>NT_187614.1:319674-639349 GCF_000001405.40 Homo sapiens
ACACAGGTTGCTGGGCCCTAGTCTATTAAGAAAGGAAGTGGGGCTCAGAATATGCATTTCTCCCAAGTTCCCAGGTGATATTCACCATGCTGTCCTGTCTGGGCACTACCTTTTGCCATACCCATTACAAGGTATTGCACGTGCTGGTTGAACTATGGTCTGTCTTATTTTGGTGCTAAAAGCCTGTGCCAAATACCAAGGCTGCAGCATTAAGGAATTTGTTAGAAAAGATTCTGAATATTGGAATTTAGTTGCTGTGTATTATATCAGTAAGGTCCTTTAAGAAAGAGTTTAGGCTACTTTGAAATGGGCTCATCTGAAATTGAAAAAGAAGAAATGCGACTTGCTAAAAAGGCCCTTCCAGCCTGTTGACTGAGAATCCAGTAATCTGAAGACTGAAAGGGCTGTAAATGCAGGATTTTCTACTCTAAGATAAAGTTAGCATGAGCAGAGACAGGAAGATGAGAGACATAATGAGGCCAAGCGTCAAATATTCATCACCTCCACATGGGCCAAGATGCAGGCAGAGGTCTCTCACCAGGGGCTGGGAGGTCGGGGTGACAATGGTAGTGCAGTCTGTGCTAGAAAGTGCACATCCCCAGCTGGGCGCAGTGGCTCACGCCTGTAAGCTCAGCACTTTGGGAGGCCAATGCTGGCGGATCATGAGGTCAGGAGTTAGAGGCCAGCCTGGCCAACATGGTGAAACCCTATCTCTACTAAAAATATAAAAACTTAGCTGGGTGTGGTGGCGGGCACCTGTAATTCAGCTACTTGGGAGGCTGAGGCAGGAGAATCGCTTGAACCCGGAAGGCGGAGGTTACAGTGAGCCGCGATCACGCCACTGCACTCTAGCCTGGGTGATAGTGGGAGACTCCATCTCAAAAAAAAAAAGAAAAAAGAAAATGCACATCCCCAACCCCAGTTAAAATGCAAATGCAAACTATGTAACTGACAACCTGTCTGCTTCTGGCTACCTGGCCCATGGAATTGATCAGAAGCAAATAGTAGCCTACAGACATTAGAAGGGAGTCACATTGCCAAAGAAACCATAAGACTGGTTCCAAAAAGTTGCTGATTGCACAATACCTAAGGCAACCTCAGGCTAACTCACACAGACAGGAAGTCAGCAGCCTCCAGAAAGCAGATCCTCCACATTGCACATCTCAGATTGTCCATAGAGGACATTCTCCCAGGGAGGAGAGCTAGGGACTGCCAGATCAGCTGAACTGCTTAAAAATGCAGTACCCATTCTCCAGTTCCCTATCAGGGGTCTTTGTTCAACTTACTGTTTTTTCATAACACTTGTATTTAGGGAATGTTGGGCATGATTAAACTTCGTTTAGCTTTGGGTTTCTAGACCTTGAGAAACAATTCAGTGCAGGCAAATATTGTATGCCCCTATATTTTTTCCTGAAAGCCAATAAAGAAGGAATGATGACACCTTCACTGCGTCTATGGGGACAAAAGCTGCTTGTGTGTGTGTGTGTGTGTGTGTGTGTGTGTGTGCGTGTGTGTGTGTGAGAGAGAGAGAGAGAGAGAGAAACAGCCTTGTCAAAAAGACGTGTTTGTTGCTGTACCCTCATTATATGAAAGCCATCATGGCATCAAAACAGTATAAGCCAGGTTGAGCTCTATCCTCTCTGCATCAACTCAGAATCCCTACCAGAAAGTGGTTGTGATGGATGGAATATCACCCATCAAAGAATAGGGTAAGATGAGACCAGAGAGGTAAGCTATGCAAGCTAATCAGAAAATAACTCAAAGTTTTAAAAGTGCAGAATATAAAAAGGAAAAACCCTCATTCCTAAAAAAAAAAAAAGCCTCATTTCCTCAAAGAAATCAGTTAGCTATTTGATGTGTATCTTTCCAAATATTTGCCTATGTAAATATATATGTATATATGGCATTTAAAAATAAAACAAAATAATATACTTTACAGATAGTTCCATAGCATATGTAGAGAATATATATGCATATACTGAATGTAATTAGGTCTGCCTTTTACATATAATATTATGGACACTTTCCACAGTTATAGATGTGTGCTACTTTTTTTTTACTGACTTCAGAATATTCCACTGATGGACATCTTAATCCTCTACTGATTAATCCCCTACTGATGACTGTTTGCATTTCTTTGCTGTTTGCCAACCACACTGCAAAGAATATCCTCATGTCTACATATCTTATCTTTTGGCAGTGTTTCTATGAAGCAGATTCCTAGAAATGGGATCAGGTCAAATGGGATGTAGTTCACATAGTATATGCATTTTAATATTTGCTAAGTAGTAGTGTTTATGCTTTAAAGAGTTGGAACACTACAATTCTAAACATGTTTGGACACAAAAAATAGATTATTTGAAACAAAATGAAATAAGCATAGCTCGTAAAAATTAACACGTTTGGTTTTCACACAAATATTTTGAATTTCTCTTTCTTCTGCAAAAAGGACCCTAGCTTAGTATGGATTTCTTGTACAGATAATGCAAACAATCCATCTATTAAATAACTTACCTTTCACAGTAAACCTATAGACAGCATCCTGCTCCACACAGAAGCTGATTGTCTTTTCCTTCTCTAACATTAGCTATTTATTTTGTAGAGTGTAGATTCTAGAGAAATAATGTATAATACACCTGTTGCCATATGCAGAGACTTACCACATTTAGAAAACAGTGGTGAATTCTATTGACAGTGGCTCTCAGTCATTAACATGCTATGGAACACCTCATGAGCTTGATAAAAATATCAGTTCCCAGGTCTACACTTAAAGATCCTATTTAAGTGGCTTCAACAATCACTGCTCAAACACTCTATGTCAACTCAGAATCCTGACAGGAAGTGGTTGCAATGGATAAAGTATCATCTGTTAAAGAATGGGGTAAGATTTGAGTATAGGCGGGTCATACTTTGGGAAATAACTTGGTCAATGGTTAACAGCATAGTCTGTAGTTCAATAAAAGTCCAGTTTTGGAACACAATTGACCGTTTACGTGCTGTGTAACCTCAGCCAAGTTGTCTAACCTTTCTGAGCCCTGGGTTACTTTTCTGTCAAGTGGAGGTATTAATAGTACCTAAGCTGTACTATTGCATTGGTAAGATTAAATGAGCAATGTATAAAAAGCACTCAGTAGGAGGAGTAAGCCTCAACAATGTAAATAATTGCTATTAAGAGCTTGATTCATCATGAATATGCCCTACAGAATACTCTGCTTAATGGTGGCCATTCGAGTAGTGAATTCTCCTAGAGCATGCATGTTATGATTTGAGTTATAACATATTCGTAGTTTCAATGTTCCAGAACTGTGTCTCCGTTGTAAAGTGGATAACTCTGTGGTAGCCCTCCCCATCTCTCCCAATTTCCCTCCATTTCACCTCTTCCTAATCTTTGCCTATGATTCCTCTTAACCAGTGATTTTGATTTGCCAGGAAAACAAAACCAAACTCAATACTGGTTTACCTTTTAAAAGAGCATCTTTATTATTTCCCCAGGCCGATCACAGCCCTGAACAAAAGCATCCGATACACATTTGTCAGTCTGGTGGCTTTGGTGCCATGACTGCCTACACAGGCTGATGACAGCCACTCGGTTGTCACCAGACGCGGTGTGAGGGAAGGGGGAGGGGACAGGGGAACTCTCAGAGCAAACAATCACAAACACACTGTGAAATCGAAAATAAATTACAAAAACTAAATAGTATAAATAAATTAAAATTTAAGTTAAGAAGAGTCCCACAGTGTGGCTGTTTGGCAACAACCAGTCCATAGAAGAGGTAGCTGTGGAGGTCACACGCATGTTCCCAAGGCTCAGGCTCCTGCTCCTCCCCACTGGGCCCACCGAGGTCGCTGGGCCTCGAAGCTTCTGGACCCCTCAGGCACTCAGCTCCAGGTCGCTGACATATTTCTGGACCCACTCCTCACTGGGGTCAGCACAGACCTGCCGGCTTCGCTTGGTTAGGAAGCTGTGGAGAAGGGAGGAAGAGTTAAGCACTGGGGAATCCAGCAGGGGAATCCTGGGCCCACCATGGCCCCACCATTCTGCTCTCTGTCCTGGGCAGCTCAGGGCTTGCTCCTCTTTCAGGGGCCCCCTGCCTATCTCTGTCTAGAGAGCTTCTCTCAGTGACTCAGTAGGGGTGGCCCTCAGAGTGTCCCGCTGCCTCCTTCTTCCTGTCCCTTTCCTCTGGGCTGGGGCAGCCCTTCCTGACTCTGTAACACATGCCTCACTCCAGCTCCAAGTCAGGTCACACCTCGGAGCCCTGCGTCCTGTATCCCCGATAGGCTCCTGAAGGCTGGGCCTTTCCAGGATGGCCTTCTGGCCTGTCTCTGCCCCAACCCTGACCCTCCCTACCTCCATAGAGGTGAGCAGGAAGACTGGCACTTACATGACACCGGGCTTGGAGCACTGGCTGCTCGTCTCAAAGTAGTCAGCTATGAAATTCTGTGGAATCTGCCGGGAGGTGTAGCTGAAGCAGCAGGCGGTCGGCGTGTCAGCAGCAACTGTGGAGAAAGGAAGAGAATAAGCCCGAGTCACAGCTCAGAAGAAAAGGCCAGGCAGCTTCTGATCCCCGAGCAGTTGAGGAAGGCAGGCTTGCTCAGACCAAGTGACTGGAAGGCATTTGGGCATTTTTGCTGAGAAATGTCTCTTTGTTTCTGTCTGTATCCTTCTTTCTCCTTGACTCTTCATAGTGGGTTCTCTGTTTCTCTGTGTGATCCAGATACCTGAACGGACTGTTCTCTTATCTCAGTTCTCTTCAGGGAATTTTGTCTGGTTCAAGAAGTCATACCCCAACCCAAGAGAAGCCTTGGACATCTCTCATAAGACATCCAAGGGACAGAGCTCCTGGGAGACCTAGAGTGAGCTGGAGAGTGAACAACATACCCCACTGGGAAGTAAGCAGCCCTGGATTCTGCCTCTTGCTAACTGATTCGTTTCGAACCCTGTTTTTCTATCTGTAAAAGGGACTGTAACTCCCCTGCCCCTGCCTAGATTCTCATACCTGGAGACTAGGGGGCTAAGACCCCTTCTAGAGATAAAAATAAAAGTCTTAAAGAGAAAGACCAAGATGTTTGGCAGCCCTTTAAGAAGTTCTCTTTTCTCTTGGGGGCTTTTAGGCCACAAGAAAAGATTGATGTGGTCTAACCATGGCCAGAGAGTGGTGATACCCACAACGAAACTCAGACTCACGTGATGCAGAGAACTGGTTGCAGAGAGCCATGGTGCAGAGGAGGACAGCAAGGGCAGCAGTGGAGACCTGCATGATTCTGAGCAGGTGACGGAATGTGGGCTCGAGTGTCAGCAGAGCCAAGAAAGGACTGACCACTGTCTGCTGCCCGTGTCCTTCTGAAGTCTGAAACCAGCTCTCCTCTTTATAGGCAGCCCTGGCGGATGGGGAAATGGAATCTGGGGGTGAGGAGGGAAATTTTTAAGCGTAGTGATGCTGTCATGCTAAGTTGCACAACTCAGGGTCCCTGGTGACCACAGGGGCTCAGGATATCCAAGAATAGCATCTTTGAGCTATTCTCTAACTCTCAGCTCTCAACTCATGACTTGTTATAGTTTCATAGGGAAATGGTTTCTCCTGTGAGTGTGAAGAGGGGTATATGTCAACCCAAGGCTATTCTTAGTCAGTCCCTTCTCATAAGAACTGGTCTGTGCATGAACTCTCCAGCCCCATTCCTTCCCACAGAGCTGCAATTCTGCTTCCTCAGCTGCTATAACCACAGGGATAGGGTTGATGGGCTGATGCTGTGGAGGGCTGCACAACCCTTCCTCCTCCCAGAGGCAAAGAACTGAATGAAAGCTGGAGGAATAGAAAGCATGAGGTCATGTTTCAGTCATTTGTCTATTTATTAGTCATGTAGTGACTAGGGCGCTGTGTTAAACGCTAGTTGTGGATCATAAAAATACTTTAGAGGTGGGTGTCAATATGTCAGGTGCCTAGAAATATCTGTAGCCATTAACCTAGAAAAAGCATTTCTAGGAAAGAGTTCTGTGGAAACAACCCAAATATGGAGCCATCTTCAAACATAAAGATACCTGACCCAGCATCGTTTATAACTCTAAAATAAACAAAGCTAAATTTTTCTCCATCAGGGAATGATAAATTATCCACTAGATCATTTATTATTAAGTCTCTAAAATGAATGAAGTGGCATAAATATGCTTATAACATCAGTGGTTAAAAAAAGCAAGATACGACATTATACAAATTCTACAAAGTCTGAAGAATTGTACAAATATATATATATATATTTGTACTATATATACATGTATTTGTACATATACACATATATATTTGTACAAATATATATATATTCCTTGCCAACCCTAAGCATGGAAAAAAATACAAAGGCTTGGAAATACATGCCTTAAAGAATGAATAGTTCTTATATTTGTGTGATAGGTCCCTGGGTGATTTATTTTCTTATTTTTTTCTTTTTCTGAATTTTTCTCATTTTACTTAGTTAGACTTTATTACCTTCTTGGTCAGCCCACAAATTTATAAACTAATTTTTAAAAAAACATTTCCAACATCACTGGTTGAAAAATAGGTTGTTGTCAGTTGTTTAATCTGAAAGAAATTATTGATAAATATGCTGAAGTTTCTGTTCAATGGTTTTGGCCAAAATGAAGTCTTGATTTCCCATTTCTTTGAACCATTTTAAGGATCCTATACTATACTTACATAAATCATGCCAAATTGAAGCAGTTTTTTACTTATTCTTTTCAATACATAATTTCAGTGGTGTGGAAGGGTCTCTACCTTCTCAGCCAGATTATATGCTTTTTTTTCTTTTCCATACTTTGTTATTTTATTCTTTCACAATCAATCAGCATACCTCATTTTATAATGAGAAATAGATTTAGTTGGTTTTAATGATCTTTGTTTCTGAGATGCCCCTGATCTCGTGGGGGCAGGTAGAGTGTATGAACAGGTAATTGTAGCATTTAGCCGAAAGTGCTAGGACTCCTAGTAGAAAAAGAAATGAAAGCTCAGAATCCCACGAGGGGAAGAAGTGACCTTCCACCAGAGGGTTGGGGAAGGCTTCATGGAAGGGATGGAACTTTAGTTGTGTCTGGATAACTGCCCGGGATTTAGGCATCTATAGATGAGTGCCCAGCTGAGGCAGAGTCCTGAGTGTGACATTGTGGGTTCAGAGGAAAGAGGGGGTGCTTCAGTGGAGCTGCAGAGCAGTGGGGGTGAATATGGATGATAAAGCTAAATTGGGACCAAACCAGGACAGGCCTTGTATTCCCCCCAAAGGGGTTAGAGTTGACACATTTGATGCTGGAGAATAACAGAGGACAGAAGCCAAGTGCGACCATGCCTTTGGAATTCTGTCCTTTCTAAGTGTCTGTAGACTTAGGTCTTTTAATACACATGGGCTCTGTTTCCTTCCCACCCCAATGATGGCTAGTGCCAGTCTTGAGGGAGGAGAAGCAGAAGCAAGATCAGGGGCCGTGGTAGGTTTCACCGGAGCTTTGGCATCCATGTATCTTCCCCTATTGCTACCAATTCCAAATAAAGGTATCTCTGCCACTTGTATCATTAGAAACCTACATCACAGGCAATGCCTCCTTCTCACCCCACCCTCTGCCTCCCAGCTCTCAGTGATACCCAGAATTGCATTCCCTCACTCACTTCTTAGGGGAACCCCCTCCATACTCGTGATTCCATTTCTGAGAGCTGGCTTCTGTGAGTTGTGGAGAGTGAGAAAAGGAAATGGAAACTGCTGAATCAGTCAGTGTTCTGATAAGGGACATCTTCTATCTCTGTCATTACAGCACCGTGTGTTATAATTAGTTATCTATGTAATTTGCTCTTCAAAAATCTAGACCATGCCCTGTTGATTTTATTTTAGTTTCTTTTTCTCAAGAAATTTATAGTTTAATAAAGGCAATGTGGGAGTTTGGAAACAAATTTTTATTTCGCGCTAATGATAGATTAGCAACTACACAAATTTTAGTTCACAATATGTAATTTTTATTGAGTGATCACCATGTGCTGATTTCCATAATAGGGATTCACGTTTGAACTGTCTTCAAAACAACCCTATGATTTAGTTACCAGTATACTTTCTCAGTTGAATAGGTGAAGAAACCAAAGTAAATAGAGGTTAAGCAATTTTCCGAAGGCCGTAAAGCTGATGACTAGCAGAGCAGGGATTCAAATCCAGGTAGTCTGACTCTAGGTACCACACGCTACACGTCCTGTACCACAACTTATTATGTTTGATCCTCACAACACTCCTATAATGGTAGATTTTTTAGAGTGTCTTCTCAGATTGTAAACCAACTCCAGACCATGTCTTGTTGGTTGATTTAAACCAAATCCTAGCACATGATGATTTTAACATGATGAGCCTCGTGACCTAGTCTCTATCTCTTATTATTGTGTTCTTTATAATAAAGATGATTTATTGAATATATAATTCTATCTCAGTGTTTATATATTTGTAAGACTTTCTCTATCAATCCCCAAACCAGGAACTATCCCTTTGCCATGTGTTTTGCTTGGATTGAAATATAGTTACATGCACAGCATGTGCTTAATTTATATACATTGAATGAATAATATAAGGGAGATGTAGGACGGGGTTGAGTTGGGAGGGTCTTAGACATTTCCTAGGTGGTAAATTGATGTTCCCAGTTGAAATGACGTACCCATGGTCATGTGGATGGAATTGGTCAGTTTTATATTCCACTATCTGTGTTAGCTACCAGTGTATCTCCAGTGATAATCACAATGCTTGACATATAGTGAAGCATAATAGCTATTTGATGAATAAATAAATCACTGATTTGACTAACAATATGTGTTATGCCTGAACTCTCACTATGGAGTTGAAATACTAATGGGAAAGGTAGGATAAGAAAGGCCATGGTGAGTGGAAACGGGGAGAGAATCAGGAAAAATAACTAATGGGTACTAGACTTAATACCTGGGTGATGAAATCACTTGTACACCAAACCCCCATGACACAAGTTTACGTATGTAACAAACCTGCATGTGCATCCCTGAACTTAAAATAAAACAAACACACACATACACACACACACACACACAGAATCAGGAGAGAGAGTCAGAAGTGTGATGGGTCTCCATAGCCAAGGAAGAATCTTTAAATAAAATGAGAATTGAAGTGGGGCATGGTGGTTCACGCCTGCAATCCCAGCACTTTTGGAGGCCGAGGTGGGTGGATCACCTGAGGCCAGGAGTTTGAGACCAGCCTGGCCAACGTGGTGAAACCCATCTCTACTAAAAATACAAAAAATTAGCCAGGCGTGTTGGCACATGCTTGTAGTCCCAGGTACTTGGGAGGCTGAGGCAGGAGAATCACCAGAACCTGGGAGGTTGTAGTGAGCCAAGATCGCACCACTGCGACCAGCCTGGGTGATAGAGCGAGACTCTGTTTCAAAAAAAAAAAAAAAAAATAGAATTGAGTGTCGTGATAAAGATGCAATTAGAAAGAGAAATGTAAACTTATATAAAGAAGTTTTCAGTAACTTGATCTAAAAGGTTATGATTTGCTTTAAAAAGAAAGGAAGGAAGGAAAGAAAGAAAGAGAAAGAAAGGAGAAAGAGAAAGAAAGAAGAAAGAAAGAGAGAGAAAGAAAGAAGAAAGAGAGAAAGGAAGAAAAAAGAAAGAAAGCAAAAGAAAGAAAGAGAGAGAAAAAGAAAAAAGAAAGAAAGAGAGAAAGAAAGACCATGGTGTCACAGTCTTGATCTTTGGGAAACTGACCACCCAAGATTCCTTAGGTGGTGGTGACAGAAAGTAGCCAGCAGTCAACACCATGGACCCTTCAGCATGGAGGGATTTGATTTGTGTCCCAGCGTTCTGGCTCATTTCAGCCTCTGCGAGGCCCCACCTCAGTCCAGCAGAGCGTCCCAGTCCGCAGTGCGGGGAATCCTGGCTGGGCAGTTTGTCCTCTGCGGCGTCTTTGCCTTGCACTGCTCAGCTTGCCTCCCCACTGCGTGCTGCTGCCCGTGCTCTCTAGTGCGGCGCATTGCTTTCCTTCAGATTCTGGCCCCGAGGCCCCACTTCCCCAAGTGTCACCCTCTGCTATCTCCTTTGGCAGCAGGCACCCCAGGGATGCGTTCACTGATGATGACACCCTCTTTGGCCCAGCTTTGGCCTCCTTTCCTCATATGTGGTCTGCGTGGTCAGGTTGCAGCAGGTGTGGGCCCCACCTTTCATGCAGGCAGAAGCAGCAGCCTGGAGTCCCCTGTCTAGTATCTTAGACAGACAATGTCTCATTGACACAGCCCCTTCTTTCTGCAGCCAGCCCTTTGTTTCCTGTCCTGAGTCCTTGTTATTTTCTCTAGCCATTTCTTGCATGTGTGCAGTAGGTCAGGGCGTATGTCTTGGTACTGGATCTGATCCCTCTCCCGGTCCCTTGCCCCTTCTTCCATATTCTCTATGCAATAAAAAGTGCCTCTTCCTATCAATATTCCAAGCCGGAAAGTTGAGAGTCACCCTTGTCTCCTCTTTCTCTATCATTTCCTATACCTATTCAATCACCAACTCTAGTCTACATTCAATTTTACGTGCATCTGTCTCTCACCATTCCCACTGCCTCTGTCTTAGGTCAGGTTCTTATGGTTTCTCACCATGACAACTAGAAGATGGTCTTAGCAACTCCCTTCCCTCCCTCCTTCCCTCCCTCCCTCCCTCCTTCCTTTCTCTCTCTTTCTTTCTTTTTCTTTCTTTCTTTCTTTCTTTCTTTCCTTTCTTTCTCTCTTTCTCTCTCTCTCCCTTCCTTCCTTCCTTCCTTCCTTCCTTCCTTCCTTCCTTCCTTCCTTCCTTCCTTCCTTCCTTCTTTCTTTCTTTCTTTCTTTCTTTCTTTCTTTCTTTCTTTCTTTCTTTCTTTCTTTCTTTCTTTCTTTCTTTCTTTCTTTCTTTCTTTCTTTCTTTCTTTCTTTCTTTCTTTCTTTCTTTCTTTCTTTCTTTCTTTTCTTCCAAGACAAGGTCTCATTCTGTGGCCCAGGCTGGAGTGCAGTGACTCGATCTTGGCTCACCGCAACCTTGGCCTCCCAGGCTCAAGCAATTCTTGTGCCTCAGCCTTCCTAGCAGCTGTGATTACAGGCATGTGCCACCATGCCCTGCTAATTTTTTTGTATTTTTCGTGGAGATGGGGTTTCACCATGTTGGCCAGGCTGGTCTTGAACTCCTGGCCTCAAGTGATCTGCCTGCTTCGGCCTCCCAAAGTGCTGGGATTGATTATAGGAGTGAGTCACCACGCCTGGCCTAGTTTTGTCTCTTTTTAATCTATCCCACCACACAGCATCCAACATAATTTTGCTAAAGCTCAAATCAGTCTCTGTTTCTCTCCTTTTAAAATCTTGCAAACATTCTACATTGCTTCTGGCATGAAATGGAAGCTTCTCTGTAACCTGACCCCTGTCTACCTCTTTGGCCTTGTGGCTTGCCAAGTTGAGACTTCCTGAAAACCAAGACAGCCTATTTGCACTACCTGTGGTTCCTTAAATGTGCAGCTTTCTTCCCTGCTTTTAATGAAGGAGGTGTTGACTTGGTAGAGCACAGTTTCCCCTTCTTGTAAGCCACAAGGCAGAGTGTAATACTACAAAAGTGGGCACATCCCATGACAGCTGCAGGGATTAATATTTAGAACAATTAAGGAAAAACACTACATCATTCCCCAAATTTTCTTTACTTTTTCTTTTTCTTTTTTTTTGGATGGAGTCTCACTGTGTCGCCCAGGCTGCAGTGCAGTGGCTCAATCTCGGTTCACTGCAACCTCCGATCCCACCTACCCCTCTCCCCGGGTTCAAGTGATTCTCCCACCTCAGCCTCCTGAGTAGCTGGGATTACAGGCGTGCACCACCACGCCTGGCTAATTTTTATATTTTTTGTAGAGACAGGGTTTCACCATGTTGGCCAGGCTGGTCTTGAACTCGTGACCTCAAGTGATCCGCCTGCCTTGGCCTCCCAAAGTGCTGGGATTATAGGTGTGAGCCACCAAGCCTGGCCTGTAATTCCCCACATTTTCTAAGGAAAAGAGGAAATCCATGGATCTTGCTGTTCAAAGACATGCAAAATGCAAAACAGAAAAGACATTTTACATTAGAATAACAGAAACTTTGGCTGTTGTGCTTTTAACATAAATTTATAATACAGCACACTTCCCTTTTGTGATTTATTCATGCTCTAGAGCCAGACTTCTTGGCTTCAGCTTCAAATCTGTTGTATGTCAGCTGTGTGTTTTCCCATAGGTTACGTACCTCTCTGTGCTTCAGTTTCTTCGTGTGTGAAAGGGGATAGTTACAGCACTTACCTCAGAGGGCCACTGTGAGGATTAAATGCATTAATATCTATGAAAGGCAGAGAACATTACTGGTTCATAAAAAGTGCTGTGTTAAGTGCTATCTACTATTATTACTATTACTATTTTATTATTATTGCAATATTTCAATATATCCATTTTACATCAAAAACAAGTGCAGGTCTCTTGTTCTTTGCCTGGATACCCCTGTGCCTGTCTTTGCCTGGCTAATCTCAGTTCAACCTACAATAGAGAAAAGTTAGAGCAACATAAATGGACTGATGTGAATAGCAGAGTGATTAAATACAACTTTTGGTATATCTATGCAATAAAATACCATGCATATATTCATGCCATTTTTGAGTAATATTTAAGTTTGTAATGACACAGAAGAAGATTAAGTAACAATAATAAGATACACTGGTTCATAAAAGACTATTAAGTACCAATAATAAAATATAAAACTAGGTACAGAATGATAGGGCAATTTTAATTTTCTTATTTATGCCTCCCTATATTTTCTCAATTTTGTACAATGACCATGTATATTTTCTATAAAAGAAAACCAAACTAATATAATTTTTTTTTTTTTTTGAGACAGTGTCTCACTCTGTCACCCAGGCTGGAGTGCAGTGGCGCGATCTCGGCTCACTGGAATCTCCACCTCCCAGATTCAAGAGATTCTCTTGCTTCAGCCTCCTGAGTAGCTGGGACTACAGGCATGTGCCACCATGCCAAGCTAAGTTTTTGTATTTTTAGTAGAGATGGGGTTTCACTATGTTGGCCAGGCTGTTCTCAAACTCCTGACCTCAGATGATCTACCCACCTCGGCCTCCCAAAGTGCTGAGATTATAGGCATGAGCCACCATGCCTGGCCTATAAATTTTTTTCAAAAAAAAAAATTCAGGTCTCACATTTTTTGGAGGCCTTCTTTAACACTACACTACCACCATCTAAAGTGCATACCCTCACCCTCAGACACAATGCCTGTCACACAGTAGTTACTCAATAAAGCTTTACTGAATTATGTTCATCTCTTGCTGGAGTATTCCCTATGACCTGCATGGAAAGAGGCCAGAAACAATTTGAAGGAAGATGCTTCACAAGGAATACTGAAAGTTTTCTTGACCTCATGAATGCTGGTGAGGCTTTATCCCTCTCTCAGGAATTTAGCATTGCCTGAAGTTCCTGACCTCTGCCTTTCACAAGCAAGAGCAGGTTGTGGCAGGCGACGAAGGTCCATTTCCATGGTAAGAAGCGTGGGGCTGGCCAGCTCCGTAGTCAGAGTGTGACAGTCACTGATGAGCTGCTCCAACCAGCTCATTGTCCTACAGATTTCATCCTGAAGAATTCTGCACTCTGGATAATTGTGTATTTGTTTCTTCAATTCACAATCCAGCTTCTGCTCCCATTTCCTCCAAAGTGACTTGGACACCATATTGGCAAAACTACAGGATTTGCCTCTTCTTGGTTTATTATCTTGGCAAAATGACCCTATGTTCCAGCTCCCCTTGGGTTTCCAGTCTCCACATTTGCCCTCCAGGGGTTCTCTAGTTCTATGCATCCCACCTCCTAGAGGCTACCTCTTGGCCCCAACACCCAGTGGTCTCCTCAACACTCTAGGAGAAGCCAGGATGTCCAGATTGACTGAGTGTGTTATGATCAGAGATTGCCTCTATGTGTAATCTCAGAGGCTCATACCTGTAGAGGGACTCTGGTCATCACTGAACTGGGAGTTGAAGACCCTGGGTCTTGACATGCATCCTGTGTGACCTTGATCGGGTCTTTTCACTTCTCTAGGTTTTGCTTTCCTCTTCTGTACCGTGGCAAAACAGATTGGGATCAGGTAAAACCACAGGCCATGGATATACTGAGGAAAATGAAAAAATACCAGGACATTTTCAAGGTCATGTTACTGCTGTGGCTGCTGGGCCTGTCTGCAGCCTGGGAGGTTGAGGACAACATGACAAGACAAATGTAAAAATGCCCAGAATGGAGTTATGAATATAGTGGTGGTCAAGGATGTGGAGGGGGAACCTCTAAATGACCACAAGTGAGGGGGAAAGAAGGGCTTCCCTGCTCAGGGTGAGGGGGTGGACCTCTGAATGGAGCTCCCTGGAACCAAGGATGACCCTTGCTGTCACTTCTTGCAACCCTGAGCTAAAAACAGTTGAGTCCAAGAATAGTATCCATTGTGATAAAACTACTGGATGCGTGGGTTGAGGGTGGGGGAGAAGGGGAAGTACCACACTATCAGGGCTGAGGAATCACCTTTTGGGTGGAATGTCAGAACACCCAGTTCATTCATACTTGGTTTACTCATTTGGCTATATAGGGGTCCACATCTTGAGTCCATGTTACTCATCACATTCCCTCCATGGAGATAAGCATAAACAGTTTCTGCATCAAGGAGCTCACTTTCTAGTTGGGGAGGCAACCACAGGAATAGATAAATATGTCATAGGTGGTAAGAAGAAATAGTTCAGGAGACTGTAGGAGCACAGTGAAGGATACAGAGTTTACTTGGGAAAGAGGTCAGGAAAGTTTCTCTAGGGAAGATGGGAATCTTTTTTGTCATGTATCTGAGAGTCATTTGTTATCATTGATTATTGGCTCTCCTTGGCTTTCCAGTCTCCACATTTGCCCTCCAGGAGTTCTAAATGGCACCAGTGCCTAAATCTTGGGGTGGGGGAAGTTAATATGGCTAAACGAAATGATACAAGTCCTTTTTACTCTCAGTGTGGACTTCCACTGGTGCAGACATAGTATTGTTGTTAGGATCTTCATGAAGATCTCTCAAAACCTTTTACCCCCATGAGCCAAAGATCAGATCAAGGCGAGGAAACAAAAGTCAACAGACAAACTCATTGTATGGCTCAGTGATGGCTAATCACCCATTTTATCAATCATTATTCTCCTGAAGCCCCAGAACAGGCTTCCTCCTAACCCCTCCACCCTGCTCATTCAGACAGCTGCTTTAGTGGGGATTGAGACTTAACTTGAAACTACTCATCTACAGCTAATAGACAGCCTTCTCCATCCTTCAGCCTTCCTGACACTTTGTTTCTTCCTCTGACATGACACTTAGCTTATTCCTCCTCATGGGATAGTTATTTCTGTCACTGTCAATGCCATCACTAGACATGGAACTCTTCGAGGGCAGGGATGGGGCTTCATTCAGCTCTGTCTGCCCTGGCAAAGAGCAGATGGTTAGTACATTGGGTTGAATAAAAATGTCATAGATAACGAAGTCTGTGTTAATCCAGAGGACATGAGACACATTCTGCTTCCCTTAAAGTGAGGTCCTCGATGCATGAAGATGAAACTGCACCAACTAGGAAAGGTCAGGAGAGGTACTAACACATCTGCTATCAGGGAACTCGGAACATTACAGCTGGGGGCGAGGGTCTTGGAGAAGATCAGAACATTTGAAAAAAGAGCTGTACAAAGAAAAGGGGGAGAGAACAGATGAGAGAAGTGCAGCTTGTGTGTGCGGGTGGGGAGTGAGGGAGAGTGCTGAGGCAGGATGACCTTGTACTTTATTTAATGACCCTGAAGTACCCCAGGATGCTGCTCCAACCTCTCCTATGGCTCCCAGATGCTGTGGGTCCCTTTTTTTCTTAACTTGTATTTTAGGTTCAGGGGTACATGTGCAGGTTTGTTATATAGGTAAGTTGTGTGTTGCGGGGGGTTTGGTGTACAGATTATTTCATCACCCAGGTAATAAGCATAGTACCCAATAGGTAGTTTTTTTTATCCTCACCCTCCTCCCACCCTTCACCCTTAAGTAGGCCCTGGTGCCTGCTGTTCCCTTCTTTGTGTCCATGTGTACTCAATGTTTAGCTTCCACTTATAAGTGAGAACATGCAGTATTTGGTTTTCTGTTCCTGTGTTAGTTCGCTTAAGATAATGGCCTCCAGCTCCATCCATGTTGCTGCAAAGGGCATGATCTTGTTCTTTTTTTTTTTTTATGACTGAGAAGTATTCCATGATATATATATATATATATCCCAAATTTTTTTATCCAGTCTACCATCAGTGGGCATTTAGGTTGATTCCATGTCTTTGCTATTGTGAATACTGTTGCGATGAACATACATGTGCACATGTCTTTATGGTAGAATGATTTATATTCCTTTGGGTATATACCCAATAATGGGATTGCTGGGTTGAATGGTAATTCTGTTTTAAGTTCTTTGAGAAATCGCCAAACTGCTTCCCACAATGGCTGAACTAATTTACATTCCCACCAGCAGTGTATAAGTGTTCCTTTTCTCCACAGCCTCACCAACATCTGTTATTTTTTGACTTTTTAAAAATAGCCATCCTGACTGGTTTGAGATGGTATCTCATTGTGGTTTTAATTTGCATTTCTCTAATGATTAGTGGTGCTGAGCATTTTTTGTATGTTTCTTGGCCGCGTGTATGTCTTCTTTTGAAATGTGTCTGTTTATGTTCAATGCCCACGTTTTAACGGAGTTGTTTGTTTTTTGCTTGTACATGTGTTTAAATTCCCTATAGATTCTGGATATTAGACCTTTGTGAGATACATAGTTTGTAAATATTTTCTCCCATTCTGTAGGTTATCTCTTTACTCTGCTGATAATTTCTTTTGCTGTGCAGAAGCTCTTTAGTTTAATTAGATCCCATTTGTCAGTTTTTGGTTTTGTTGTGATTTGTTTTTGGCATCTTCATCATGAAATATCTGCCAGATCCTATGCCCAGAATCATATTGTCTAGGTTATCTTACAGGTATCATATTTTTATAGTTTTATATTTTAGGTTTTACATTTAAGTCTTCAACCCATTGTGAGTTGATTTTTACAGATGGTGTAAGGAAGGGGTCCAGTTTCAATCTTTTGCATACAGCTAGCCAGTTATCCCAGTACCATTTATTGACTGGGAAGTCCTTTCCCTGTTGCTTGTTTTTGTTAACTTTGTCAAAGTTCGGATGGTTGCAGGTATGCAGCATTATTTCTGAGCTCTCTATTTTGTTCTATTGGTCTATGAGTCTGTTTTTGTACCAAAGCCATGCTGTTTTGGTTACTGCAGCCCTGTGGTATAGTTTGAAGTCATGGCTCCCTTTTTTTACTCTTCTTTTTTCTTTCTCAGAGAAGAGCAGGTAACAATGTGGGGTTAAAGGTGAGCAGGTGGGTTAGAGTAGTGGAGCTAAAGGCAGATAGAGGTCTTGATCCAATTATCCTCATTCCCTTCATTTGTCCAACCTTGCACATTCCTGTATGCAGGGCCTTTGTAAGCTTCACCTTCTGTACAGGTGCCCAGCAACTGTCAAACCAGCCAGGGCTTAACATGAGCATGGGCATTCCCTATGGACTGGCTGGGACACACCCACATCCTTAGATTACACATTTTGCCTGTAACATAGATAAACTAATTACTAGGTATATAATTCTGTTTCGTTTTGTTTTGCTTTGTTTTGTTTTTGGGACAGGGTCTCATTCTGTCAAACAAGCGGGAGTGCAGTGGCACAATCACCACTCACTGCAGCCTGGACTTTTCTGGGCTCAGGTGATCTTCCCACCTCAGCCTACTGAGCAGCTGGGACTACAGGTGTGTATCACCACTCCCAGCCAAAATATTTTTTTATAGAGACAGTGTTTCACCATGTTGCCCAGTCTGGTATCGAACTTCTGGGCTCAAGCTATCTGCCTGCCTTGACCTCCCAAAGTGCTGGGATTACAGGTGTGAGGCCCTGTACCCAGCTCAATCCTGTTTTTATACTAGAAGAACATTCTCTATCTGGGTCTTCCAAACTTGATTCTTACTGGTTAATTTGTCCTGTTCTTTTGCTGGTCCAAGAAAATATCCTGAAATCTTTATTTCTTCTCCGTTTCCTCCTTGTCCTAGGACAGACTAGCCCTATCCCCTTCCTGAATTAAGTCCGAATATAGTCAGTCTTTGAGTGTGGAATAGCTCCTAGCAGTCTATCAGTCAACGGGTTCTCTTTGTGGTCACATTCTTTGTTTATTCAGGAGACTACAGCATGGAAAGAAAATGGACTTTGGAGTCAGGTGAATCTTGATTCAAATCTTGGCAGTGCCATTCATCAGCTCTGTGGCATTGAGCGCATCAGTGGACCACTCTCTGATCCCCAATTGCCTTGTCTGTAAAATGAGATTAGACACCCCTGCTCAAGATTATGGTAGGATTATATATAATGTGTGTAACACAGCTTTTCCAGTGCCTGGTACAAGGTAAGTGTCCAATAAGAAGTTACAAATGTTCCTGAGCCACCCTACTGGGTCCCTCCTCACATCCAATGCTGGACTCTTCATGCCCAAGGAAACATATAAGGCACAAAAGTCAGTGGCACTCAGCTCAGCAGAAGAAGGCACAGGAAGGGGATGGGGGAGTCCTGGCTCCCACTTTGTTCTTGGGGTCAGGCTTGTGGCCAGCCTGGAAAGACTGACATGAACCCTCCAGCATCTGAGGGTGCCAACCACCAAGAGCAGCACAGTTCTTGTCTACAAGCCACTTGTAGCAGGTGTGAACATTTCATCTTTTCCTCTGGGGTTTGCAACTCTCTCCCCAGTCTCGGTCACTGCCTTTGGCTGTACCACTTCCCTTTTCTTCTCGCCTGCACCTCCCTCATCTTTCCTCTATGATGACATCGCCCTGGGGAAGAGAAGCTGAGAGGAACTCCTCACTCAGCTAGCTTCAGGAGCATGACGTCATCTCTACCATGGAAATTCCACTCACTCTCCTGTGCCCCCACATTTGTCCTAGGCCTCAGAGTCCCTATAAAGAGAGATTCCCAAGTCAGTATCAGCACAGGACACAGCTGGGTTCTGAAGCTTCTGAGTTCTGCAGCCTCACCTCTGAGAAAACCTCTTTGCCACCAATACCATGAAGCTCTGCGTGACTGTCCTGTCTCTCCTCATGCTAGTAGCTGCCTTCTGCTCTCCAGCGCTCTCAGCACCAAGTAAGTCTACTTTTGCAGCTGCTATTTCGAGTCAAGGTGTAGGCAGAGTCCTTTTTTCTAGTCATGGCTGGCAAACAGTGGGATCTGGGGATGGGACAAAAGGCAGCTAGGAAGATTGCCATGTAGTCTGCTGCTAAATGTAGAGTCTAGTAGATATTCAATAACATTCAAGTTCCTATTTTCTTAAGAATTAGCAACCAGCAGAGGAAAACGATGGGCTGGAAGTCAGACTGTTGAATTGGCTCTGCCTTTAATTATTTGTTCAAGCAAGCCCCTGTCCCTCTCTGTGCCTTGGTTTCCCCATCTGTCATATGAAGGGAGTGCGATGTGTTCTGAGACTGAATCCAGTTCCAATCTTCTAGATTTCTTTCTCGTTCTTCTCTGAAGATCCACTATTCAAAATAAGACTCCTGCTCATGTTAGGTGGGAATGGATATTTGGGGTTCTGGTAGCTCCACAGGGATGCTCAATGAAGATACAAAATTAGAAGTCAAAATAAACAGCTCCCATGGGCAGTGTTGATCTCACCCTGGCCTTTCCTTTCAGTGGGCTCAGACCCTCCCACCGCCTGCTGCTTTTCTTACACTGCGAGGAAGCTTCCTCGCAACTTTGTGGTAGATTACTATGAGACCAGCAGCCTCTGCTCCCAGCCAGCTGTGGTGTGAGTATCAACCCCTGGGCTGCCCTGGGAGGCAAGGGTGAGGGCTGGATTTTAAAAGAGGGCCTGTTTTGGGGAGGGGGTGATTGAGCATTGGGGAGGCAGCTCCCAGGGCTGAAGCCTTCCCTGAGAGCAGTGAGGACACAGGTCATGAACTCACTTTTCAAGTGCTGAAGGCGGCAGAGTGGGAGCCGAGAGAGAAGGGGGTTGCTGGGGAGGAAGTTATTCAGAGGACAGGGAAGCAGGGGAAGGCAGACAGGTCCCATGAGATATGGACCGATTCCTTAAACCGTGCTAGAAAGACATGTGGAAAAGTCACTGCCAGGCTGGCAGGGAATGGGGAGATCTATTCATATTGATTGCAATGCCCCTTGGTTCCTAATCTGGGCAACTCCTGGGGCCCACAGCTAAATCCAGTGGGTGGAAGTTACAGGGAGTCTGCTTCCAGTGCTGCTCCAGGAAGGATCCCATCCACCAGAGCTGCCCCACATGGACCATGGTCAGGCAGAGGAAGATGCAAAGGATAAAGCCAGATGACCTCAAAGGTCTCATGAGATTCTAATCTGTCCGCTCCTTGTTCTACAGATTCCAAACCAAAAGAAGCAAGCAAGTCTGTGCTGATCCCAGTGAATCCTGGGTCCAGGAGTACGTGTATGACCTGGAACTGAACTGAGCTGCTCAGAGACAGGAAGTCTTCAGGGAAGGTCACCTGAGCCCGGATGCTTCTCCATGAGACACATCTCCTCCATACTCAGGACTCCTCTCCGCAGTTCCTGTCCCTTCTCTTAATTTAATCTTTTTTATGTGCCGTGTTATTGTATTAGGTGTCATTTCCATTATTTATATTAGTTTAGCCAAAGGATAAGTGTCCCCTATGGGGATGGTCCACTGTCACTGTTTCTCTGCTGTTGCAAATACATGGATAACACATTTGATTCTGTGTGTTTTCATAATAAAACTTTAAAATAAAATGCAGACAGTTTCTTTGTGATTTTAATTTGATTTGGGGGTAAAAGGAATTGCCTGGTACCATTGGGAGGGACAAACTACAGTTTCCCAAAACAGTAAGAATGAGCAATTGCTGAGTCCTTAATATGAGCTCTGGGCTGAACACTCTTAATACACGATCTCACTGCGTACTTTCAACAAGGGTTTTAACACCCTTATGAACTAGGGACTGTTGCACCGAGTTTCACAGTTAAGGAAACAGAGGCACAGAGAGGTGAAGTGACTTGCTGAAGCTTGTAGGCCTGCTTGGGGAGTGTCATGAAAGAATGCCCCAGAAAAGGAGGTTATCATTTCAACATCTTGTGGGGGGAGTTGTAAAGAGGGGAAGCAGCACAGCAAAGGCGGAAGAAGAGTGAGAAGAGTGACTTCATCATCTTATTATTATTATAACATTGGGAAAGTCATCTTGCCTTATTAGACCTCGGTGTTCACAAGTGTGAAATGGGGATAATATTAACCACTTCGAAGGGCTGTTATAAGGTGATGTATAAAGCACCCATCATAGGACCAGGCACCTGGAAGTTTCTCTCCTTCCCTCTCTGAGCTTCAGCCTTTTCACTTAAAATGGACCTAGCAATTGTCAGGATCATCATGAGGATTAGATTAGTTAGTTGACAGATCAGCACTCTAAATCCCAATCTACTGTGAAGTGTTGTCATGAGGACAGCAGGATGGAGGTTTTGTTTGGAAGTGTTGCAGGAGTAACCTAAAGCCACTTCTACTTAATTATCCTTCAATCAGAACTGCCTATTCCATGGGTCAGACACAACACAACTCTGAAGTAGAATTACATGCACAATAAAGCCTGATCCATGGGACACAGACTCGTAGTCTACTAAAGCTAAAAGGAAAGTTTAGACCATCTGGTCCAACCCTCTCATTTTATGGAAACTGAGGGCCAAGGCCTGGGAAGTAACTTGCCACGTGCCACTCAGCGAGTGCATAGCAGAGCAGGAGCCTGGCCAATGCCAGCTCCCAGGCTCGGGCCCTTTCCTGCACACCTTCCCTAGTGACGCATCTCTGTGGTCCTCAAAAGGGAGACCGGTTGAGTAAGAACAAGGCGGAGACTATCTTGAAAATCATTTGAGTGTTCTTAGTCCTATGCAAAAGCAGAATTGGGGCCCTGCACTTCTCTGGGGTCAACAGACACAATTCCCTTCCTTGTCCTGCCCTTAGTCACCCTCATCATTCCAGAGCCCCAGTGGAAACTTCTTTCAGATTCTGCGGGGACTGAGAGAAGGAGGTTAGGGGGCAGAGCTGATCCAAAACAGGTGTAGGAAGAGGCTAGCAGCAAAGAATGTGCCTGGCCATAGTTTCTGCTTTCATTTGCCTAGATCTGAGCTGTCTAATATGTTAGCCACTGGCCAAAGTGGCTATTTACGTTTTCATTACATTTAATTAAAATGAAATAAAATTTAAAATTCAGTTCCTGAGTCACACTAGTCACATTTCAAGTGCTCAGTAGCTCCATGTGGCTAGCTCCCATGTTAGACAGCACGGATTATGGGCTTTCTGTCCATCATTGCAGAAAGTTCTGTTGGAGAGCAGTCTCCTAGAATGTTCTCAGAGCCTAAAGAAAGTGAAGGGAAGGGGAGTTGGGATGGCCTGTAAGATTAGAGTGTGGATTTTGAGAAAGATATGCAATTCTATTCTGAGGCGACGGGATGGGAGAGAGAATGGATGACTCCAGGCCAGAGACAAGGTATAGATCACTACGGTAGCTGAATAATGGCCCCCGAGGTGCACACATCCTATTCCTCAGAACCTGTGAATGTCACTTTTATAGCAAAATGGACTTTGGAGATATGATCAAGTTAAGAATCTTGAGATGAGTGATTACCTTGAATTATTGGGTCAGGCCCTAAATGCAGTTGTAAGTGTCCTTATAAGGGGGAGGAAGAGAATAATTTGGTAATAGAGGAGAAGATAGCAATGTGACAACAGAAGCAAGATGCTATGCTGCTGGCTTGGAAGATGGAGGAAGAGGCCAGGAGCCAAGAAGTGTTAGGATGCAGCTCTAGAAGCTGGAAATGGCAAGGAAATTTTTCCTCCCCTAGAGCCTCCAAAGGGAGTGTGGCTTAGTGAAACTAATTTCAGACTTCTCACCTCCAGAACTTTAAGAGAATAAATATGTGGTTATAAGATGTTAAGTGTGTGGTAATTTTTTACAGCAGCAATAGGAACAAATACAACCACCAACTGACGCGTCACTGATAGCGGCCCCCAATAGCTCAGTGTGGCAGGAAAGGGAGCATTCTAGAGGGTGAGCCAAACCTCCCTGCAGGAGGAACCCAGGGTGAGAGGGACACACCTCAAGGAGATGAACTATAATGAGGAGAGGCATCCCAAGAGGAGATCTGCTTCAGCAACTGAGTTCTGGGGCTGAGGCTTGATCCAGGGTCCAAGACCCTTAGGAAGCATGCCTCTTCTTGAGACATCTAGGGTGCTCTGAGGGGTCCTGGATTCCTGTCCGGGAAAGAATCCATCCTCTCATCTGTCAGATGCAGCCCAGAGCAGAGCCATGACCTGTCTCTGGTTCATTGTTGAGCAGGCAAGGTCAGGGCCAGAATCTGGGTCTTCTCCCTCACGATGGAGTCCCTTTCCCAATCCTCCCTGCCCCTCAGCTAATGGAAAGGGAGGAGCTCAGCTCCACAGAGGCAAGACCACCAGGGAAGGCTGCAGGAGGCCTGGGCAGCCTCATGAAGAAATGCTTCACCAGCAATTACAAACAGCAGAATGGAATCCTCGAAGTGGGGCAATGTGGGACTTCACCTGTTGCACAATATGAGACTGTTTTTTTCCTTTCTCCTCTTTTCATACAACTTCCTTTTCTCACCCTGGGCCCAGAGAGCTGGAATCTGCTTACTTGACGTTCCATTTGAGGTTTCTCCAGGTTTCCGGGTGGGGACAGAAGCCAGAACAGATGAAGCAGGACACTCGAAAGGAACTATGGATTATGGAGCAACTTCTAGGCATCCGGCCTGTTTTCCTACTCCTTGCAGTGCCCACCTCCCCCAGCTCACTCTCCAGATGGGAGTCCATTTCCTTATGTACATGTTCCTTTAGGACATGTTCATGCAAACATGTCCTCATCCCCCTATCCCACCTCAACCTGGAACCCTCCATCATGCTCCCATTGACACAGGCATTTTCCTCCAAGGAGGCCAGGAGCCGAGCAAGCAGAGGCAGGGATCAAGGGATCAAGATGAGCTGAGGATGGTGACATAGCCACAGCTCTTCCTCGAGGCTGAGACCAGAGACCAGGTGGCAGTCCTGTACTGCAGTCTGCATTCACCCTTTACAGACTTGAGGGTCTTGGCGCCCTCTCTTTCCCACTTATCTCTACCTGTTCTCCCTTCTAAACTCCTTCTCTCTTGGGTTCCCACTGAGTCTAGCATACAGGAAAATGGAAGAAAAGAATTGAGAGACAAAATCATGGCACATTTTTCTACCTTTTAATAAGTTTCATTTTTGGATACAGCCAATGCCTCGTATATGTGGGTTCCACATCTGTGGATTCAGTCAACAATGGATGGAAAATATTTGGGAAAGAAAGCACAACAGGCCAGATGTGATGGCTCACACCTGTAATCCCAGCACTTTGGGAGGCTAAGGTGGATCATTTGAGCTCAGGAATTCGAGACCAGTCTGGGCAAACATAACAAGAACCTGATCCTACAAAAAATATCAAAATTAGTGGGGTGAGGTGGCACATGCCTGTAGTCCCAGCTACTTGGGAGGCTGAGGCAGGAGGATTGCTTGAGCCCCGGAGGCAGAAGTTACAGACAGCTGAGATGACGTGACTGCACTCCAGCCTGGGCGCTAGAGCAAAATCCTGTCTCAAAAACTAAATAATAATAATAACAAAATACAAATAAAAAACAATGCAGTATAACAATGATTTACATTTACATTTATTAACAGCACTTACATTGTTTAGGTATTCTAAGTAATCTGGAGATGAAAGTATACGGGAGGATGTGCATAGGTTATGGGCAAATAATATGCTATTTTATATCAGAGATATTTGTGCATCTGTAGATTTTGGAAGCCATGGGAATTCCTAGAAACAATCCCCTGTGGATATCAAGAGATGGCTCTATACGATAAGTGTGTAAAATATATATATTCAGAAGGAATCAGAAAATCAAAATTAATGTCTCTCAGGGAAGATGGGCTTGATGGGACTTGATGGAGGATGGTCTGGGAGACTATCCCCTTCTACGGAAACATTCCCTACTAGGAGACCAGCACAGCTGCAGGGAAATAATTTCTTCAGGCAGTGTTAGCAGCTTCTAAATCTCGGGACCCTATGTCCCTGGGCTCCTCAAGGAGATGTTTGTTATTTACAGTGACTCCTGATTCATTTCCTTAGGGGGTCCTCTCTTCCTTCAGCTAGGGACTTGAAGGGGAAAAGTGCCAGCATTTACCAAGCTCCTTAAAGCGCCAGGTGCTATACTGCTATGAGTTTCATATATAGTCTTTTTTAATCCTTGCAAAATCTCAGGTATGGTGGCATGTGCCTGTAGTCCCAGCTACATGGGAGGCTGAGGCAGGAAGATTGCTTGAGCCCAGGAGTTCTGGGCTACAGTGCACTATGCCAATTGGTGTCCACACTAAGCTCGGCATTAACATTGTGATCTCCTGGTAGCAGGGGACTACCAGGTTGCCTTAAGAGGGGTGATCCGGCCCAGGTCAGAAATGGAGCAGGTCAAAACTCGCATGCTGATTAGTAGTGGGATCGTGCCTGTGAATAGCCACCGCATTTCCACCTGGGAAACATAGTGAGACCCTGTCTCTGGGGAAAACAAAAAACAAAAAACAAAAACAACAACAACTACAACGACAAAAAACCTAAGGTAGATATTATTATTCCCATTTTAAAGATGAGAAAACCAAGGCTCTGAAAGGTCTAGAGGTAGATCCACAGTGTGAGGACACTGGTATGTGTAATCTTTGCAGACCTATTTGATTTATATTAGCTCTTCTTTTCTGTAACCTGCCTAAACAGGTCTACCTTGGCATAGTAAACCTCTTTGCCTTCCATCCTACCTTTCTATATCTCCTTGATTTGGAAGGTTGGAAGGGCTTGTCTTGTTCTCCCCCTTCATTTCTTGAAAAGAGTGAATCCCTGAATCTTTCAAGCTGTCTGTAGAGGAAGTTATTATATCTGTGACTCCAGATGAAGTCTGCAGATTCAAGGCCCTACCCACCCATTAGAACTTCTGACAGATGAGCGCCCACCAAGGAGTTTGATATCATGCACTTAATGGTTTTTAAATTAATAATTTTTGAATAGATAACAGTAGACATTATATACAATTCAAAAGGCATAAAAAGATACCCAACCAGAAAGTAAATCTCCCTCCTAGCTCTGTCACCAAAATATCTGTTACCCAGGGTAATGTCTATGTGACCTAGGTAAATTTCTACGCCACTTTAACTCTGCTTATCTTCAGAAAACAGGATGCCTGAGGTCCAAAGTTCCCCCTCGGGACCAACAGACTAAGACTGCTGGGGTCTAAGATGGCAGCTCGCTTGACCTCCGATGAACTTGTAACTTCATTATAATCTAATGTCCATGCTAAATGACACTCCCACCAGCACCATGACAATTGACAATCTCCATGACAACAACTGAAGAAACCATAAGAGGACCAAAAGAAAGGCAAGAACTCCAATTCCAAGAAGCTCTCCACCCATTCTCAGAAAATACATGAATATTCCTCCCCCTGCTTTTAATGCCCAACCCCTTCATTAAATATATCCTATTATCTGTGATTTCCCGGCTCTCTGAGCTAAGAAGTTGATTTGTGAGCCAGGCTCCTGCTTCTCAGTTCCCTGGCTGTGATGTTAATCAATGTCAACTTGATTGGATTGAGGGATACAAAGTATTAATCCTGGTTGTGTCTGTGTGGGTGTTGCCAAAAGAGATTAACATTTGAGTCAGTGGGCTGGGGGAGGCAGATCCACTCTTAATCTGGTGGACACAATCTAATCAGCTTCCAGCTAATATAAAGCAGCCAGAAAAACATGAAAAGGAGAGCTGGGCCTAGCCTCCCAGCCTACATCTTTCTCCCATGCTGGATGTTTCCTTGTGATCGTGTAAGTTAACACTTAATAAATCTCCCCTCTCTCTCTCTATATATATCCTATGAGTTCTGTCCCTCTAAGAGAACCCTGACTAATACAGATTTTGGTACCAGGAGTGGTTCTAGAGAAACAGAATATTAAGGATTGAGTTCTTTCGTTGGTTTTGGGGTTTCTGGAATTGGCTGCTTAATATGGTTAGACCCCAAAATGCTAAGGACTGTATGTCTAATAGTATGGAGAAGACTGATAGTCCTTGGTGTGAACGGTTTAGATAGTTAGGCAAAATAAATGCATTTGACACTCCTGATTTCACTGCTCATGAGAGGCAAGGAGTTTAGTGACTCTATACATAATACCTTTGACCATATGCGGAGAACCAAGGAACATAATGAAGCTGGTTGGTTGCTCTTAAGTTCAGTATACAAAGTGTTGAAAGAAAATGATGAACTCAGGGATTGTCTCCCGGCTTCAGAAATAGATACTAAGCTTCAAATCTGCTAAGATTGCCCTGAGTGAGAACCTTATCTCCTGTACAGAAAGAGCTGAAATTGTAGAAAAACAGACACAAGCTTTTATCATGCAAGTGGCTGACCTGCAACAAAAGGGGCATGCACAGCCTCACCAGGTGTCTATTGTTAAAGTGGGGGCATTGATTGGAAAAGAATAGGACCCTGCAACTTGGAATGGGGAAATGTGGGAGCACCCAGATGAAGCTGGGGACACTGAGTTTGTAAACTCTGATGAACCTTTTTTGCCAGAAGGAACAGCTTCCCAATCCCCAGTAGTGGCAACATCCGCTCCCTGACCCATGCTGCCATCAGCCTTTCCACCTTTGTCCACAGATAAACCCTGTGCTGCCTGAGGCAACAGTGATGGCCTCCCCTGAGGCAGTTGCCAGGCAAAGTAATGTTGATTCCCCTCAGGAGCCACACCCAACACCCCTGTTTGCTGGCCCACTACATTGATGACAGTCTAGACATGTAACTACACTAAATTCTGGTCCATTACACTGATGACAGTCTAGACCTGTAACTAAAGTCCCAGTGGGCCCCTGGAAGTGAGATTGAGAGTGTGACCCATGAGGAGGTGCATGGCACTTCAAAAGAACTGTTTGAGTTCTCTAATTTATAAAAACAGCAATCTGGAGAACAGGCATGGGAATGGATGTTAAGGGTATGGGGTAATGGTGGAAGGAACATAGAGTTGGATCAGGCTGAATTTATTGATTTGGGCCCACTAAGTAGGGATTCTGCATTTAATGTTGCAGATTGGGGAGTTACAAAAGATTCTAATAGTTTATTTGCTTGGTTAGCTGAAATATGGAATAAAAGATGGCCCACTGTGAGCCAGCTGGAAATGCCTGATCTCTCCTGGTTTAATGTAGAGGAAGGGATCCAAAGGCTTAGGGAGATTGGGATGGTGGAGTGGATTAGTCACTTTAGACCTAATCATCCCAGTGGGAAGGGTCCAGAAATTAACATGTCTCCTGGTGCCTGGTATGCACCAATTGACTTGGCAAATGCTTTTTCTCCATTCCTGTCCATAAGGCCCACCAGAAGCAATTTGCTTTCAACTGGCAAGGCCAGCAATATACCTTTACTGTCCTACCTCAGGGGTATATCAACTCTCCGGTTTTGTGTCATAATCTTATTCAGAGAGACCTTGAACACTTTTTGCTTCTGCAAGATATCACACTGGTCCATTACAATGATGACATTATGATGACTAGATCCAGTGAACAAGAAGTAGCAAACACACTGGACTTATTGGTGAGACATTTGCATGCCAGAGGATGGGAAATAAATCTGACTAAAATTCAGGGAACTTCTACCTCAGTAAAATTTCTAGGGGTCCAGTGGTGTGGGGCCTGTCGAGATATTCCTTCTAAGGTAAAGGATAAGTTGCTGCATTTGGCCCCTCCTACAACCGAGAAAGAGGCACAAAGCCTAGTGGGCCTGTTTGGATTTTGGAGGCAACACATTTGGGAGTGTTACTCTGGCCCATTTATTGAGTGACCCGAAAGGCTGCCAGTTCTGAGTGGGATCCAGAACAGGAGAAGGCTCTGCAATAGGTCCAGGCTGCTGTGCAAGCTGCTCTGCCACTTGGACCATATGACACAGCAAATCCAATGGTGCTTGAGGTGTCAGTGGTAGATAAGGATGCTGTTTGGAGCCTTTGGCAGGTTCCCATAGGTGAATCACAGCAGAGGCCTCCAGGATTTTGGAGCAAGTCCCTGCCATCTTGTTCAGATAACTACTCTCCTTTTGAGAGACAGCTCTTGGCCTGTTACTGGGCTTTGGTGGAAACTGAACGTTTGACTATGGGTCATCAAGTCACCATGTGACCTGAACTACCTGTCATGAACTGGGTGTTTTCCAACCCATCTAGCCACAAAGTGGGTCATGCACAGCAGCATTCCATCATCAAATGGAAGTGGTATATATGTGATCAGGCTTGAGCAGGTCCTGAAGGCCAAGTAAGTTACATGAGGACATGGCTCAAATGCCCATGGTCTCCACTCCTGCCACCCTGCCTTCTCTCCCCCAGCCTGCACCGATGGGCCTATGATCAGTTGACAGAGTAAAAGAAGACTAGGGCCAGGTTCACAGATGGTTCCACACGATATGCAGGCGCCACCAGAAAGTGGACAGCTGCAGCACTACAGCCCCTTTCTAGGACATCCCTGAAGGAGAGCAGTGAAGGGAAATGTTCCCAGTGGGCAGAACTTCGAGCAGTGCACTTTACATGAAATGAGAAATGGTCAGGTGTGCGATTATATACTGATTCATGGGCTGTAGCCAATGACTTGGCTGGATGGTCAGGGACTTGGAAGAAGAATGATTGGAAAATTGGTGACAAAGAAATTTGAGGAAGAAGTATGTAGATGGACCTCTCCGAGTGGTCAAAAACTGTGAAGATATTTGTGTCCCCTGTGAGTGCTCACCAACAGGTGACCTCAGTGGAGGAGGAGTTTAATAATCAAGTGGATAGGATGACCCATTCTGTGGACACTACTCAGCCTCTTTCCCCAGCCACCCCTGTCATCGCCCAATAGACCCATGAACAAAGTGGCCATGGTGGCAGGGATGGAGGTTATACACGGGCTCAGCAAGATGGACTTCCACTCACCAAGACTGACCCGGCTATGGCCACTGCTGAGTGCCCAATTTGCCAACAGAAGAGACCAACACTGAGCCCTCGATATGGCACCATTCCTCAGGGTGATCAGCCAGCCACCTGGTGGCAAGTTGATTATATTGGACCTTTTCCATCATGGAAAGGGCAGAGGTTTGTTCTCACTAGAATGGCACTTACTCCTGATATGGGTTTGCCTATCCTGTATGCAATGCTTCTGCCAAGACTACCATCCACGGACTCACAAAATGCATTACCCACCGTCATGGCATTCCAAACAGCATTGTCTCTGACCAAGGCACTCACTTTGCGGTTAAGGAAGTGGGGCAGTGGGCTCATGCTCATGGAATTCACTGGTCTTACCATGTTCCCCATCATCCTGAAGCAGCTGGATTGATAGAATGGTGGAATGGCCTTTTGGAGTCACAATTACAATGCCAAATAAGTGACAATAGTTTGCAGGGTTGGGGCAACAGCCAATCCAGGCAGGACTACAAATGACTCAGACCCTTCAGGAATGAAGGTTTGGGTCACTCCACTGGAAAAAAAAACAAAAACAAAAACACGACCTACTGAGGTGCTTGCTGAAGGCAAAGGGAATGCAGAATGGGTAGTAGAAGAAGGTAGTCATCAATACCAGCTATGATCACAAGACCAGCTGCAGAAATGAGCACTGTAACTGTCATGAGCATTTCCTCCTTCTTTTGTTAAAAACATGTTTGTGCATGTATAGACTTGTACGAAGAAAATATCTTAATTTTATTTCCTTTTCCTTTATTATGTGACATAATATTTATTGGCTTCATATCAGCATTTAAGTATTGTTCACTTTATGTAATAGTATTTGGGTTGGTATTGGTGCCTTTCCAGTTGTACAATGGATAGTTGTATTATGTTACATGTAATTATGACCTCATTATTGTCTTTATTTGAAGATTATGTATGATCTCAGGAGATGTGTATGGGTTCAGGTTGACAAGGGGTGGACTTGTGATGGTTAATACTGAGTGTCAACTTGATTGGATTGAGGGTTACAAAGTATTAATCCTGGGTGTGCCTGTGGGTGTTGCCAAAAGAAATTAACACTTGAGTCAGTGCACTGGGGAAGGCAGATCCACCCTTAATCTGGTGGGTACAATCTAATCAGCTGCCAGTGAATATAAAGCAGGCAGAAAAATGTGAAAAGGAGAGATGGACCTAGCCTCACAGCCTACATCTTTCTCCCATGCTGGATGCTTCCTGCCTTTGAACATCGGACTCCAAGTTCTTCAGTCTGGGGACTTGGACTGGCCCTTCTTGCTCCTCAGCTTGCAGACAGCCTATTGTGGGACCTCGTGATCATGTAAGTTGATACTTAATAAATTCCCTTTATATCTGTCTATCTCTCTATCTATCTATCTCTCTATCTATCATCTATCTATCATCTATCCTATTAGTTCTGTCCCTCTAAGAGAACCCTGACTAATACAGTGGCCATGGAATAAAGCCTGCACTACTTGACACTCACTTTTGGTTTTGTATATTGGCTTCAAAGCACTAAACAGGGAAAGACTCCATTTGTATGGGGACTGGCTTTGTTGGTAACATATCCATTTCCCTTTCCTAGAAGCAATGAATAATTGCTACCACTATTTTATGAACACATCTGGAGATTCCACAGCCTTTTAGAAGTGTCAGAGAATGGAACAACAAATGCAATAACAAGGATTGCCCAAATGATCAGGGCCTTAGGCTTCTAGCCTTTATCCTGAAAGTGCTTTAGCCCTCTCCTCCTAGAGGCCTAGATTTACAAAGCTCTTGACAGCTGTGCTCTGGGACAAATTGAATTCTGACATAAAACACTTTCTTGAGATTTGAAAATGCTACCTTTTCTCCCCTTTACTCTGTTCCCTAAACAAGGGGTTGCTGGAAACATCCTTGGTAAGTTTCATAAGATTGTCTGTTTCATATGATGCTTATAAATTTCATAGTCAATGACTTTGTTGTGCAAAAAAAAATGTAACTTTATTTTCTCCATAATTAAACTTAGCTTTTCAATCTCGATTTCTTTTGGTGGCAGAAATTTAATCTGACCAACAAGGTAAACAAAGTTTCTTGCTGCTGTTTTTTTTTCCAACTGAGAATCTTCCGTCTCCCATCCTTCTTCCTCTTCTCTCCTCCAGCTCTTCCCAGGGCCCCTCTGCATTCTGGAAGGCTGGAGAGTGATTGAGCAGTCAGGAGATGCAGGATTCTCACTCATGATTGACCCTGACCCCTGCTAGCCACTGATGAGGTGCATTTCAACTTTCTGGTCACTGCCGGCTCACTTGTCCTGCCATGTCCTCCTGGGTCAGGGCTGTGACTCTGTCCCCTTTGTCCCACCCTAAGCTTCTCTGAGCCTTCCAGGCCAGGGGCTACTTGGAAAGACTGGTGGTGTTCCCAGGCACACCTCCCTCCTGCTCCCCTGCACCTACAGTCCTCCCTCTTCCCAGGCAGGATGGACGCCCTATTGGGGTCATTCTCAGATGTCTAGCTTTCTGGCTCACATCTTTCACTTTATTCTCCCATGAATGTCTATCTGATTTTCTCTCAGTATGTGGGAAGCTAGTTCTTAAAAATTATCATTAATTCAAAAAATGCATATATTACTAATGGTATCATCCTTATCCCCATTGTCTTTGGGGGTTTAACCTTAGGAGCACCTTCTCCCTCCCACACTCAGATCCTTTCCTCTCAAAAAGTCCAGATCCTGAAATGCACTTTCAGAATGATTATGTCTGTTATGAGTTAAAAAAAAAAAAAAAAAAAAAGAGTACTGAGGAACTCAACTGACTTGTTTGTTTAAACTCTATTCACCCTCCCCTGCAGGCAGTGAGCATGGATGATGATGATTGCTGGCAAAACAGGGGAGTGGTAGTGAAGGTTAGAAAGCCAGGGACTGGGGACACTTGTGCTGCCAGGGTGTTCTCTGAGCAATGATGCTGCTTGTGGTGAATTCCCATTCACCTCCAGAATGGGTTTCTGGCTTTGCTGAGAAAGGCTTTTATTGGGTGTCATTAGTAATTCTGTCAAAGGTGGTGGGGAGGCGGGGAAACTTCCCATGCTAAGAATCAAATCAAGAAACCCTTTCTGGGGAATAATGAGAGCCACGTTCTTTCTAATGTGATATGAAAGCACTGAATATTTGTTACTGCTTTTACAGAAATGATTAATTCTCAATCTATGTCAGAGAGATTCTCAGTGCTGATTTTCAGATGATGGCATTGGGAAATAGGCATCACTGCATGAAGTTGCTACCCCTTGTGCAGGCCTCCCTGGTGGCCTGTGTCATTGTCTTGGGCTTCAACTGCTAGATTGTGAACTGCCCCCCACCCCCCCACCCCCAGGGGTGGATCAGGAGCTGGAAGGCAGGGTCTGCAGGGTGGCCGTGGAGAGGGGTGTGGTGCAGCTGAAAAGGAATAAGCTCCAGGGAGGGCAGGAAAAGCAATGAGATCAGCTCAGCCAAATCTAGTCCAGCCACAGCTTTTAGCTGGAGAGCATTGACAAGCTGTCCCAGGATTAAAAGGGGGTTTTGTGAAGAACATCACTTGGGTGAGAGGCTCATAGGCATCCTGCAAGACCAGCTAAAGGCTACATAGGAATTACAGCAAGCTGCAGCAGGATGGCCTCCAGTTTCAGAAGGGCCACGCCAACTTGGAGAGCGATGCATCTGACCCAGTACATTGACTGAACGAAGGAGGCAAAGGAGCTATGTGAGGAGCCCACAGAAGAGGTCACCAAAAAGGGAAATGAAGCTGTAGCTTCCAGACACCTGAGTGGAAAAAAAGACCAGAGTCAGCAGCTCCAAGCCAAAAATAGAACACAAGCTCTCTTTCAAGTAAGGTGACAGTGGTGCTTGTTTATTCTTGAGTATAATTTTGTGTGAAAAAAAGCAGCCTGTAGGAAGAGTCCCTCTTCCACTGTGAAGGAGAGGCTGGTTGCAGGTAGAGAACTCTGTCTGGGTTCCCTCTGGAGTTCTCCTCTTCTCCACACATGGGGTAGAGCGCTGTTTCCAGCCTGTTATTCCTATTCTCACTGGTACCCACTGAATGACTATGTACTGTGCACTCCCGATTCTGACAATCAATGGTCTAGAACAGCAGTCCCCAGGCCCAGGCCACAGATTGGTACTGGTCCATGACCTGTTACGAACCGAGCCACACAGCAGAAGGTGAGTGGTGGGCGAGTGAGAAGCTTCATCTGTATTTACAGCCACTCCCCATTGCTGACATTACCGCCTGAGCTCCGCCTCCTGTCAGGTCAGCCACAGCATTAGATTCTCATACAAGTGCAAACCCTATTGTGAACTGCGCATGCCAGGGATCCAGGTTGCACGCTCCTTATGAGAACCTAATGCCTGATGATCTGTCACTGTCTCCCATCACTCACAGATGGGACCATCAAGTTGCAGGAAAACAAGCTCAGGGCTCCCACTGATTCTACATTATGGTGAGTCGTATAATTATTTCATTATATATTACAAAGTAACAATAATAGAAATAAAGTGCACAATAAATGTAATGCACTTGAATCATCCTGACACAATCCCCCATCCCTTAATCAGTGGATAAATTGTCTTCCATGAACCCTGTCCCTAGTGCCAAAAAGGTTGGAACCATTGGCCAAGAGCACTGACTTTTTTTTCTTTTATTTCAGTAGCTTTTGGGATACCAGTGGTTTTTGTTACATGGATGAATTATAAAGTGGCAAAATCTGAGATTTTAGTGCGCCTGTCACCTGAGTAGTGTATCTTGTACCTAATGTGTAGTTTTTTTTCCCTAGCCCCCCTCTCATCCTTCACCTTTTGAGTCTCTAAAGTGCATTATATCACCCGTTTGCCTTTGCATACTCAAAGCTTAGCTCTCACTTATAAGTGAGAACATACGGTTTTTGGCTTTCTGCTCCTGTGTTAATTCATTTAGAATAATGGCCTTCAGCTACACCCAACTTGCTGCAAAAGAGATTATTTTGTTCTTTTTTATGGCTGAGTAGTATTCCATGGTGTATATATACCACGTTTTCTTTATCCACTCATTGGTCGATGGGCACTTAGGTTGGTTCTACATGTTAGCAATTGTGAATTACAGAGCACTGTTAACACAGACATTATTAGCAAGAGTTTTAAACAAGTCTAAATACAAAGCTGTTTGTGCAAGATTTTTTTAAAAGGCTACGTGTATAATAACCCTGTCATTTTAGTGTACTATTAAGTTATTTAGTATAATAGTGCAATATTAAGTTATTTGTAATTTGAAGATTTCTGATCTATACATACTTTGCTTCCTATGTGTGGGCAAAGCAAAATATGCTCTATTAAGTACATATTGCCAAGAAAAGCCATGAGTGTATTAGGCTTTTGATAAAAATGGGCCAAAAATGGGAATGCTTGCCACAGAGCACAGTGAGGGAGGGAGAGCATTGTGAGATGGATTTGTTGTGGAGAGATCTATGCCTACTTTACTAATAGAATAAAAGAAAGTTAATTTCTATTGATGGATTTATACAGTGTTACAAATCGGGAATGTTTAGAAAGGCAAGAGGAATACAATGATTGTTTTTGCCATGGTTTACACATTTAGCTTGTGGTAAATGACTCACAAAACTGATTTAAAAATCAAAGGTTGATGTTAATTTTGAAAATGACTATTTACGACATGGGCAAAGACTTCATGACTAAAACACCAAAAGCAGTTGCAACAAAAACCAAAATTGACAAATGGAATCTAATTAAACTAAAGAGCTTCTGCACAGCAAAGGAAACTATCATTAGAGTGAAAAGGCAACCTACAGAATGGGAGAAAATTTTTGCAATCTATCTCTCTGACAAAGTTCTAATATTCAGAATCTACAAAGAACTCAAACAAATTTACAAGAAAAAAACAAAAAACCCCATCAAAAAGTGGGTGAAGGATATGAACAAACACTTCTCAAAAGAAGACATTTATGAAGCCAACAAACATATGAAAAAAGCTCATCATCAGTGCTCATTAGAGAAATGCAAATCAAAACCACAATGAGATACCATCTCACACCAGTTAGAATGGTGATCATTAAAAAGTCAAGAAACAATAGATGCTGGCGAGGCTGTGGAGAAATAGGAACACTTTTACACTGCTGGTGGGAGTGTAAATCAGTTTAACCATTGTGGAAGACAGTGTGGCGATTCCTCAAGGGTCTAGAACCAGAAATACCATTTGACCCAGCAATTCCATTACTGGGTACATGCCCAAAGGATTATAAATCATTCTACTATAAAGACACATGCACACATATGTTTGTTGCAGCACTATGTACAATAGCAAAGACATGGAACCAACCCAAATTGCCATCAACGATAGAAGGGATAAAGAAAATGTGGCATATAAACACCCTGGAATACTACGCAGCCATAAAAAATGAGTTCATGTCCTTTACAGGGACATGGATGAAGCTGGAAACCATCATCCTCAGCAAACTAACACAGGAACAGAAAACCAAACACCTCATGTTCTCACTTGTACGTGGGAGTTGAACAGTGAGAACACATGGACACAGGGAGGGGAACATCACACACCAGGGCCTGTTAGTCGGTGGGAGGCAAGGGGAGAGAGCATTAGGACAAGTATCTAATGCATGCTAGGCTTAAAACCTAGTGGATGGGTTGATAGATGCAGCAAACCACCATGGCACATGTATACTTGTGTAACAAACCTGGACATTCTGCACATGTATCCCAGAACTTAAAGTAAAATAATAATAATTAAAAAAAAAAAAAGAAAATGACTATTTAATCATAGTTCCCAATGAAAACAATGGCATTTGGTTTGACTTGAGTTGGTTTCGAAGATTTACAGTAAATAGGCTCTTACCACTTGTGAATGACTGGCAAGTTTGCACTAATGACTTTCTTCCAATGAGGCTCTCTACAGGAAAAGTGGAAGGATCCACGCAGTTTGAGATGCAGGGGCCTCTCTGGGCTTCAGAGAGGAAATGGAGCCCAGAGAAGTTATGGAGCATCCAGTTGGTGAGCCGTAGCACCGGGATTCACAGCAGGCTGTGCCACCTCCCTGTGCCCTGTGACCACTGAGAGCAGGCCCTGTTTGCACGCATGTGGCGATCTCCAATTTCAGTGTTCTCCCTGTGATATCTCTTTATCCAGTCACTAGGATTTAATGTTTCCACTCAGAAAAGGCAACTGAAGAAGAGTGTATTAGTCAGGGTTCTCTAGAGGGACAGAACTAATGGAATAGCTATATATATAAGGAAGAGTATATTCAATATTAACTCAAATGATCACAAGGTCCCACAATAGGCCATCTGCAGGCTGAGAAGCAAGGAGAGACAGTCTGAGTTCTGAAACTGAAGAACTTGGAGTCTGATGTTCAAGGGCAGGAAGCATCCAGCATGGGAGAAAGATGTAGGCTGGGAGGCTAGGCCAGTCTCTCTTTTCACATTTTCTGCCTGCTCATATTCTAGCCATGCTGGCAGCTGATTAGATTGTGCCCACCCAGGTTAAGGGTGGGTCTGCCTTTCCCAGCCTACTGACTCAAATCTTTATCTCCTTTGGCAACACCCTCCCAGACACACCCAGGATCGATACTTTGTATCCTTCAATCCAATCAAGTTGACCCTCAGTATTAACCGTCACAAAGAGTACGAATGCAGCTCTATAAAATTTTCTCTAAATCCTTTTCCAGCCTCCTTTTGTGTCCCAGTCTTGGGGATGATATGAATTCTGTCTTGCTTTCCAATTAATAATGTCTCTATTCATCTCATGTTTAATTAGTGCACATGGAGTTACTGAGAAATAAAATACGCTGTTAGTTCAACTAAAAAAAAAAAAAAGAAAGTAGGAGAGTGAGAGAAATATTACCTGGCACATGCTTTAAGTAACACAGAAAGGCAAACAGCCCCACCTGTGTTAAAGGACTTCCTTGGGCAGATCTTTGCCATCTGACTTTTTAAATTTCACTGTCTCTGACCTTTCAAAGTCTCATGCTGGGTGACACTATATCTTGGTGCCCATCCTCACTTTCTCATGAAACAGGACAAAGATGTAATCTGATCAACATCTGGGGCTGGTGTGCAGTTAGGCGTTGGAAGGATTTGACAGGAATAGGAAGTGATTATCTGCAATATAAAATTCCAGGAAAAATAGAATTCCAGCATATTCAGGAGTCTAAACACAGAAGCCATTGCATGCCTAAGGTCCCACAAGCCAGCCTGAAAAAAAAGCAATGAAACTTTGATGGCTCCAGATATGAAGGATGAGGTTTGTGGACTGAGGACATCCAGGGATTCCCAACGTCTGCTCAGTCTTCTCTTAATTTTTTATACATGTGTGACGGCTGCTGTGGATACCTAGCCCTTTCAAATGATATGTTATAAGACCTTGCCAAATGCCCAAATTTGTGATTGTCAGCAGAGCTCTGGAAATCTTTTAATGGGAACACTGTTTTGTTTTTCACAAAGAAATAGAGCTTTTATGAAGTCGGTAGAGCGTCTGCTCATTCCCGCATGCAGGAACAGCATCTGGGAGCTTTACCCAAACCCCAGCCTTGGAGATTCCACATCAGTGGGCCTGAGGTGGGCTTGAAGCATTTGTAAGGTGTGGACTTCCTTTGAGCTTCAGTTTCTTCATTTGTGACATGGGGATTCCAATGGAAATGACCCCACAGGCTAGCAGGGCTTCAGGGAGATGACAGGTATAAAATGCAAGCCGGGGGCCTAACCTACAAGTGCATACTTAACAAAAGTCAACTGTTGTCATTATCATTCCCTCCTTAGCAATACTGCAGCTAAGTGATTGAAATGCATGCCTCAGCAAAACTATCACAGGCCATGAATACCCTATGCTGCATATTGGAAACTGCAAATGCTGGAGAAGCAAACGCCAGGTGCTATTGTCTTACACAGTTTCTGCTAATTAATTTCTTTATCTAATTGTTGTGAGAGTTATTTGCTCGATATTCGCAATTGGGGTAGGTCTTAAGCCTACTCCCTTTTCCAGGGGGGAAAGGGAAGTAGCTTTCAAGAATACAAAGCAAGAAATAGTCCACTAAAAATTTAACTTGGGAAAGCAAGGTAATAAATATATTGGGCTAATGTGTGAGAAATCGGTGTCTCCTTCACTGTGGGTGGAAGTGTAAGTTGATGTAGTCTTTCTGGAGAACAACTTGGCAATATCTTCCCACTGTACAGTAGGTACATCCTTTCTATTTTCACATATAGGCATTCTGGGGAAATACTGATGTATATAGACAAAGAAGCATGCATGAAATCATCAGTATAGTATTGTTTGTGATAGCAAAAAGACTAGAAGCCACCTAAATGTGCAAGAATTGGAGCTTGGATAAATAAAATATGAGCCATTCATATGATGGGATTTTTAGATAACAGGGTTTTTTTGAGATGGGGTCTTGCTCTGTTGTTGCTCAGACTGGAGTGCAGTGGCATGATCATGGCTCACATAGCCTCGACCTCCCAGGCTCAAATGATCTTCCCATTTCAGCCTCTCAAGTAGCTGGGACAGGCGTGCCACCATGCCCAGCTAATTTTTAAATTTTTTGTAGAGATGGTGTCTCACTATGTTGCCCTCATGGCTGGTTTTGAACTCCTGGGCTCAGGCAGTCCTCCTGCTTCATCTTCCCAAAATGCTGGGATGATAGGCATGAGTCACCACACTGAGCTGGCACTTATTTTTTTAAAAAGGAAAAAAAAGACACTACCCTGGAAAGTTCTCCAAGATATAACATTAAATAAATAAAGCAAAATAATACATATAACTTCATTTATGCAAAAAAAGTAAATATTTGTATACACACATGTGTGCATGTAAAAGCATAGGAAAAGGCCTTAGAAAAACACACAGCAAACTGCTAATACTGATAATATTAACGACCTCCCAGTAGGTCATTCTGCATGTCTATATTGTTTGAATTGTTCATCACACGAGTTCATTGATGTGTTTCTTGTATAAAAATTAACTTTTAAAGATTATGTTACCTAAGTTAACATGATCCTATTTAGGTCACTTTTAGAGAGGGGCATGGGAGCCCTCCCCTGGCTGACAGTGCTCCAGAGGGTCCTCCTGCAGGCTCTTTGGGGCTGTTCTGCCTGGCCCCACTCCCTCACCAAGGCCAGGCTACTCATCAGCCTAGAATCCAGGCAGCCACTTTGCAGTTGGATTTGGGCTTGCCCTTTGCTGTCCTCTGTGCTGTCTGGGGACATTGCCCTCCGTCCTGTACTGCGTTGCTGACACAGGATTTTTCAGAGCTGCGTAGCCAGCTGGAGACCTCCATGGCTGGTGATACCCCTGCCTGGGCCTCACTTGGCCCCGGGCTCACCACAGGAGCTACCTCACCCACTCGGCCCAGCAGGCTGTGCTTGGCTTGTGCTCCTGCTTGGATCCTGTGCTCACCGCAGGATCCACACTAAGCCTGCAGGTGGGCTTGGCTTGCCACAACCTGCTTCCACCTTGGGCACCAATGTCTGGCTGAGAGGAATGCAATGGTGCATGAATGGGGATGCGAGCAACCCTAAAGCCCCAGAGGGAGTGTTACAGCAGGCTAACAGCTCTTTTAGTCCCATTGTCCCACTCCAATCCATGGCTCCAGGGCTGGCCTGGCTCCAGCACTGCTTCCTGTCACATGGGGCGGTTGCCTTCCACCAGCAGAGGGCAGAGAACCACAGTGTTATAGCCTTTGTTGTACTTGCATTTGGCAGGTCCCAAGTTCTTGTCCCACATCCAAGAAGAATGAGGTTATGCTGACAACCAAAGGATGAGGAGAGTTTTATTGAGTGACAGCTCTCAGCAAAGAGAGGACCTAAGAGGGCAGTCCCCTCTCCAAAGTTGGATGGTCTCTTCCTGACTGAAGGTGGGCAGTCCCCCAGTGTGGCTGAGTCCAAGGCTTTTATGGGCTCAGAATGGGGTAGTGTGTGCTGATTGGTTTGTGAGTATGCAAGAAAGGCTAAAACAAAGGCACCACTCAAAGGTGGGCACAGCAGTGTAAAAAATCAATTAGGGAAGTGTAGGTATATGTAAAATAGGTGAAGGGTGGGGATCAATTAGAGGAAAGTGTGCCAAATGGGAAGAGAGGTTCCCAATCTGGTCTATGGATTTATCTAAGACTCGTAGCTTGGCTTTCAGGCTTTAAACCGTCTCTGGTTTGAAGACAGGGTTTCACTGGGGACCCACCCCTGTCTGCCTAGGGATTTGTCTGCCTCCTGTAGCTATCACTGCTCCATCTCCAGGTGCCCTGGTCCCTTCTTCAGACTGAGTCATCCTTCCTGGGTGCTTGCAAATTTAGCACCTCCAAAGATTCTGAGATGCCAATGTGAACTAACTACCAGGGGTGTTCAGTCTGAGCCCTTCTCTTGGCTTGCCTAGTATTTCTTTGCTGCTAGGGTATATTGTCTTGTCCAGGCCCCCCATAGATGGTCATGAGTGCTTGTCACAGCTCCAACCACCAATGACAAAGCAGGCTTTGTATTCGTCTCCTTCTTCTTCTTCTTTTTTTTCTTTTTCTGAGACAGAGTCTTGCTCTGTTGCCCAGGCTGGAGTGCAATGGTGCGATCTTGGCTCACCACAACCTCTGCCTCCCGGGTTCAAGCAATTCTCCTGCCTCAGCCTCCCAAGTAGCTGGGACTACAGGCGTGTGCCACCATGCCCAGTTAATTTTTGTATTTTTAGTAGAGACAGGGTTTCTCTATGTTGGCCAGGCTGGTCTCGAAATCCTGACCTCATGATTCACCTGCCTTGGCCTCCCAAAGTGCTGGGATTACAGACGTGAGCCACCGTGTCTGGCCTCACCTCCTTTGACTGTCATTGGGGTTTTACCTCCACATCTCTTTCACTGAGATTCTGTAATTTGGGTAGGAGAGAGGGCAGGCATCCTACTCAGGCTTGTGTGGAACATTTAGTGTTCTTCTCTTGTTATTTTGTTCACTCTTTAGCTCACTGAAGCAGCATTTCCTCTAGGAACCTCTGAGTACAAAGCAGAGGTCAGAGACCACCAGGCATCAGGGTAGACTCTGTCTCTCAACCTTCTAGGCCCTCAGCCAGCTTGCAACCTTTGAACACCCATCTTCTCAGGGAGTGACTTCACTACCCACCTGTTACTGCCCCTGCAGTTAAGCGGCAGCCCGAATTTCATACCTGCATAGGGATCTCAGCTGGGGGGTTGGTCAGCGGCTTCCAAGCACACTTTCAACATCTCTCCCAGAAGCTCTTCAAATCCTCTTGTCACTGAACCTCCAGGAGGCCCCAGATGGCCCCCAGCACACTACACCTGGCTTCATAGCTTACGCATTCACTCTGATTTTCTAAATGACACAGAGACGATTCATTTCTTTGGCCACTTTTCCTAAAGGTACCAGGAACATCCATGCCTTGTTGGGATTAGCAAAGTGCTAAAAAGTGTTCTTAAATGTCTCATGTTTGGCGATTACATCTCCAAGAAACCACTACTGTAATTAGAGAGAAACCAGCTGTGAGATAGAACAGGAACTGGCTCACCTGGGGGCACTCCCTGGAGACCTCGTATTTGTGTATACTTCCTGCCCTACTGTTTCTGCTCTGCCTTCCTTTCTGGTGACATTGAGGGTACAAATTGTTCCAGGTGTGTGCAGCACATCAAAGCCTAACTGGAAGAAGGCACAGTCTTCATTTTGGTGGCTTTTATCACCATGAGGATGAGGTGACCTGTGCTCACAGTCCTCCTTTCAGGATCGAGGGGAGCAGAGAAGTTTCCAGGCCGAGCCGTAGGCCTGGGGATCATCTGACACAGAGGCAGGCTGTGTCCCCACTGCATTCATCAGACCCACTTCCTTTGACCTACAAGAGGGATCACCCTGCATTTTCCATCCTTCTCATCAGATTGGGTTGGGTCTGACCGAAGTTGGATGTGGAGAGTAGGGTCACTCCTCTAGGTGGGGGATGTGCCCTCCATGTGGGAATCCAAGAGGGAGCAGCTCTGAGGTGAACACAAGGTATGTGCAGGGTGGGAAGATGGCTTGCTCTGAGCAGAGATTTTATAATATCTTCTTATGAGATGGAAAGAAGGGGGTTATGACAACGCAAATTTCATTCCTGCCAAGACTCTACAGACTTCAGAGCAGAGAGAATATTCTCCCAAGGGCCAGACTGTGAAAATGGGGAACTTAGAGTGAGAGTGGAATTGAAGAAGCTGAGGGAAGAACACAGAAGCGTGAAGGAAGAAATGGGACTCCTGCTGACAGTGAGGGCTCCTCATTGGCCAGCAGATCAGCATGCTGGTATTGCTGGTCTCTCCAGCCCACCATGACGTTATCGCATCATTCTGACTCTGCAGGACAGGCACAGCTGCTGTCTTCCTTACAGCCGAAGTCTTCCTCGGACTTAGTGAGGAAGGAACAGAGCACAACCAAAAAGCTTTCCATCTTATAACCCAATGTCCTATGTCTTGCTCTATTTGGTTCATTAAATCTGATTCATCCAGACTATCTTGTGAAGTTTGTATCTTTCTTTGACATCAGTTATGATCCTCAGATGTCTTGGAAGCCCCCAGGAGCTCATGCTCCCCTGGAGATAGCAGCTTCTGTGGCTACTCAAATGTAATTTAGGGGAAAGGCTAAAATAAGTGAAGTCCTTACTTGTGCCCTTCCTGGCAATTTTGATGGGGGATGGGGCATACCACAGAACAGCCCAGCCTCTGTCTGTGGTACCCTGAGGCTTTCCTGCTCCAGGCTTTAGTGCCCCTTCCTATGCCAAAACAAACATGCCAGGATTTCTCCCCAGGATTGCTCACAATCTTTATAGCCACTGTTCGGGGTTCCAGGGAATATCCAAAGAAGCTATGAGTAACCTCATGACGATGGAAGTAGAGTGGCCTTGCTAACTGCTGACCTCCTTCTCCAGGAGGAACGGTTACACCTGCAGTTGACTCTAGCTTTAACGGCTGAGAGAATAAACACAGGCACACCTCATTTTATTGCTACCTCACTTTGTTGCACTTCACAGATACTGCACTTTTTTACAAATTGAAGGTTTGTGGCAACCTTGCATTGAGCAAGTCCATCAGTACTATTTTTTCCCAACAGCATGTGTTTACTCTGTGTCTCCAGTAATTCTCTCAATATTTCAAATTTTTCATTACTATTATGTGTTATGGTGGTCTGGGGTTAGTGATCTTTGATGTTATTATTGTAATTGTTTTGGGGTATCACAAACCATGCTCATGTAAGACAGTGTACTTAACCCATAAATGCTGTGTGTGTTCTGACTGCTCCACACACCAGCTGTTCTCCCATCTCTCCCCTTCTCCTCAGACCTCCTTATTCCCTTAAACACAAAAATATTGAAATGAGGCCAATGAATAACCCTACAATGACCTCTAAGTGTTCAAGTGAAAGGAAGAGTCTCACATCTCTTACTTTAAATCAAAAGTTAGAAATGCATAAGCTTACTGAAGAAGGCATGTTGAAAGCTGAGACAGGCTGAAAGCTAAGCCTCTTGCACCTGAGAGTCAAGTTGTGAATGCAAAGGAAAAGTTCCTGAAGGAAATTAAAAGTGTTACTCCAGTGAATATACAAATGATACAAAAGCAAAGCAGTCTTAACTGCTGATATGGAGGAAGTTCGAGTGTCCTGGATAGAAGATCAAACCAGCCACAACATTCCCTTAAGCCAAAACCTAATCAAAGCCCTACCTGTCTTCAACTCTGTCAAGGCTGAGAGAAGTAAGGAGGCTGCAGAAGATAAGTTTGAAGCCAGCAGAGATTGGCTCATGAGGTTTAAGGAAAGAAGATAGAGATGTACAAGTCGTGTCCATAACATAAAAGTGCAAGGTGAAACAGTAAGTGCTGATGGAGAAGCTGCAGCAAGTTATTCAGAACATCTGGCTAAGATCATTGATGAAGGTGGCTATACTAAAGAACAGATTTTCAGTGAAGACAAAAGAGCCTTCTGTTGGAAGAAGATGCAATCTAGGAATATTTTATTGCTAGAAAGAACTCAATGCCTGGCCTCAAAACTTCAAAGAATAGGCTGACTCTTGCTAAGAGCTAATGCAGCTGGTGACTTTAAGTTAAAGCCAGTGCTCATTTAGCATTTCACAAATCCTAGGAGCCTTAAGAATTATCCTAAATCTACTCTGCCCATGCTCTAAAAATGGAAAAATAAAGCCTAAACTACATCACATCTGTTGACATCATGATTCACTGAATATTTTAAGCCCGCTATTGAAACCCACTACTCAGAAAGAAAGATTCCTTTCAAAATATTACTGCTCATTGACAATGCACCTGGTCACCCAAAAGCTCTGATAGAGGTGTACAAGGAGATGAATGCTCTTTTCATGCCTGCTAACACAACATCCATTCTGTAGTCCATGGATCAAGGAGTAATTTTGACTTCCTAGTCTTATTATTTAAGAAATCCACTTTGTAAGGCCAGAGCTGCCATAGATAGTGATTCCTCTGATGGGTCTGGGCAATGTAAATTAAAAACCTTCTGGAAAGGATTCACCATTCCAGGTGCCATTAAGAACATTTGTGATTCACGGGATGAGGTCAAAATATCAACTTTAAGAGGAGTTTGGAAGTTTATTCCAGCCCTAGTGGATGACTTCAGTGGAGGAAGTCACCGCATATGTGGTAAAAATAGAAAGAGAACTAGAATTAGAAGTGGAGCCTGGAGATGTGACTGAATTGTTGCAATCTCCTGATAAAACTCGAATGAATGAGAAGTTGCTTCTTATGGATGAGCAAAGAAAGTTTTTTTTTTTTTTGAGATGGAATCTACTCCTGTTACAGACGCTGCGACATTATTGGAATGACAACAAAAGACTGAGAATATTACACAAGCTTAGTTGATAAAGCAGCAGCAGGGTCTGTGAGAGGATTGATTCCAGTTTTGAAAGAAGTTCTGCTGGAGGCAAAATGCTATCAAGCAGCAGTGTATGCTACAGATAAATCTTTCATTAAAGGAAGGGTCAATCAATGTGGCAAACTTTATTGTTGTCCCACTTTAAGAAATCATCGGTGGGGCCTGGTGGCTCATGCCTGGAATCCCAGTATTTGTGGGGGCCAAGGTGGGCCAATCACTTGAGGCCAGGAGTTCAAGACCAGCCTGGCCAACATGGTAAAACCTCGTCTCTACCAAAAATACAAAAATTAGCCAGACGTGGTGGCACGTGCCTCTAATCCCAGCTACTCAGGAGGGTGAGGCGGGAGAATCGCTTGAATCTGGGAGGGGGAGGTTGCAGTGAGCTGAGATTAAGCCACTGCACTCTAGCCTGGGTGACAGAGTGAGACTTCATCAAAAAAAAGAAAAGAAAGAAAGAAAGAAAAAAAAAAAAAGAAATCACCACAGCCACCCCAACCTTTAGCAACCACCACCCTGATCAGTCAGCAACCATCAACATGGAGGCAAGACCCCCCAACAGCAAAAAAAAAAAAAAAAAAAAAAAAAGAATTGCTGAAGGCTCAGATAATTGTTAGCAGTTTTAGCACTAAAGTATTTTTTAGATATAATACTATTGCACACTTAATAGTCTATAATGTAGTGTGAACATAACTTTTATATGTAAAGGGAAACTAAAAAAAAAAAACGTGTGACTCAATTTATTGTGATATTTGCTTTGTTGCAGTGGTATGGAACTGAATCTGCAATTTCTCCAAGATATGGCTGTAGTTGGATAACTTCCCTCCCTACGTACTCTTCCTATAACATACATAATTGTAAATTACATAAGCCCCTTTCCTTCCCCTGCCACTTGGTGGCTGGCTGACCACAAGAGCACCCATTATTCCCTTCTCTTTCTCAATGAACAGGATCCTGCCTTAGTCTAACACTGCTGAATGAGATTGTCTGTTTAATTCTGATTCTTAATATTTGTAATCTAAATTTTCTAAAGGTATTAGCTATGTCCTTCAAGTGAGATTTTTTATCAATGATAAAGGTAATATTTTGTCCCTCCTCTGCTGACTCCTTTGTATGCTTCTCATTTGGTTCAAAACTCAGGCAGTGATAAAATGGTGTTATTATTGGGCCCTCTCAAAAACTGAAAGAGTGATGTTAATTGGTTTGTAATTTTAATGACGGCTGCCCTTTAAGGTGGGTTCTCTTTACTAGAGCCAATAAATTGATCTCCTGGTATCTGGAATGTTGCCAGCTATACATCTGGATATTTGCAATTCTAAGCCTAAATATCAGAAGCAAAAAGTTAAGTGTTTTCACCTTGCAGGGCTATCAGTATACTTTCGCTATCTTGCTTCATGGTCAGTTACTTCTGTGGCTCAATGACGGAATCTAGATTACAGTGATGTTAACCACTTCACCATCCCATTGAATATCCATCTGATCTAGTACATTTATGGCATTGTGCTGACAGGGCCTGGAGACAGATGAGGCAGATACCCTAGATGTTTTGGCAGGTCACATTAATTTCTTGGGATGAAACATAAATTTTATAAAAATTCAGGAAATTACTATCTCATGGAGGTTCCCCATGGGAGATGAAGTATCCCTGTGATCTAAACTTAACAAAATATTAGCTTTGAGTTATGTCAAGAAAAACCAATGTCTCTCTGGTTGACTCAAACTGAAATTTGTGTAGCTCTGACTCTTGGCCCTCATAAACCAATAGGTCTTTGATACACAAAATGTCTGGAGTTGCTCAGGAATGCTGTATAGAACCGGAAAACCCTGACAGAAGAATCACAGTGAAAGCCCCTAGGGTTTTGGAGCAAGTTCCTGTTCTCTGTGGAAAGTACCTACTCTTTTTTGTAGAACTAGCTAAAACTTTGAAAAGACTGAATGCCCAACCATTCATGTGTGACATTACCACCCATGTGAGCTGGGTGTTATCTGATCCACTTAGCCATCAAGTAGGGCATGTCCAGCAACACCCCGTCAAATGGAAAAGCTAAAAGTGTGACTGGGCCTGAGCAGACCCCAAGGCAGAAATGATCTGTGTGAATAGGTTGCTCACAGTCTCTGTGTATTTACTCCTGCCTCAATGTTATCTCTTCCTCAACCCATACTAAGTCCTGTGGTGAGAGGAGAACTCTCTCCAATTACTCCCAGTATTAGTTGATTCTGGGGCAGGGAGGACTGTGAGAACATAGCACCCTTTGAGCATTTGTAGGAGTTCACAGTTCTGGGAGCTAACCAGGCAAAAGGTTTTTATGCAAATAACTGAAACTGACCCTACTTATTGGAATGTTAAGAGTAGCTTGGAAAATTGATAGGAAGGTGTGATAGGCAGCAAACAAAGGCGTCGGGCAATACAGAATATAGCTATGTACATGTCCATACAGCAAGAAGACTCTGACATGTGCCAATGCTGTATTAATACCCTGAATACTCACCACCACTGCTGGACTCCTGGCTGCATCAGCACTGCTGGGAATATTCCCAAACTCTGCCTGCATATTCGTACATTCCCTTGGATTCAAACCCTACCTAATATAATGCAGGTACTGCTGCATATGCCCCTGTACTACTGAAAATCCACTCATCTTGTCCCCAAAGACAGCCCAATACTTGCTATTTTCATTCAGCTCCAAGTTCAGGATCTCCTGATAGTGCCCACTTCATCTCTTGTTCTTTTGTGATCCTGTACTGATATTTCATATCCTATGAAATATACTAAAAGTCAACCACCACTAACTCACCTAGTTATAATAGTGAGAAAATGGGAGAAGAAAGAGAAAAGAAGATTAAATACAGAAACATATACCCAACAATAAAAAATGAAATATGGGTAGATGGAGAGTATTTCTGAAACTGGTTGTGAGGCTGTAGCTTATTGTAACAAATTCCTGCCTCCGCTTATCCAATCCATGTTCCCTTTGCCTTCAGCCACCCCCTCGATTGATTGGTGCAATTTTTTCTGGTGGAATGACTCAGATTTTTATTCTGGAGGAGATCTGAGCCCTTGATGACCCAACCTGTACAGAGTTATAGACATCTTTCATGAGCTTATACACACTGACACAGTAAAGCAAGGAGAGACCCCAGGAATAATCTGAGTTCCATTCATACTGTTTTTTCCACACTGTCTACATTGTACAGCAGTAGTGCTATTTCCTTTTATAGCTGGGAATAGTTGCTAAGTCAACAGAACATCCACTTTTTAGACTGCTGGCAATTTTCCAGGCTTTAGGCATGCTCTGGTGAAATCGTAAGCAAAGACTGCTCTTTTGTACTGGTCATGGCTACCTTTTGCAAGTCCATCAGCTGTTTTTCAATTAACTTCGGTCTTCCTCTCAGGGGAATCAGATGATTAAGTTGATCCTCCCATGATACTCTGTGCTCATGGAAAATCAGAGAGCTGCCTCTGCCCTGCTCATGTTTAGGCATACTGCACCTCCAGTTTTGATATAGGGATGCCTCCTCTCCATGGTTACACTGTGGAACTTATCTATAAGACTTTCTATCATTGAGGGTCCTGCCTAAATAAATAAAAAAAAAAAACCTGGAATCTTCTACTCCAAGACCCCCAAACATGAAGGCAGGGTCTAGTTATACCCCATCCCAGGACTCTGGCCAGTGGGGCAAGAGTCAGGAGACAGCACTCTTACAATTACTTCTCACTCTCTTGCTCCCGATTGCATCTTCTCCCAAAATATTTGTATCTTAAATTTGGATTTTTACACCAGGCGAGGTGGCTCATGCCTGTAATCCCAGCACTTCGGGAGGCCAGGGTGGGTGGATCAGCTGAGGTCAGGAGCTCAAGACTAGCCTGGCCAACATAGTGAAACCCTGTCTTTACTAACAATACAAAAATATTAGCTGGGCATAGTGGTACATGCCTGTAATCCCAGCTACCCGGGAGGCTGAGGCAGGAGAATCGCTTGAACCCGGGAGGCAGAGGTTGCAGTGAGCTGAGATTGCACCACAGCACTCCAGCCTGGGTGACAGAGTGAGATTGCATCTCAAAAAAAAAAAAAAAAAAAACTTTTTTTTTTTTTTTGAAATTTTAGGAGCTACACATTTGCCAACCTTATTCTTCGGTCCCATCCTAACCATATTCACCTCCACCAGGGAACATATGGTAGCCACATATCTTATAGCCTGAATGGAGCCCTGGCACAGAGGAAAAAGAATGTTTGAAGAAAGAATTATTTGAATGTTTGAATGTTTGAAAAAGAATTATTACACCTCCACAACAGGCCCCATAGTATTTGTGTCCTTGCAAAACATATTATCTCTGTTCTGGGGTTCTAACATCCCTCTTCATGGTCAGAGAGATACATATTTGTCTTGAATCTGTGTCTTCAGAAGATCTTCCCAGTACATTGCTGTGTGAGTGTTGTGTCTGCAGCCCCAACTGCCTGCCCAAGGAAAAGGTGAGTACAATTGAGTCCCCATTCACTAGGGGCTCCTATTTAATCTCACAGCCTCTATATCCTAGGAAGTTGAATTAACCTGGAGGGAAGATTCTCCACCCACCTGGCATAGGTTGCAGATGGATTTTACACAATGGGAATTGGGGCAGGCAGGGTTGGAACATGGCCCAAAGTGTTGGGGGATCACTCTCCTGTGACCTGACACAGGTTCTATGCTCTGTCTCACAGCCTGAGAGAGAGAAAGCAAATTTTAGTCCACTTTAGCCCTACTGCATTGTCATCAAAGGAGACTTCACTCAGCAACTTGACATTGGGAGGGTGGACGTCCTCTTCCTTTCAGCCCTCCCCACCCCCAGCATACAGCTACAGGCTGCCGGGCTATCCTCTCACAACTCTCAAGGTGGTTGGCGAGTTTAGGCAGCAACTGCCAGTTAATAGCAGAAAGAGAAGCTAGGAAGAGGGAAGTCAGGGGCCCAGTGTATGCATGTGTGTGGGTTGGAGAAGGGTGCAAAGGTGATAAGAGAAGAGAAGAGTGGCATAAGGGCTTATGTTTGGCACCGTTAAGACTTACTGTGAACCTGACATGCAGAGATGGAGGGCCTCAAGAGGGTCTTTCTCTTGCTGGGATGGTTCTCTGATCACCTGTCCACTCCATCAGTGAAGGACGGGTCCCCCACTTTAAATAGTGTGAGATGGCTGAACCCATGACACCTGACACTGAAGAGATGAGATGAATAGCACATAGAATTAGTGTCACCTATACTCACAGCCTGAGGGAGGAGGATACTGCATGCCATGCAGTGACCCACAGAGGTTCCACTTGGGAGCAGGGTGAACCAGCAGAGGCTGTGGAAGGCAGGCTTTGCATTAGGATGGTGCAAGGGTAATCGTGGTTTTTGCCATTAAAAGTACTCCTGCAGGAAGATGTGATTAGCTTTTTTTGTGGGCTGACAGGGACTTGAGACTCATAGGTTAAGAACTGGGTGGGTGCAGCTGATCTGATAATAGAGGAACTAGCCAGGTGGGGAGCCTCTCCCACTGGGTGGTGGAGGGGGGAGCACATTCAAAGAGCAGGAGAACTCAGGGTTAGACCTTTGGACCCTGTGAGAACTTGAAAGCACTTTAAGGCAGCTCTTGAAGTTTTAGGCCTTACAATACAAATGGACCAAATGCCTTTGCCTAGTCTCTTTCTGTGGGAATCCAGCTTTCCCTTGTTGTAGGGATCCCTTTGTTCATAGAAATTATAGGGCAGCTGGCAGATTTTCATGCCTAATAGCTGCCCATGGTACACATTGAAGGCTGATTTGCTTCTAAACAATACTCCAACCAACACTCGTGTGGCAGGGCAATCATGAGTGCAGGGAGAGTTCACATGTGAGGACCTGGTAGGTGGGTAGTAGTGGATGAGGTCACAATGTGGTTGGAACTTGAACAGTATCCAGTTTCATTCCTAAAACAACCTTTTGAAATAGGTAGGCACCTGGACCTGCCAAAAGGAACCTATGGTATTTGTGTCAACATGTGCCCAGGAAACAAATCCTGTCTAGGGGAAAGAGATGCCAAAGCAATGGCTGTGGTCATGTGTGCAAAGTTGTTCCTGAAACAAGTAAAAGCCAGCCCCTGAGATGCTCCCAGGGGAAAATGACACATTGGTCTTCCTTAGGATAACCACAGGGAAGCAGGAATTGTTTTGACTATTCCAGGACTTTTGGCCACCTTATCTGAACTCTTCTGTTGTCCTGGCTTCCCTGAACCATGCTTAGAAGCATGCTAAGCAGTTAAGAAGAGATAGCTTGATCCTGGACATAGCTCAGTTGTCAATACAGCTGTCCAACTTCCATGGACTTTTGGGCTTATTTCAGTCTGACAACAGGGTGGGTGGTTGGCGAGGAGAGAAAGAAAAGGGACCAGCAATCATGGGGCAGCTGCTATGTGTTAAGTGCCCAAATAACAAAAAGACTATGAAAAGGTCACCATCCTCAAGTGCTTTCAGTCTAGTTAGGGAGATAGAGCCATAAAACAAATTAAAAAGCACGTAACAAGGGCACAAAGATCTGAGGAAGCAGTGCAGAGCGAGCAACTTTACCAAGAAGAGTCTTCAGAGAGGAAATAATAATCTGAGCTAGATCTTGACAAAGAGCAGGAGTTAACAGAGAGAAGAGGACAAGCCAGGCAGAGGAAGCAACAGTCACATCACCCTGGATGAGCCAAAGCCATAGAGATTTAGAGCATGGAGGATGTGGCAAGAGACTCCCCATAGGGTAGTGGCAGGGAGTAATCTGCAAGAGGAGGATCAAGACAGAGTCTGAAGCACCTTAAACACCCTGCTTGGATTCGAATGGGGCACCATGGTAGGTGTTTAAGCAGGGAATGGCTCATGATAAATTCTGTATTTTATGTCAACAGCAGTGATGACCGTGCAGGCGGAAGCACAGACCTTTATAAGAGTAGCCAGGTCACTTCTTCAGAAGATTCTTCACCCATCCCCAAGCCCTGGTTGTTCTTCATCCTTGGAGTTACAAGCCTGGAAGAAATAGCCTTATTTTAATTATTCAATTTTGGAAATTTCCACAGGCTAACTTTTAACCAGAAGATCTTGATCCTAAAAACTCTTATCCAGAATAAACTGTTCTGGCATTATCCAATCTGAGTCTTTATACTATGTAAGGTCTCTAAGGGGCCCTTTCTGGACTAGCAGCATCATAAATAGCATAAAAATAATAAGGCCCATGCATGTAGAAGCAATTCTGGGGATTCTAAGAAGACAAAGTCCCTCAAGTCCCTTCCTACATCCTTAGTGGCCTCTGAATTACTGCCCTCTGTCTAAGGGTGAGTGGGGCTTACCCTCTGCTTAGCCTCCACGGGAAGAGAAAGATTGTATTTGTGTTTTCACGCTGCTAATAAAGACATACCTGAGACTGGGTGAATTATTTTAAAAAGGATTAATGGACTCAGTTCCACATGGCTGGGGAGGCCTCACAATTATGGCAGAAGGCGAAAGAGGAGCAAAGGCACATCTTACATGGTGGGAGGCAAGAGAGAATGAGAGCCAAGTGAAAGGGGTTTCCCCTTATAAAACCATCAGATCTCATGAGATATATTCACTAACAGTATGGGGGAAACCACCTCCATGATTCAATTATCTCCCCCTGGGTCCCTCTTACAACATGTGGGAATTATGGGAGCTACAATTCAAGATGAGCTTTGGGTGGGACACAGCCAAACCATATCAAAGATGTAGGGTAGGCTGTAGGGCAGACTGAGGGAGCACCAAAAAGTGGGGGTCAGAGCTGGGTCATAGAGAAGGAATGAAGAAGTCGGCCGGGTGCGGTGGCTCACACCTGTAATCCCAGCACTTTGGGAGGCTGAGGCAAGCAGATCACTTGAGGTCAGGAGTTCCAGACCAGCCTGGCCAACATGGTGAAACCACATCTCTACTAAAAATACAAAAATTAGCCGGGCATGATTGTGCATGCCTGTAGTCCCAGCTACTCAGGAGGCTGAGGCAGGAGAATTGCTTGAACCCAGGAGCAGTAGGTTGCAGTGAGCCAAGATCGCACCACTGTACGCCAGCCTGGGTAACAGGCTGCCACTGCACTCAGCCTGAATACTGATTTTTATTAGTTTTCAGATAGCCCGGGGATCAGCAAACTACAGCCCACAGGCCAAATCCAAGCCACCTCCTGGTTCTGCACATCCCATGAGTTAAACTGATCTTTGCATTTTAAAATGTTTAAAATACAAAGAGACACATATACTAATAATATTTAGTGATATGTAAGATAATATGGAATTCAAATTTTAGTGCTCATAAAGTTTCATTTGAACATAACTACACTCATTAGTTTCCATATTGTCCATGGCTGCTTTCAAGTCACAATGTCAGAGTTAAGGGGTCACAACAAAGACTGAATGGCCTGCAAAGCCATATCTACTTCCTGCCCTTCACAGAAAAAGTTTGCTGACCCCTAGTCTAGATCCAGAAAATGAAAAAAAGATATAATTTCAGAAAACTACATTGTATGATATAACACAAATGGATAAATAGGTTTTCTATCTCCAGTAGCATTTTTTAATCCTTCCCTTCCTCCCACAAAAAAATTTATAATTAAAAAATATAAAAAGTCACTCTGGAAACAAAACAAACAAAAAGTCAGTCAGAGATCAGAAAACAGCCCAAATATGTATCCTGACTTTAATTCAAATATGTCTCAGCCCAAATATACATTCCAAATGATCTTGACCTTAACCCAAGCATCAGATTGAAATATTTTCAGAATATTATCAGGACAAACACACATATACAAAAATGCATATCACTATTGATCAGATGATAGATAGATAGATAGATATACAATATCTCTAGAAGAGAACCCAAGAAATTATAATAGTGGTTCTTCCTGGAAAGATAATGGGGTGGGAGGTATTGGAAGTCAAAATGGGGAGGAAAATTTCTTTTCTTTTCTTTCTTTCTTTCTTTCTTTTCTTTTTTTTTTTTTTTTTTGAGACCACGTATCACCCTGTTTGCCCAGGCTGGAGTGCAAAGGCACGATCTTGGCTCACTGCTGCCTCCATCTCCTGGGCTCAAGTGATTCTCCCACCTCAGCCTCCTGAGTAGCTGGGACAATAGGCATGCACTACCAAGCCCAGCTAATTTTTTGTATTTTTAGTAGAGATGGGATTTCACCATGTTGCCCAGGCTGGTCTTGAACTCCTGTACTCAAGCAATCTGCCCACCTTGGCCTCCCAAAATGCTGGGATTACAGATGTGAGCCACTGCACCCAGCCAGAAAATTATTACTTTTCATTGTAAACTTTTATTTATATTTAAATTCATACTGTGGGGAAAAGCAAGAGAGATCAGATTGTTACTGTGTCTGTGTAGAAAGAAGTAGACATAGGAGACTCCATTTTGTTCTGTACTAAGAAAAATTCTTCTGCCTTGAGATGCTGTTAATCTATGACCTTACCCCCAACCCCGTGCTCTCTGAAACATGTGCTGTGTCAACTCAGGGTTAAATGGATTAAGGGTGGTGCAAGATGTGCTTTGTTAAACAGATGCTTGAAGGCAGCATGCTCCTTAAGAGTCATCACCACTCCCTAATCTCAAGTACCCAGGGACACAAACACTGAGGAAGGCCGCAGGGACCTCTGCCTAGGAAAGCCAGGTATTGTCCAAGGTTTCTCCCCATGTGATAGTCTGAAATATGGCCTCGTGGGAAGGGAAAGACCTGACCGTCCCCCAGCCGGACACCCGTAAAGGGTCAGTGCTGAGGAGGATTAGTATAAGAGGAAGGCATGCCTCTTGCAGTTGAGACAAGAGGAAGGCATCTGTCTCCTGCCCGTCCCTGGGCAATGGAATGTCTCGGTATAAAACCCGATTGTACGTTCCATCTACTGAGACAGGGAAAAACCGCCTTAGGGCTGGAGGTGGGACATGCGGGCAGCAATACTGCTTTGTAAAGCATTGAGATGTTTGTGTGTATGCATATCTAAAAGCACAGCACTTAATCCTTTACCTTGTCTATGATGCAAAGACCTTTGTTCACATGTTTGTCTGCTGACCCTCTCCCCACTATTGTCTTGTGACCATGACACATCCCCCTCTCGGAGAAACACCCACCCACGAATGATCAATAAATACTAAGGGAACTCAGAGGCTGGCGGGATCCTCCATATGCTGAACGCTGGTTCCCCGGGTCCCCTTATTTCTTTCTCTATACTTTGTCTCTGTGTCTTTTTCTTTTCCAAGTCTCTCGTTCCACCTCACGAGAAACACCCACAGGTGTGGAGGGGCAACCCATCCCTTCACATACATTTTCATTTTTTAAAATCACAAATAGAATCTATAGAGGTCCAAATCCACTTACATCAGGAAGGTCATTATCAAGACAGATTGTGCATGGTACTTTTAAACCAGACAGAATAGTTGTTGTATTTGTATTCCATGTTGTGCAGAGATCTAAAATGGCATGTAAACATCAATTAAATCAATTAAATCTCAACCGAGATTCAAGATGAATCTCAGCTTCGCCACCTTGTTCAGAGATAGCTGAACAAGATGCAACAGCCCCTTCTATACTGATGATCAAGAGAAATCACAGCACCTTCAAAAATTAGACATCTCACAGAAATGGCCCCTTTGCTCTTGGAATGAAAGACGTGAGGGCTGGAAAGGAAGAGGGTGGCCTGGAGGAGTAGGGATCACATTCATTTTACGAAACCCACATGGCTGATGGAACGATGGTTAGGAGGTCACCCCACACCCAACCTCCCATCTCCCAGCCATGGTCAAAGTTGAGGTCATACATTCCACAAAGTCAGCCTCACAAGATATGAATGCTCCCATCAACACCTGTGCAAAAGGAAAAAAAAGTCCTTACATAAGAGGTGGCTGAAAAATACTGTAAAGAACCAAAAGTAATTATGAAATATGAATTTTCAAGTTTAAAAATGTCCCTCCTATGAGTTAGTAACATGAATTGGGTGAGGATAACCTTCCAGGAAGTCTGGGGTACCCATGTCAGAGACAGAGGCAGGAGGAATGGAGGAAGTGGCTTTCTACCTGTCTTCTCCAGCCAATATCTCACAGGACTTCTGAGCCCTGTGAGGAGAGAAGCAGTCTCCCCATTGCTGTCCAGAACATGATGTGACCAATGGAGTAAATGCTAGTGGGAACACAGCACCATCCTGTCACTTAGACTCTCAGCTTTGGGCTGGAGAGAATGTCCTGCTGCACAGGGCGGCATTCCTATGAGGACACTGGCAAAGGTGAAGTGGGGGCAGTGATGGGTCTCTGGGCTCAAGTGGCTTTGCAGAGAGGCCATATGAGAAGGACTTGAGTGGACTTGTTTGTAAGCACATAAATAAAACCTAAATAAATGGAGATTTATACCACAATGACAGACAGAAAGATTCAATAGTATTAAATGTTCATTTTCCCCAAATTAATCTATAGATTCAACTTATCTCTATCAAAATTATAGTAATCTTCTTTTAAAGATTGAGACTTATTCTAAAATGTATATGGAAATGAAAATGATCTAGACTAGCTAAAACAATCTTAAAAAAGGAAGAACAAACTTAGAGGATTCACATTATCTAATTTCAAGATCTACTATAAAGCTACACTACTCAAGATACTGTGGTATTGTCATAAAGTGTGTAGAGTTATTTCCTTTGTCCAGTGCCAAGTCCAAGGATGGGCCTCTAGCTTCCTGATAATACAAGGCTTTCCACAGGGTTTCCTGGCTGTTCTCTGCACCCTGGAACTACAACACTAGAAGGAAAAGTTCCACAATGGGTCTAGGCTAAAGTCTGATTTCTGAAGATTTCAAGGGGAATACTAGAGTGGCTGATTTCTAGAATATTTTTCCTGAATGAGCCCTTGATGTATCTTTACAAAGTCTGGGTCCTTCTTACTATTAAATGTGCGTGCTGCAATTCTTTTTTTTTTTTTGGAGCCATAGTCTTGCTCTGTTGCCCAGACTGGAGTGCAGTGGCACGATCTCGGCTCACTGAAAGCTCTGCCTCCCGGGTTCACGCCATTCTCCTGCTTCAGCCTCCTGAGTAGCTGGGACTACAGGCACCCGCCACCCAGCCCGGCTAATTTTTTTTTTGTATTTTTAGTACAGACTGGATTTCACCATGTCAGCCAGGATAGTCTTGATCTTCTGACCTCGTGATCCGCCCGCCTTGGCCTCCCAAAGTGCTGCGATTACAGGCGTGAGCCACTGCGCCTGGCCTGCAATTCTTAAAAATCAGCATCCTCCCAACCAGCACCAATTCACTGACAATACAGAGACCTGGCTCTGGACCAGTGCAGGTGCTGTAGACAGAGAACAAGATTCCAGGAAACCACACCTTAAAGATGGAAATCTGGGATTGGTTATCTCTGCAGGTTGTGTTTAAAGGCAGTAACGGCCACATTGCTGGTGGAAAGTAGGATCCCAGGAGTCCAGGTCACAGATTGGCAAGATAGATACTGAAATTATCACCTATAGTTGCTTCGATGAAATGCCTTTTAAAGGGAAGTCTTTAGAATACCCAAGGAGCTCTTAAAATAGAACATTATGGTGGTTACATGGAGTGGGATGCCACCTTCTAACTGCACTGGAGAGTTTACAGAAAACATAAGCTCAGGGCTTTCAATCCTTAGTTGAAGACAAGGTCAGAGAAACAGCTAACATGTATTCTGCCCTAAGGAAGTCTGCTTCCATTTTATCTGAGATGAGAACCAAATTTGACAGGTTGACTATGAATTACAAAGCAAGTTGAATCTCAGCTTTGCCAGGTCTCTCATATTTAAACTAAGGCATGAAGAGGGGAAAGTAGGGCCTTACAGATTGCAATGATTCTGACAAATATGAGCACCTTAACTTCCCAGAGCTGCGCTGACTCTCTCTACCAGCAGTCACAGCCCCAGCTCCCCTGAGGAAGCTGCCACCCCCTTGCCTGAAGTTTCTATAATAATTTCTACTGAATGTCTTGGAGAGCTATAGTCCATTGCCTCTCATTGCCTCAGAATACTGGGAGGACAAGAGTCATAATCCAGCTGCACTCCAAAGGTGAAGTCCAAAATCTGACCTGGGAGGAGATAGAATACATGCTCAAATACTAAAATATTTTGCCAAGTTATATCAGCACTAATCTAAGGAATATGTGTATGTTTTTGGCAATGGCTAACTAGGCATGGTGTTCTTAGGATGGAAGATATGGGCAAACTACTGAGGCCTTTGTGGATCTATACGAGAGAAGGAGAGACAGAGGAAGAAAGAGATGAGGAGGGGAAGGAGGGGAGAGAGATAGAGACAGAAAGAGAGAAAGCGAGAGAGCAAGAGAGTGCACACAACTTCTTGGCCTAGGGAACAGACATATGTTATGAACACCATACTGGAAAGGAATGGCTTCTCCTCCCAAAACCAAAACCAACCAGTTTACAGACCAGAACCCTTTGAGTTAGGAGGAAGTCAGCTCCCACTAAGAGAGGACCATGGGACATTGCCACAAGTGAGTACTGTAAAGTTTCCTTCTATGCTTATCTAATGGGACTTGCAATCATTCACTGGTGACATAGCATTGGAGAGAGGGAACTACCCAGGCTCTGAGGCAATGACTGGACAGTGCTCTGATCTGACACTGATATTTGGGAACTAAAATATCCCTGCATTGATCAGAGTGCAGGCTTTTCGAAGTCAGGTGTTGAATGGAGTTTTGGCTTCTGCCCATTTCACAGTGAGCCCAGTGGTTCCACAAACTCTTCCTGTGGTCACTTTCTCAGGTCTTGAGTGCTTAGTTGTAATTGTTATCTTAAACACTGGGAAAAACTTCACATTTGCTCCCTGATGGATGGGGTGAGGGCTATTATGATAGAATACGTCAAGAGGAACCCCCTTGGAACTATCCCACCACTATGACCAAAAGAGTAATTTAAAAGTAATTTAATAGTATTTAATAGTAATTTAAATAGTAATTTAAAAGTAATGCTGCTGTCTTAATCTATTTAGGCTGCTGTAATAAAATACCATAAACTGGGTCATTTATAAACAACAGAAATTTATTTCTCACAGTTCTGGAGGCTGGGAAGTCCAAGATCAAGGTGGCAGCAGATTCAGTATCTGGTGAGGGCCTGATTCCTCATTCATAGATGGCAGTTTCTTGCTGTGTCTTCATGTGGTGAAAGGATCAAACAACCTCCCTAGGGTTTCTTTTATAAAGGCACTAATCCCATTCATGAGGTCTCTGCCCCTAATTCCTAATCACCTCCCAAAGGGCCCAGCTTGCAACACCACTATCCTGGGGGTTAGGATTTCATCTTATGGATTTGGGAAGGACACAAACATTCACCTCATAGTAACCAATCCCGGGGAATCACTGAAATTTCTGTTACCATCAAGTTTGCACTTGCATCTGATTAGCTGTGCAGAAGAGATAACATGGCCGGCCTGAGAATATAGTCCTTAGAAAGGCCTGCTTGCAAAGTTGGCCCTTGGCTGACATCTGGGAGCTTGAATGTTAAACAGTTCTCTACACTGATACAAAATTTTCCCTAAATGACAAGAGTGCCTCACTGTGCCTAAACTTTTTGTGCAAACAGTATGCTTTATGCTGAATACATGTTTTACTTCTGGGAGTCTGGAATTTTGGCACATGCTGGGTAGAAGGAGTGCCTATACGACAGGCCTCCAGTAAAAATCTTCAACTCCTAGGCTCAGGCAAACTTTCCTGGTGAACAATATTTCACATGGGCTGTCACAACTCGATGCATAAGAAATTAAGTTATTACTGTGTGACTGTACAGGGAGGGGACTTTTGGAAGCTTACACCTAGTTTCCTCCAGACTTTGCCCATATACCTTTTCCCTTCGTGGATTTTGTTTTGTATCCTTCACTGTAATAAATCAGAACCATGAATATGACTATATGCTGAGTCCTGTGAGTCCTCCTAGCAAAACTTTGAGCCTAAAAATGTCTTGGGAACCTTTAACACAGTAGGTATTTCATCCTGCTGCCTGTCTGCAGAAATATGAGGGCCAACAGTTTTCTAAAGATTTTGTCTTAGTCCCTCATAGTGTGAGCAGTAGTGCTTTTAACAATACAATTCTTTTAAGAACCTCAAAGGTTTCCTGTGAAACTGGTTCAGATCTCCATGACCCAAAAGTCTCTAGCACAATTCTTTTGTGAACAGGTCTTTCTCTTCTTTGAGAGTTGCAGGCATCTGTTGGACAAGAACCCTAAAATTTTTAGGAGCCATTTTGTCTAGCTCAAAGTATCTACTAAGCACGACTTTCAATCTTACAGAGCTCTTAACAGAGTGTCCTACAGCCATACCTTTTATTAGACTTTTACCACTGAGACTATATATTACTTTGAGTTTCCTTTAATGGCTTGAGAGACTACAGGTGAGAAATAATTTAATTTTCCCACTTAGAAATCCCCAGCTTTTCTATAATCTAATTTCTGCTTGAAAATGGAGCCACCTTTCTCTAACTCATTTATTTCTGTCTTAGTTCATTCTGGCTTTTATAACAAAATACCATAGCTTATAAATAACAGGAATTTATTTCTCACCATTCTGGAGAATGGAAAGTCCAAGATCAGGGTGTCAGCATGGCCAGGTTCTGGTGAAGGCCCTCCTCTGAGTTGCAGAATCCCAACTTGTTGCTGCAACCTCACATGGTAGAACTGGTGAACTAGCTCCCTTGGGCCTATTTTATAAGGACACTAATTCCATTCATAAGGGCTGCATTATCATGATCTATTCACCTCCACAACCCCTCCATCATCTCCTAATACAATCACATTGGTGATTTGGTTTCAACATATGAATTTGGGGGGAACACAAACATGCAATGGACATAGCATGTGGAATGATAGACAGTAGAGACTTGGGACAGTGGTGGAGGGTAGGGTAGGACAAGGTAGATGATGAGGAATTACTTAATGGGTACAATGTACATTATCCAGGTACCCTGACTTCACCACTACACAATCTATGCATGTAACTAAATTACACTTGTACCCCATACATTCATATGAAAAAAGGAGAATAAGGCCAACCCAGCTCATTTTCTCCAGCCTAGGTGACAAGGGCAAAACTCTGTCTCAAAAAAAAAAAAAAAAAAAAAAAAAAAACAAGAAGAAGAAGAAATCTTTGCCTATCCCAAGATCATGAAACTATTTCTACAATATCTTCTAAAAGCTTTATTGTTTCTTCTTTCACATTAAGTCCATGATCCATTTGGAAGAGATTTCTGTGTGTGGTGTGGGGTAGGAGTCAAGGTTCCTTTTTGTTTACATGAATAAGCCAATCAAGCCAGCTACCTTTACTGAAAAAGCATTCTTTCCCTCTTTGAACTACAGCGGCTCCTTTGTCATAAGTTATGAGATGGTGTGTTTTTGTTACACTGATCTATTTGGTATCTTGCACTGCTGTTCCATTTACTGCCACATTATAATAAATCCTGATAAATGGTAGCTTAAGTCCCTCAACTTTGTTTAAGACTGTCTTGATTATTCTTGCCTTTTGGAATTTTCATATAAGTTTTAGAATCAGTTTATCAATTTTCATGAAAAATCCTTCTAAGATTTTGACTGAGATTGTATTAAATTTATTGTTGAATTTGGGGAAAACTGACAGCTTTATAATAATGAATCTTCTAATCCACAAACACGGCACATCCCTCCATTTATTAAGGTACCTACAAATTTTTGTTTGTAATATCGTGTAATTTTCTGCACAAGATTTGTTAGATTTATCTCTAGGTAATTGATGGTTTTGACGATATCTTAAAGGGCATTTGAAAATGTTATTTTCTATATGTAATACTTGAAAGCTGTTAATTGGGTCTCTCCTCTGGTCAGGCATCTGTGTGCACCAATGCAGAAAAGACGGGGACTACAAGGAAGGAAAATGTTGCATCAGGAAGGGCTGCTGGCACATCTTTGTTCCCCCTCCCCAAAACCTCATCCCCAAGCAGGTGAGTCCTGACTCTCCCCACCTGGCCTGACCGAGACTGATTAAAGATTTGGTGCTACCTGGATTTTCACAGTAGTGCGGTCACCCACAAATGTGACAGAAATGTCCCCAAAGGCCTGAGGGCTCCTTCTGCTCTCACCCTTCCTGAGGGAAGGGCTGATCCTAAGACCCATTACCCCCACATTTTCAAGTATGAGAATCCTGAAAAGAAAAATCATTTCATATTTCCCAAGGAATAGATATTCATTATAGTGAAGTCAGATATATAGAACAAAGAGATGGTAAAACTTGCTCATAATCTCATTACCAGCAGATAAATATAGTTACATGTTTTGTCACGTCCTTTCATACTTTGATCCATGGGGTGTGTGTGCAAAATAATCAAGGCATCACACTCTACATAATTTTGGACCTCTTCTTTTTTTTTTCACTCACCAATATACAGTAAACAGCTTTCCCTGTCAGTGGATGTATTTCTACAATTTCATTTTCCCCCCAAGGTTTCACATCATTCTCACCATGTAGATATACCATATTTTATTTACTAATTCTTGACCAATAGATATTTAGACTTCAAAAGATTCCTTAGAATGAAATCTTTCCATGCACAGTTGATTGTTTCATCAGGAAATATTCTTTGAAGTGTTTCTAGGTGAAAATGCATGCATTTTTTACATTTTAATTTTATTTAATTTTTTAGAGATCCCTAAAAAATTAGGAATCCCTGTTGCCTAGGCTGGTCTCAAATTCCTGGGCTGAAGCTATCCTCCCACCTCAGCCTCCTAAGTAGCTGGGATTGCAGACACATGCCACTGTGCCTGGCCAGCATGCACGCTTTTTAAACTCCAAAAATACATTGCCAAATTGCTGTTACGAGGGTACATTTTTTTATGCCAAAAAGTTTTGATCAACCTCAAAATACTGGCTATAGTTTAATTTTTCACTATTTGACAGTAGGTGTAATTTCATCTGAGTTTACAATTTTAAGTCACATACATTAAAAAAAAAAAAAAAACCTCAGTTACGTTTGTGAAATATTTACTTGTTTGGAGGAATGTTTCAGCAATCTTTTGTAATAAGTTGGAATCCCCCAGAGTGGGAAAAGGATGAATGAAACACATATTTAGCACCCGCTTTGTTTCAGATCTTTTCAAATACATTTTTTTTTAATCTTGAGAGCTTTTTATGATGTGTGGATTTATAGCACCCACATTTTACAGATGAGGAAACTGAGAAATAAACAAAATGTCTTTTTCTTTTGCTTACCTTACCATGATTCCTCTCCACTCTCTCCTTTAAGTCACTGGGCTTATATTGCAAATGGTGATCCCAGGAGGCCACTGTAGCTAATGGTGTCCCCCAGTTTGCAATAAAGATTTCTGTCATCTCCCTCTCCCGCTGGGTTCAGAAACAAAGCCTGGGATGGCGGCAGGCCCATTGCGCCATCTACTGGCAATCACTGTGCAGTGCATGACCTTCCCACTGCAGTACTGGCTGGAGCAGATGAGGTGGAAATATCTGTAAATTTCACATCTGCATTTACTCTTCATAACAGCTTTCTGAAGTAAATATTGTATCCTTATTTCAAATGCATGGAAACTGGGTCTTTGAGAGATGAAATGTGTCCCACATCAAGCAGTTGGTAAATGGCAAAGCTGATCTCTTTGCCACCAAAGCCAGAACACTTTTCAGCACAGCATGCTGCCTCCCCGAATGAAGTAATCATGAGGAGCTGCTGTCCACATGCTTCTGCCTTTTCCTCCAAACCACTCAAACTATAAGATAACAGCAAAAGAAATACCCAGCGTCTTTGCACAGAGCGGCCACAAATGCTTTCTGCTGTGGCAGCTGCTGACTCATCCACAGGACCGTTTCTTCCACCTCAGACCCATGCGTTCCTGCTCTCTGCCAAGTCCGAACTGGAGAAAACAAATTCTGTCCCAGTGGGGTTTCCCATCTTTGGCTGGCTGGCTGGACTTCCTCCACAACCACTCTCTCGCCTTCTAAGCAGGAGCTGGGTGAGACATGAGATCATGGGGGCATCCGACAGCGACAGCCATTTCTGGGGCCGTCATCATAGTCCAAGCCCCACCGAGACTGGCAGCAGTATAGCATTGTGAGGGGGGCTGAAGTCAGATAGACTCGATTCAAACCCTGCACCCTCCTTTTCCTAGTTCTGTGGCTTTGTGCAAGTGAATCAAACTCCCAGAGCCTCTTTCATTCTAAAATGGAGACAATAGTTTCTACTTGTAGGGTTGTTCTGAGACTTGAATAAGGTTGTACAATCACCTAGCTCTTAGTGCTTATTTACTGAGTACATAGCAAGTGCTCGATAAATGGTAGTGTGAAGTTGGCACTAGGTATGTACCTTCTCTGAACCTCCCTTGGTCAGTAAGGAACATTAACATCGTGTGGGGGTTAAGATCCTGAGGTCTGGAGTCAGACAGACATCCTTTGGATCTGGACTCTGCCACTTGCTAGCCATGGGACCATCTTGTGGCCTTGTGTCTCCTCTCTGTGGACCTCAAAACGAGTCTTTATTCAAAGCCCAGGGCCCTGCCTAATATTAAGGCTTTAGATACATATTTTCAAATTGCCTCATGAGGGCCCTTTTAAAACATCAGAAATGTTAAATTACTCATAGGATAGCTAAATTTGTAGTAATAAAGTATCTGCATACATGCCTAATGGATTCAGTAATGCCACTAAATAGGAGTTTGTGTTATTTACAGCAGTCTCTACTTATATTTGAAAAGAATAAAACATCACATTAATTTTACAGACAATGTGTAGGTTACATATGGACTTGTGGATCTCATGCATTACCCGTGTTGTCCCCCAGATACATACAGTCACTGTGGGAACAAACACCACCCTGAGTACCTGCTGCTTGCTAGGGATTTTCATGGAGGTTATGGCATTTAAACCTGAAACAGGGCCAGGCATGGTGGCTCATGCCTGTAATCCCAGCATTTTGGGAGGCTAAGGTGGGTGGACCAGTTGAGCCCAGGAGTTCAAGCCCAGGCTGGCCAACATGGTGAAACTCTATCTCTACCAAAAATACAAAAATTAGCTGGGTGTGGTGGCATATGCCTGTAATCCCAGCTACCCGGGAGGCTGAGGAATGATAATCGCTTCAACTCAGGAGGCAGAGGTTGCAGTGAGCTGAGATCACACCACTGCACTCCAGCCTGGGCAACAGAGCTACACTCCATCTCAAAACAAAGCAAAGCAAAACAAGAAAAGACAAGAAAAGAAAACCTAAAACAACTCTGCAGAATAATTGTTATTATCACCATTTTATACACGTGGAAACAGGCTCCGAGGGGCTCAATGAATTTCCCAGAGTTCTACAGATAATAAGGGGCAGAGCCAAGATCCTGACCCTGATCTGTCTGCGTAGCATGAGAGAAATATCCACCGTGGACTGTATTTGAAAATATTCACAGATACTAGGTTAATGCTATATAAAGTATATTATACCTAACCTTTTATAACATATTTTTTCATTTAACAATAATTGTGAATAGATACTTCTATCAACCTACAAATCTACCTACTTTATCCTTTTAAAGGACTATGTCATACTCCATTAAATGAATTTACTATAATCTATTTAACCAACATTCCTTTAGTGAACATTTTAATGGTTTGCAATTTTTTGTCCTTGCATATAATGCTGAAATGAACTGGATCATATGCAAGTATTTTTGTACACCTCTAGAAGTGATTTTTTAAAATTCCTAAGAGTGAGATGATAAAATTAGTCACAAACATTTACTAACACATATTACCAAATCAGGCAGCATAATAAAAGATCATCAAATTTTTATTCATTCACTTAGCAAATACTTATGTCATGCTTGTGCTGTGCTAGGTACTGCTCCCAGAGCTTGACTCCTCATGACATCCTGAGATGAGAACTTTAATGATTCTGTTTTATACATAAGAAGACTGTGGCTCAGAGAGACAAAGTAACTTGGCAGAAGTTAGACAGAAAATAGCTGGTTTGGAAACCAGGGTCTGCAGCACCCAGGCACTTGATGACTACGTTGTCCTTCCTGATTTATTAAGGCTTTATTCCCAGAATTACTCAAATCCTAAAGAATAAATCTTATTTGATGGGAGTATCAAATGAGATTTTAAGGGGGAAAATATTAACATTAACATTATATGTTTTAAAATAAGATTTTTTATTTTTCCAGAAAAAAATCTTAAAAATTAAATCATTTGTTTCATTTTTTTAAAAGGAAACTATAAACCCAATATTTTAAGAAACGATTTCATTCACTCAACACTTTTGAGCTGAGTCTCTCCTCTCATCAGTTCTGTGTGAGCAGAAAAGAGGGAGGCTTAGGGGCTTAGGGGATTAGGGGTCATGGTCGCTGGGAAATGCAACAGAAACCTGTCAGGGCTGCTAGAACCTAGAAGAGTTAGCCATAGTAAATCGGCTGGTGCATATCCTTACAGAACTTTTATTTTGTAAGTGTGTATGCAAACTAGCTACTACATTACATTTTACATACATTAATAATCTCCCTTTATTTTTTTACCTAATGTATATTTTTCCATGACCATGAATGTATTTTTATAACTTTTTGTTTTAGGTTTTAAGGCATTTCATTGCTAAGTTGCATCTCCTAGATTTGGGAAAGAATCTAAAAAACACATATTTGGTGCATTCTGTGTGCTCTGCCCAGTCACACACATTATTCTATTTAACCTTCTGATGACCTAGGTATCTTCACCACTCTTCTAGATTGTTGCTCCCAGCAGTCATGTGACTCGTCTAAGGCCATGTTGCTACAGGTGGCTTGCAATCCAGGTTGGCTGAACTTCCAACTACATTCTCTTTGCTGTGCACTGTCCAAAAGTAGGGAGAGTTTCCTGCCTCTGGAATTCTCTATGTACAGGTGCCACCAGTTGTTTTCTTTGTGCACAGAAGAAAGTAAAACCCAGAGGCCACCATTAGTGATGGAGATGCATTGTCAGGAGAGGACAGAAGATGGGTAGAAGTTGACAGAGCTCTCATTTCTCCCACATGGGCTTGTACCATATGCAAATGGTTTCATAAGCATCTGGTAACAGTGTGTTCAGCCACAAGAGGGAGACCAAATTGGAGCTGGAGATCCTTCTTCTCATGCCTCACCGTACTTTTGACTTCCCGAAAAAGAGGATTCGAGTGGCTCATTTTGGCATCTTGCAGTATAGTGTATTTCCACTGGGCAGGGAGTCGCAGTCTCTCTTATGCTCAGGCTGGCCACAGCGGCTTTCCTGGATATGTCTTTGTCCTGGTTCAATCCTGGGGCGGGGGAGCAGTGTTGCCCGCACCTTCCTAACAGAGCCAGCCTCCCAAGTAGAGCAGCTGAAGAGGGAAAACAGTCACTGCGGGCTGCAAAACTCATTGTCTGGAGCAACATCTGGGGGCTGGGGCAGGTCCTCGGCCCACCGTGGTGATGAAAAGTGCTCAAATCATCAAAGAGTAAAAATTCTACACCAAAACCCACACTTTCCACAATAGTCATGTGGGTTTCTCCTCCTAGCCTGAGGGCATTTCTTGGGTCCTCCTTTCTGTGCATGATTCTCCAGCTCCAGGACAGCCCATCTCCAGCACACTCTGGACAGGTTATGCCTGATTCTGCCTGACATGCTCCAGGCTTAAGAAACTGGCTCCTGTGAGCCTGGGCTGCCACCCATCTCCCTGGCTCTGGGTTCCAACCCTGGCTTCCTGGGGTGCTTGTGGCATGGGATGGAGTTAATGGTCAGCCTGGGAGTTGGAACTTCCACATTGTGTTAGCCTTTAAAACATCAGTGTCAGCCAGGAACTCAGAAAAGATAAAGACCCCAGATTGCCAAAAGCCCCTTCTCTTAAAGGGATGAGTCAAAGGCTTTCTTCCTTTCCCACATCCCAGGCAGGATTCATCTCTACCCTATTCCCAGAATAAACAGAGTCCCATTAGGTTTTCATGCCTACAATTGTCCCCAGTTTGTACTAAAGAGTAGTTGGTTCCAGACAGGAAAACCATAGCCTCAGCTCCATAGAGGGTGAGAAATGTGTGTATAAACAGCCTGCATTCGAATGCAGAAAGTCATGGCAGGCTGCATGAAGACCACCACTAGTTCAAATGATGCTTGTGTGAGAATTAGAGAAAGGCCCCCTTCCAGTAGACAGAGTCCCATGGGTAAACAGACAGCACCTTTATCCTATTTAGGAAAAGTGTCCCTCCCTCTAGGTGCAGGCAGTGCCAGGGTGGAGCACTTCAGAAATGACACTGGAGATGGATGATGGTCCCACTCATCCTGGCCACCAGACATAGTTGTTCAGTGCACAACCTGGAAAATCATACGTGTCAGCCCTGGTTAGAGTGGATGAGGTGAAAGTATGGGGACTTCTTACACTTGTGCTTTCATTTCCTGTTACATCTTAGTTATAATGTTATTCTCATTGCACAGACATGGAAATTACGGCCCAGAAGGTGAAGTGATCTGTTACAAAATAAACGGCAAGGCTGGTCTCTTCAACTCAAATCCAGACCACTTTCCACCATGCCATAAATGCCTCCTTGCCTGAAGCACTTTTAAAGAGCCACCTTCTGCCCACGTCTGCATCCTTTAGTTTTCTCAAGGCACAAAACCTTTAAGAACCACCCACCCAGCATCTTTGCATATCGTGTGTCCTGGTATGGCAGCTGCTGACCACGCCCTGAGTCATGCTCATGGCCAAGCTCCCCACTCGGGACCATTTCTGTCCGTGCAGACTCATCTTTTCCTGTTCTTTGCAAAGCCCAGCTAGAGCAAGCAAATTCTTCCCAATGGGTTTTTCCCATCTCTGGTTGCTTGGCTGGCTGGGCTTCCTCTACAAACCCCCTTCCTTTCCCCTAAGCAGGGCCCGGTGTCCCCATCCTGCGGAGTTGAGGTCATGAGGGCATCTGACCAGGAGTAGCTATTCCTGGTGCTATTGTCATTGTCCTGTTTCATGTGTGAACATGGCTGCTGGCTCTACAGAGATTTGGCAGGTAGCAAGGACGTTTCTTTTCAAATCTTCCTTTGGAAGTCAGACTTGGTGAGGATCGTATGCCCACCTTTTCCTAGCTCTGTGGTGCCAGGCAAAGTCTCAGTTTCTGCAAATTGGGGTTAAGAATTCCTACCTCACAGTGGTCTTTTGATAAATAAATAAGATCTTAAGTGAAAATTATTCCACTAGAAATTGCACAGTCACTTTGGTCTTCATCCTGGAGGTCCACTGACAAGCCTCATGCAAACCTGTGGCCCTGTTCATCTTAAGGTGTTTTTATTCATACTTTCAAATGGCCTCAGGAAGACCTTTTATAAAGTAAAAATGTTAGGCAGCCACATGATATCCATTGACCCAGTGAGGCTGTTTTACTGGATATGAGGGGTTTGACCCAGCACTTTGGGGGGCTGAGACAGGCGGATCACTTGAGGCCAGGAGCTGGAGACCCGCCTGGCCAACATGGTGAAACCCCATCTCTATTAAAAACACCAAAAAAATTACCTGGGCATGGTGGCACATGCCTGTAATCCCAGCTACTTGGGAGACTGAGGCACAAGAATCGCTTGAACCCGGGAGTCAGAGGTTGCAGTGAGCCAAGCCGAGATGGCGCCACTGCACTCCAGCCTGGGCAACAGAGTGAGACTCTGTCTCAGGGGAAAAAAAAGGGTGGGGGGAGGGTTTGAAAAAATAGTAGCATGTAGTTATGTTTCTACAATATTTGATATATATAAGGATTTACCAACCTCATGCATTAGCTGCTATCCCCTACAGCAGTTGCTGTAGGAAAAAAAATCAAGTTCTGAGCTCCTACTGTTTGCCAGGCATATTCTGAGATGATCACGTTGAAATCTCAGAGTTACCCTGCAGAGTAGTCAGGGTATCACTGCCTGACAGATGAAGAAGCTGAGGCTTCCAGCAGTTAAATGACTTACCCCAGGCCACATAGATAATGAGTGGGAGAGCCCAGGTCTGTCTGTGAGGTATAATGAAATTAGCATAAACCCTCCACATTGGCGCCACTTGCATAAATTAACATATTCTCTCACAGAAAGTATTTTATTGGGCATAACATTTTATATGTTTTACCATTTAACATTAGTTATGGATCTTCCCACGTCACATAAATATGTCTCATTCTTTTTCGATAATGTGATTACTAATGAATGGATTTACTATCATTCATTTAATCAATACTCCTTTTGATGGCTATTTTAATTGTCTGTTTATTCGTTTTGCACAGATTGATGTAATAAACATGAATTTATAGGAATATTTTTGTCTGCCTGTGAAAATGTTTGCTGGACAATAAATTCCTAGGAGTAAAATAAGGTCAAAGATTATAAATACAGTATTTATTTTCATAAATATTGCCAAGTCCGCCACAAATGTTTAAATCACTAATGGTTTCAGATTATTGTATTTAATGAGTAAACACTTTTATAGGGTTTACTTTTATAAACAATTTTATTTGCCAGATATTATTCTAAGTGCTTTACAAAATTAACTTTTTCAATTTTTAATATAACCCTGAGATGTATATTATGATTATCCCCATTCTACAGATAAGAACACTGAGAAGTTAATTAACTTACCACATATCTAGGAAATGACAAGGCTAGTTGCACAGCCAGGCAGTCTGGCTCCTGAGTCCACATTTTAGACAACACTATTCCTCCTGGTTCTTTTGAGGCATTACTACTGGAACTATCCTAATACTCATAAATAAACATTTCTTTTGGGGAGGGTCAAATAAAATTTTAAACAGAAAAGTGTTTCACCAACTGTCAAGCTCATAAAGTTGTACGTTATACACTTTTTTCATGATGCCCACAGATAATTTATTAATGATATCATCTATTTTAAAAGACATATATAAAACTCAACCCTTAAGAAAGGACTCCTATTAGTGTTCCCCACAGGCACCCTCCTCAGTCTTACACCTTTCCACCCCCCAAAACAAATCATTCAGCATATTTATTTCATACTGTAATATAGGATATAGCTACTTTTTAGATTTTCTTATATTATTAACATTGATCATACAAACATGGAATAGAAATTCTTTACGTTTTATCTGGATTTAAGGTGCTACATAATGGAATCTATTTCTATCAAGCCATACACTTTGGAGATAATGAAATCAATTGTGTTCTAGCTTAAACATTATGGGAATTTCAGAACTGCAACATAACAGATAATCCTCAGATGAAAACTAAATCTCTCCTCTGGTCAGGCTTCTGTGTGCATCAGTGAAGAGAAGACGGGGACTGTGGAAGGGAAAACAGTGAGTCAGGAAGGACTGTGGCCACATCTGTTCCCCGGACCCTCAGGTAGTTAAATCCTGACCTCCTCTACCCCAGACTGTCCTGGGGAATGGCCAACACTGGCCTTTCACAACTGTGTGTTACTAGAAATGCAACAGAAACCCAGCTGAATCCCCAGGGTTTCCCTTCTGCCCTTCTCAATGGAAAGATCTGTCCCAGGACCATTTATTCCAACATTTTCAATTATGAGAAATCTGGGAAGATAAAGTTATTTTCACATTTCTCAAGAAATACATATTTATTCATACTCATTACAGGAAAGTCAGAATCTACAGAAAACCAAGAAGATTTTTAAAAATCCATGATACCACCATCAAAAGAGCCACACTTAGTATGTTGGTCCACAGGTTTCCTAGCACCCTTTTCTGTTGGTGTATGCACAAAATACACAATCACATTCTGTCTACATTTTACAGTTTGCCATTTTTTGATTAACACTATATATTGAACAATTTTTAAGACCTGCAACGTATGTCGACAACATTATTTCAAAATAATATATTTACAAATAAACGCACACACAAACTGTCTGTCTTATATACAACATGTCTTACTTTCTAATTCTCCACTCTGGAAGATTTAGGTTTTTCTAACTTTTTCTTAATATACTCACCAGGAGTCAGTAAACTTTTTTTATAAAAGGCCAAAGGGTAGATATTTTAAACTCTGCAGGCCATAGATTTCTGGTGCAACACTTAACTCTGCTGTTGCAGGGAAAGAAGCCATACACAATTTGTAAATGAATGGGCATGACTGTGTTCTGATAAACTTTACAAAAACAGGTGGTGGACTAGATGCAGCCTGCTCCTCTGGACATGGTTTGCCAGCCCCTGACATATACCACTACAGAGGATGCTGTTAGAATGAAATCTCTTTACACATCTCTGATCATCTCCTTAGGACTAATTGCTGGACATGACATGATGGTAGCTGTGGGTCAAAGGGCATGCACGCTCTGGGATGTACATTGCCAGATTGCTCATGATCAGCCTTTCTCATGTCAAAATGTTTTGTGACCACCAGAAGGTTGGTTCTGCTTTTATTATCCATTGACTGAGGAATAGAAATGACATGGCATGTATGCAGGATATTTAACTATCGTATAGATAATCCTTGTGCACAAGTGCATTCTATATTCTTTCCCAATAAGTCTACATCTGCCAGAGTTGAAATAAAAGAAAACAAAACAAACCTATTTAGCACCTTCTGTGTAGCAGGTCCATTCGTGTATGTTGTATTTCATTCTCAGAATTCTTATGACCTAGGCATTTTAAAATTTTTTTTAAAAATAGTTGACAAGGATTGTATATATTTAATGCATACAATGTGATGATTTCATATATGTATATATTGTGTACTAATTATCACAATCAAATTTATTACATCCATTACCACCTATGCTGTACATTAAATCTCCAGAATTTGTTCATCTTATAACTGAAAGTTTACACCCTTTGATTAATAGCTTCCCATTTTCCCCACCTCCAGCCCTTGGCAACCACCATTCTACTATCTGTTTTTATGAGTTTGACTCTCTTAGATCCCACATATAAGTGAGATCATACAAAACTTGTCTTTCTGTGTCTGGCTTATTTCACTTAGCGTAATGTCCTCCAGGTTTATCCAGGACAGGAGTTTCTTCTTTTGAATGGCTAAGAGTCCATTGTTTATATATATTTTATTTATCCATTCATCTGTTGCTGGACACTTGGGCTGTTTCCATATCTTGGGTATTGTGAATAGTGTTGTAATAAACATGGGGCGCAGATCTCTCTTCAAGGTTCTAACCTGATTGCTGAATGGTATGCTTAGTTCTGCTTCTAATTTTTTGAGGAACCTCCATACTGTTTTCTGTAAAGGTTATACCACTTTACATTCCAACCAACAGTGTACAAGGGTTCTCTTTCCTCTATGCTTTCGCCAACACTTGTTATCTCTTGTCGTTTTTTTATAAGAGCCGTCCTATCCTATGAGGCAATATCTCACTGTGGTTTTGATTTGCATTTCTCTGATGATTAGTGGTGTTGAACACCTTTTCATATGCTGTCTGGCCATTTGTATATCTTCTTTGGGGAAAAAAGTCCATTGGGGTCCTTTGCCTATTTTTAATTGGGTTATTCATGTATTTATTAATTTTTGCTATTGAGTTGTGTGAATTCCTTATATTTTTTCAAATAACCCCTTATCAAATATATGGGTCGCAAATATTTTCTTCCATCCCGTAGGTTGCCTTTTCATTTTGTCATGGTTTCCTTTGCTGCGTAAAACCTTTTAAGATTGATGTAGTCCCATTTATTTATTTTCACTTTTGTTGCCTGTGCTTTGGTGTTACATCAAAAAAAAATTGCCAATTATGACCAATGTCGAGGAGATTTTTCCCTATGTGTACTTCCAGGATTTACATGGTTTCAGATATTACATTTAAATCTTTAATCCGTTTTGAGCTAATTTTCTGTATATGATGTAAAACAAGTGTGCAATTTCATTCTTTTTCACGCACTTTCCCCAACACTATTCATTGAAGACAGTTTTCTTTCTACATTGTGCTTTTTTTTTTTTTTTTACAGTACAGTGAAAGCAAGTCTATTAAGAAAGTAAAGGAATAAAAGAATCTACATTGCATATCCTTGATGGCCTTGTCAAAGATCTGTTGACCATATATGCACGGGGTTATTTCTGGGTGAGCTTGGCATTTTTATCTACCTCATTCTACCGATGAGGAGGCCGAGTCTCAAAGAGTTCACAGACCTGCCTAAGGTCACTCAGCTAGAGGTGATACAACCAGGGTTTGAACTGAGATCTGCCAAGCTTCTGAGTTTATTCTTTTTCCCCCACACCAAGGATCCTCAATTCTGCCTTACTGACATCAGGATCCGGTCAATTCTTTGTGATGGGGGCTGTCCTGCACCTGGCAGGATGTTTAGCAGCTTCTCTGGCCTCCACCCACTGGATGCCAGGGGAATGCAGAAGAGGCTTGTTCATTCTCCCATTTAATCCTCAGGACAATATCTGACATAAATGTTATGTCTTTTATTTTATAAATGAAGAAAATGAGACTCAGAAAGGTTTAAGTGAGTTACTTAAGAACACACAGACAGCAAGAGGTAGAACTGGAAACCGAACACAGGTGTCCACATGGGACAACAAAAAAGTTCACGTTCCATCTTCTTTTGAGTCTCTCATTTCAATAATTACCATTGTGTGGATATGAGCTGAAGTACAGGAAACCTGGGGCTGAACTCTCCTCCCATCAGGCCTAGGAGCCCCAGACCAGAACCCCAGCCCAAGGTCTCCCAGTCAGGCCCGCTGGCGTGAGCTGGCATCTACACTAGCATGGTTTCCCAAAGCTGCAGGGATGCCAGTCTCGCCGCTGATGAAGGAAATGAAGGGCATTTGCTTCTCCTGCAGGCTCTCGGGATTTAACACAGATTCCTTTTCTTGCTGTCTTCTCCCATAGCACAAAACAGGGTGGTCCATCCCCCTCCCAGTGTCCCAAGGCTTTGTTGCGTGTTCTCTTTAATTTCTCCCACTCTTGCGGTGTAACCTACCCTCATCTCCCTGGCAACCTTTCTGCTGTATCCTCTCGACACCTGGATCACAAGAACACTTGTGAGACCCCTTAACAAGTTACATCCCAAATTATCATTCCCCTTTGTCCTCAGCCAGTGCTCAGGTCCAACTTGCTCTCCTGGGGTGACTTTCTTTCCTGCCCAATATGGTTTCATCATCTGTAAATTGGGGATAATTAAAGTCTTGATCCTGATATTTGACTCTCAAAGCAGAAGTAGCAAGCTCAGCCAAGTCACTTCAACAAGAGGAGACGTTCCTTGTGAACCAAAAGGACACTGGTCACAAGGGCCGCTCCTTCTTCTGTCAGGCCTCTCCAGCACGCCCTTGGCTCAGCCGAAGAAGAGACTCAGGCTGTGCTTCTGCACTGTTGGGATAACATAGGCCTCTTCCATGTGGTTCCACACCAGGAACATGGGGACAATCAGACCTCTCCCAGTGTGGGCATAAGGATACAAGATCATGTCAATATTGACATTCATAATGGCTGGGCGCAGTGGCACACGCCTGTAATGCCAGCACTTTGGGAGGCTGAGGTGGGCAGATTGCTTGAACCCCAGAGTTCGAAACCAGCCTGGGCGACTTGGCAAAACCAGTCTCTACTGAAAATACAAACAATTGGCTGGGCTTGGTGGCGCACACCTGTAGTCTCAGCTACTTGGGAGGCTGAGGTGGGAGGATTGCTCAAACCCAGGGAGGTTGAGGCTTCAGTGAGCTATGATGGCATTGCTGTACTCCAACCTGGGCAACAGAGTGAGGCCCTGTCTCAAAACAAAAACAAAGACAAAACAACATTCATAATAGTAGCAATAGCTACTATGTGCCAAGCCCAGGCACCTCTTCGAGTCTTTGCTGTCACCCTATCAGGTAAGCGTGCTTAGAAGTTACACGAAGCCCACGGCTCAGTGTTTGGCCCATGGTAAGGGCCTAAAAAGGGATAGCCCCAGTGGTGGGGATGCTGCTGCTGCTGACCATTAACCCCAGTCTGCTCCACCTTCTTCCAGGCAGTCTGTGAGATGTTTCATGTCCGAGGCAAACAGCACATTCAGATCCCCAAGCTCTACACCTCCAGTGTGACCAGGCACCTGCACCACTTCAGGCTCATGCAGGACTCACAGCCTTTGGACCTCAGCTAAAGGACTTGCTTCTCTTCAGCACACGGGGCTTGTTTGTGTTGGGGTCTGAGCCCTGAGCCCATGGTCAAGGAGACCCCCAGGTCTTTCTGAACAGAGACAGCTGGCCTGAGGGCCTCCCTCTCACTGCGTGCAAGAGGCTGTTAGGGTGCAAGACTCAAGGCGCTGAGGGAGGCTGTTTCAGGAGGGAGCCCCAGGAGGGTGGTGGAGACAGAAGGGGGCAGCATCTGCCGAGGCCCTACTGTGTGCCTGGCACCGTGTGGGGTTTCTGGCCCATATGGGCTAAGTGACCCTGCACACTCCTCTTAGGAGAAAGGCTCAGATGGAGAAATTGCAGTTCAGGAAGGTGAAGCAAGCTGCTAGCCTGTGGCCATGTTGGGATCTGGGCCTCAGCCTTCCAGCCACAAAGGCAGCCAAGTGTCATAAAGAAGGCATCACAGAGGCAATTCCAGGCTGTAGTGGTGAACTTTCCACTCTGCATCCCCGGGTGCTGTGCCCTGTGCCCTGTGCCCTGTCTAAGGTAGCCCTGCGGGTTTCTATATGTTTAAGTTATCCCCAGCATCAATGATGCTCTCCTGTGGATCCCAAGCCATGGAGATGTCCTGGGACTTTTCATTTTTAGGTACCTAAATTGAATTTCCCAACACACAGAAGCAAGACAGCCGCCCTAACAGACTCTTGCATGCAGTGAGAGGGAGGCCGCCAGGCCAGCTGTCTCTGTTCAGAAAGACCTGGGGGTCTCCTTGACCATGCGCTCAGGGCTCAGACCCCAACACAAACAAGCCCCGTGTGCTGAAGAGAAGCAGGTCCCTTAGCTGAGGTCCAAAGGCTGTGGGTCCTGCATGAGCCTGAAGTGGTGCACGTCCCTGGTCACATTGGAGGTGGAGAGCTTGGGGATCTGAATGTGCTGTTTGCCTTGGATCTTTATTTGTGATTCAGAAACAGTGGAATAAAAGGAAAGGAAAGAAAACCGGAATGGCCACCTCAGCAGGATGCTCCAAGGGTAGTGTCCAGGTGGCACTGACTCAGACATGTGGGGGCTTCCCCCACCCATGCTCAAGAGTCACTTTGCCATTTCACCATCTCTCTGTCCTCCACACCCCTCAGCAGCAAGCACACCAAGAATGTGTTCACCATGAAGCTCAAATCTCAGCCGAATCTAGAGTCTGAAATCCAAGTAAGGGAAAGTGTAGAGCTTCTCGGATGATGCCCTGTCAATTTTATTTTAACGAATGAAAGACCAGAAGAAGTCAGTCTTTGAAAGGAGAGGACAGGAGCATCTGCTGGCATTAGCAGCCATGCCATCGTAGGACCGGCTCACCTGGACCCGTGGACACCTGTGCTTTTACATCTAGTCTTGGTTAACCATGGGCCACTTTTCCAGCTTGGAAACTAAGCATATGCTCCACTTCCTCTCTTTCCTCATTGAACTCTTTCACTAAAAGAACAGTGCGAGAGAGACTTAAACTGTTTGCCTCATTCTTAAGAACTTTCAGGAAAAGTGTTGGCAGGGAAGGAAATTTCCCAGCTCTGGGAAACAGTCTTGTGGATTATCTGCTGGTTTCATTGATCTGTGCTGTCCTCCCTGCATTCATTAGGAAACCTGGCCTTGGTTCAAGTAAGAACAGGATTTGTCCTGGTGACAGAGAAAGGTTTCTTCTGATGTCCATATATCTCCGAGGGGGATGCTTTCTCCAGGCAGAGGCTGTGGCCAAGCGATCGGGGGGCTCAGAGGGCTGCTGGGAAGGGGTGGGCCCCTCTCTCCCCAGAGGGAAACTCCTGGGGACCTCTCGAGCACCCCTGCCCATCCTTTAAACATAAATTCATAAATACAAACAAGTAGGCCATTCACAGAAATATATAAAATATGTCATAGGACGGGTGGCACTCTCATATGGCAATAATTATGACAGGGGCCGGCAAATGACCTGCGTGACCCGGAGTGGCCTGAGCACTGACTCCCAAATGCCCTCCATAGGATGTTCTGCATCCCCGAGACCCTTTCCTGGGTCCTCCTGGGCCCTACCACCCCCTAGACCATCCAGACCTCAGGTCATCCCCCTGTCTGTTGACAGAGTAGTCTCCGTTCCTGAATGTGCTGGTCACCAGCAACAGCAGCTGCTCCTCCTCCAGGAAGCTCAGCCTATACTTCTACACGCAGAGAACCTGGACGGCACCCAGGTGGACCTAAGCCTTCAGCTCCCAGTAGACGCTCTGGGTTTCCTACCCTGCCCAGACACTCTGGGCTTCCCCCCACACCTCCCCTCGTCCGGGGCTCCTGTGTGCATCTGTCTCTCCCAGTGCCCAGCACAGGCGTGGAACGGAAGAGGTGAATGGACCGATTTGAACACATCATCCTGGATTCTCCGTTCCCTCTCAAGCCCTGCAGCTAACCCATCGGCAAGCCCTGGAGGCTCTTCCTCCAAAATCCTGCCTATCCCATGTGCAAACGCCTCTCACCATGTCCACTGCTATTTGCAGTTCTGTGTGTGTGGAAATACTTCCACCAATTTGGAATGAACAGGTCACAGCTGTGCCTGGAGGGAATGGCCAGGGAAATGTGCCCTCGCCTTGCTGTTCTATCCAGGCCCACCCAGCTGAGGATGGGGGACCTGCCACCACTCTCCTGGCAGTTCCGGACTCCTGGGAACCGGCAGGTGAGGACCCAAGAGTGTTTTCAGTGACCCGGCTGACCTGGTCATCCGTCAGTCCCACCTTGGCCTAGGCCTCTATACAGCACAGATCACAGCTCATTCCATCCTGGCATTACACTGGCCTGTGCCCTGTCCTCAGGGTCACATCCGTCTCCCAGAAGCCGTGCAACCCTGGAAAACCCAGGTCTAACAGTCAGGTTCCTCCTCCGTGCATTAACAATGGCGTTGACGCCTGCTTTGCGGGACGCTGGGAGGGGAGAGGGAGGTGTATGCTGGAGAGCTCCCCAGGGGCAAGGCCTGGCTCTGCGTCACCCACTGTCAGATCCTGAGAGCCTGGGGCTGGCCCAGCACGTGGCCACCGTTCCCTAAGAGTTGGATTTCATCCCTCAGTGCTGAAGGCAGGGGATAGAGCTTAGACAGACCCCCTGCATCCTGTCTTCTTTATCTACAGCTTTCTCATCCTTGTCCCTTTCACGTGCACCCGGCAGAGCAGGTGTTCACTGAGCTTGAGCAAAATTCAAGCTAGAGCAGCTGATGGATCTTGAGGCCTAGATTCACTGTCAAAGTGTTTCTCAAACGGTGCTCTCCAGAACACCAAGGAAAACTCATTTACTCTATAAGTCTGAAAATCCCTGCCCACCGGTCTACCTTTGTGTATGAGCAATCAGCTCTACCATTCAGCCCAGGTGTGTGTTTGCTGGACCATGTGGAGGAAGCTGAAGAGACATGAGCTGAAGGCAGAGGGTGAGTCCAAGGTGGGATCTTGGGACAGGTACGAGAAGTTAGGCAAAAATGGGATAATTCTAGCCTTCATAACCTTAGATAATAGTTCACATTATTATTTAGTTAATAGAATTGTACCCACATTAAATTTCTCAAATTTTTTTAAGAGGTGAAGTCTCACTCTGTCACCCAGGCGGGAGTGCAGTGGTGCAATCATGGCTCACTGCTTCCTGGAACTCGTGGGCTCCAGCAATCCTCCTGCCTCAGCCTCCTGACTAGGTGGGACTATAGGCACACGCCACCATGCCTGGCTAATTTCTTTGACTTTTCTCTAGAGACCGGGTCCACCTAGGTTTCCCAGGCTGGTCTCAGACTTCTAGACTCAAGTGAACCTCAACCTCCCACCTCGACCTCTCAAATTGCTGGGATTACAGGTGTGAGCCACCACACCCGGCCTAAATTTCTTATGTGCCATGGGACTGCAAAACATCATTATTAGGGGCAGCTGGATGGAAGGTATAGGAGGACACTATAGTGCCTTTTCAATATTTCTGTCTAAAATCTAAAAGCATTTCAACAGGAAACATTTATTTCAAAACGTGAAGGTAGTTATCCTTCCATGAGTTTAAAGTACAAAGGCAGGCTCACGGTGTCGTCAGAATTCAGAACGATGGTCGTGGGGCTGGGGGTGCTGGGAGGGGCTGGGCATGGTTGGCTTTGTGATCTGGGGTCTGGTGTGTTCCATCTCTGAATCTCTCTCGAGCTGCACTCTTTCTTAATACATTTTCATAAGTTTAACCAAAAATAAAACGAGGACGCGAAGCTTGCTTGGGTTGTTAAGCCTAGGGAAATTATCCAGCCATGAGCCCTGGCCCAGATGCTTCTAGAAGCCTGGAGGGAACTGAGAACTTTCCAAGTGGAGGCCGCAGAGGCAAGGCCCTGAGGTGGGAGCATACTGCTGTTCGTCCCTAGCTCTGAAGGGGGTGCCCTGGTCGGAATCAGTGCTGGGTGCAGCGAAAGCCGATCTCACCCGCTCCGCAGGGTGTTCAGCCTGCCAGCAGGGGGCCAGCTGGTCCTCCTGGGATATGGCACGGACCCAGCAGCTCTGTCTGAAATCATAATGGCGGAACCAAGGGCCCTCTACGTCCAGGTCCGTTGGGAGGCGGGGCATGGAGTTCCACTGCAGGAATCTCCAGGAACCCTGAGGTCCTCCCTGAGCCAGGGCCGGGCTGGGCACACCCTGAGTGCCCACAGGGTAGGTGTCTTCCCGGACAGCCCCACCAGGACAGGGTGTGGAAGAACGAGGTGCCCGTGGCGGGGAAGCTGACCAAATGGGCCGCGGGAACCGGGCTGGTGGGCCTGGAGGGGCCTGCCTGTCCCCCTTGCAGAGGGTCTTCCCGCCACGTGAAGCCGGCACAGGCCTGGATGCCGACGACCCTTGCTCGGGTTTGGCTGAAAGGAAAACAGACGCGGTCAGCATCTCCAGTGAGCCCACGCAGGCCTTTCCGGGCTGGGCCCCACCTGCCTGCATCTCGGAGTCCTCGGGGTCCCTGTGTGGCCCCCGTGGCCTGACACCGAGGACACGCCTGTAGTCTGCTGATCCCAGAGGGAGGGGTGCATGCTGCCTGGCGTGGGGAAGCTGTCGTGGCATGGCGGGTGGCTCCTGGGACTGCCCCCAGGGTTCAGACTGGCTGGGGGCTTCCTGCCACACACCTTCGTCCCAGGGCTGTTGGGCCTGGGATACGGCCCCCAGTCAGAACTCAGGTGGGAGGGGCCTTGGATGTCACCCAGCCCCTTGTCACCTCACGTGGGGACCCGTCTCCGCAGTGGGTGATTGGGCCCGGACGTGGGTCACCCTCTGCCCTCCTGGGCTGCCCAGTCCATGCCAGGACTGACCGTTCCCACTTCTGGCTGAACTCTTGGCTCTGGCTCTGGGCCCTCTCCCTGAATGCTCTGTGGGTCAGGGACACGGATTCCCTTGTCTCCCTGGCTCCAGGCTTCTTGTCCTGGCAACCTTGGAGGAGCGTGCAGGAGTGAGGGGCCTCTGCTGCTCTCTGAGGCTGTGGGTGCTTGCAGGGAGGGGCGGGGTCTCCCACAAATGGGTCTGGGCTCGTCTAGTAACTTGGAGGGCCCTGCGAGGGGGAGAGGGAGACACCGTGGAAAGTGGGAGGGGGCTTGTTGGAGGGTCTTGCCCACATCCCCCTCCTGCGTGCACAGCATGTCCAGTATACACGCACTGAGCGCCTGCCCTGAGGACCGGTGGGCCTCCTGTACTTTCTTAGAGTCCAGGAGGAAGAGGAGGAAGAAAAGGTGAAGAGGAAGGCCCAGGTAGTAGGGTTGCGGGTCCTGGGCACTCCCCTACTACTGACTACCCCAGAGGGTGACATGGGAGGGGACATGGCACTGGAGCCCACCTGGGGGTGGCAGGTCCCCCTGCTTTCTTGTTAGTTTCTTCATAGAGGCCCTAAGATGCTTGAGCACAGTGTCCTCATCCCTGGCCCAGGTATCAACGAACCGGTTGCAAAAACGTGCCCACGGGCCACACCTGGACGTCTTCGTGAGGCGCTCTAGGGACAGGGTGGATATCAGGCCAGGGGAGTTACCTGGGAATGGTCACAGCTCATACCCCGTGGCCACTTCAGTCTCCTACTGGTCGGTGCCGGATCCTTTTGTGGCCACCCCAGGTGTCCAGATATACACAGGAGACTGTGGCTGGGGACCCAGATGAAAGTCGAGAGTGTGGTGAGCACTTCCCTGTCCGGATCATGTGAGGGATGGGCTCGGTGTCACAGTGTCCTGCCCAGCCCACCTGGCCGGACCTCCCTCTGGGCCAGAACAGCGGATCATGAGGACAGTGTGAGGAAGCTGCCCTCGGGCCAGTCGGGGTCTGACCCCAGGGCTCCCCAGGCCCCGCTGGGCACACGTAGACTTACTCTGCTGAACCTTAAAGGCGATTCTTGTTATCGGCATCAACGCCTGTTCGCCTTCTACCAGATACACGTCCCACAGGCGCAGGGTGAGCCCGAGAGAGATCTGTGGGGACAGCAGGTGTGAAAGAACCTGGTCCTTCCAGGCTGGGGCTGGTGGCTCGAGCTGCGCACACTGGGGCTTCAGTCTCCAGAGTCAGTGACCTTCCCCATGAGGGTCGCCTGAGCCCTCCAGGACGCTGGGTCAGACAAGGTCTTGAAGCTCCTCATGGGGGGCACTCATTTGAGTGGGGATGTGGCTCCTGGAGAGAGGGGCTTGCCCAGGGCTTGAGGCTTCCCTGAGCCCTCTCAAGTCGGGTCCTGGCCCAGTCTGCCCATGAGGCTGGGCCTGAGCCCCAGCCATTGCCCTGGGATGACCCCTCTTGGGCAGAGGGTTTTGCTTGTGTGTCCTTTGGGGACCCGCCTGAGCCTCCTGTGGGCTGGGAGTGAGCCAGACCCCCGGGCTGGGGAAGCAGGGCACTGCAGGGCAAGGAAGGTCCCTGAGCCAGGGTCTCCCTATGCCTCCTTACCCCGTCAATCAATATCCGGATGAGGCAGCCTAACGGGGAACACTGCCCACATAGATCTTTCTTGTCCTGATGGAAGCAACAGAGGTGCTCAGGCCACTGGGCTGCCCTAAAAACCTCCCTCTTCCAGGGCCTCTGAAGACCCTTCCCCTAGTGCAGAACACTGGGCGGTGTCCAGAGCTCCCCACAACACTGTCACCTTCCCACACTCCCGGTGGACACACTGCCCTTTGCCCTGCTCTGCGGGAGCTGGGCCCCCATCCCTGTGCCTCTGTCTCCTCCAGGGCAGGAAAGGAAACCAACTCCCAGCCCATGGAGAACCCGACGTCCCAGGTCAGGCCCTGGCTGGGACTCAGCCAGTCACCAGCCCCACGAGGGGCCCCAGCCCCCCTGCTCCTACAGCCCCACGGGAGGCAGGGCCTCTGGGAAGAGCTGAGGGGACCATAAACTCACCTGATGCCCCATGGTCTTGGATTGTGACGTGGCTACCACATGCTCCTGTTGGTCTTGGAGCCCCTGGACGGTCCCGCCATTTGGGCTGTGAAATCCTGAGAAGCCCCCAGCCCATCATGAAATCAGAGCCTTCCCCCAAGATGTGGAGCCATCAGCTGCAAGAGCTGGGCAGCTGGAGAGGCCCCCAAACCCCAAGGCTACTCCCACCCTCCCATCTGGTGACCCCAACATGCGGCCTTTACCCTGGGGAGGTGGGGCGGGAACATTCCCTGGAGCCTGGCTGGAGGTTCCCCTGGAGGCCTCCTGGGCCAGGGTGCAAAAAGGGCAAGCCTGACTTTCAGGCCACGACAGGGTGGCCGGAACTGGGTGGGCGCTGGGCTTCCCGGTCATCTCCTGGTAGTGGGGTCGGGCCAGGGGAACAGGGGATGGGGAGATGCTGCCACCTGGGCTTGGTCGGCCCATTCGTGGGCACCGATGGCAGCAGGAGCCCGGGCAGCTGGAGGGCAGGAGGACTCTCAGGGAGGGGAGAGTCAGCTGCACAGAATCAGAGCCGGAGGGCGTGGCTCCAGGACACAGAGGGTGGCCACGGGGAGGATGAGATGCCCTCTGCTGATGGGGATGAGAGGCGTCTGATTTGGGCTTTGGGGGTCAGCCGTGGACTCCTGTGGGACCCTCAGCAGAGACATCCTAAAGTCTCCCAACAAGCTGGCGACACAAGGAGGGTGCCTTGGCTGAAAGCTGTGATCACCCGGCCAGGGTGGCCATCCCCAGGTCTGGCTGCAGGAGGTCCCCGGGGCAGCTGTTCACTTACCCTGCAGGGAGTGCCTCTCACTGGCCAGCAGCTGCACCAGTGCCCAGAATGCATCCTCCTCAGGAAAATAGAGGAGGAACAAGGCGGCGATGTGGCTCAGGTCCCTGCAGTAGCCCACCTCCTGCAAGAGCCAGAGTCACCATGGAAGGACATCACCTGGGAGGGCTGAGGTCACCTGGGAGGACTCATGTCATTGGAGAGGGCAGAGGTGACTGGAGAGGCTTCCTCTGAAGGAGAGGCTTCCTCTGAAAAAGAGGCTTCCTCAGGATGCACATTCATTTCATGACAAGAGCCAAGTCCATCAGGCACTTCAGCACCTTGTCCAAAATGTCTGCTGATAGCACCATCCTGTGTGCGATGCTGCCAAGCTCCTGGGCTTTGGGGCAGCCCCAGGAGGAGGGCGTCATTTCTTGTTCTGAGAAGTGGTGGTCAGGCCCAGGTGACACCAGGAGTCCGGGCCCTGACTCCTTTGTGTCTCAGCTTGACCCCTTGAGACCACCCCCTTCCTTGGAGGTTTATGCCAGCGGTGAGCTGACATCCTACCTCCTATATCCTGGTGGGTCACAAATACTAACTTTAAAAGAAGCAACGACACCCCCACCAGACACCCACTCCTGTCAATATGGAAATATGGCCCGGGAACCTCACTGCCGGGAATACTCACCGGGTTATACTCCTCATATGCCAGGAGGATGTGGAGTAGTTCCCGCTGCCTAGGAAACAGAGAAAGGGGGCTTTGGTTTGTTTTGTGCAGATGTTGTTAATTTCACTTTGTCTACAAAGCCTAACAGCAAATCCCATTTCAGGTTCAGATGTTTCACCAGATAAGCAGTGAGCTCTTCAGGGCCTGAGACTCTTGAAGAAATGTTTCAGTAAAATCCACATCTGTGACATGCAAATAGCCCAGTTGTACAGTGACTTGCCTGATCCTTTTCACTCTGAATGATTTTTTTTTTTTTTTCAGTTTGCACACACGCCAGTTCAGTCTGTGTGTGTACAGTTCCTCCACGGTTCCAAACCAATGTGCAGAGTCTCCCGGCCACCGCTCCAGCCCCTCCTGGGGCGACTCCTTCATCCTCCAAGTCTCCAGGGTGGCCCCTATGCACCCAGCCTCTCCCCGATCCGTCAGCCCCTGGCCACCCAGACTGCTTCTCAGTCCCTGTGGTTTGGCCTTTTCCAGAATGGCCTAGGAATGGGAATCCTACGGTGGTAGCTTATTGGGTCTGGCTTCTGTCCCTCAGCAAAATGCATCTAGGATCCACCCACGTTCGTGCGGGCATCACCGGCTCGTTCCCTTTTCTCACTGGGTCTTCCGTTTGAAGGGAGGACCAGCCTTGCTCTCCCCATTCCCGTGTTGAAGGCCGTCCCCGAAGGCTCCGTGTGTGAGTGACGAGGAGTCAAGCAGTGAACCTGGCATGCTGGTTTCATGTGGATGTCAGTTTCCAAATCAGTGGGTTCAATATCTGTGACACTTTGGGGATGTGTGGTTCAAGTCCATCGAGCTTTGTGAGCCACTGCCCAACTGGCTGCCAACGTGGCTGTGCCATGTCATGTTCCCAGCGGACCTGGATGAGAGTTTCCAGGACCCCTAATTCTCCCAGCATTTGGTGCTGTCACTGTTGCCTGGGGGGGCTCATGGGCCCTCTATCCTGCCACCCTCCCGTGGGTCCTACCATGGGTCCCCATGGGTCAGGGAGAGCACCCTTCACCATTGTGCATGATTTTGTTTGCTGCCTTCCATCTCCTCAGGATCCTCCTGGGTTCTGGCCCCACATGTTCCAGTCTGGCCCAGGGCTTGGAACCAGGGAGGTGCTCGGTTCATGGTGCCGGCTGCTCCCTGGGCCGGGAGAGCTCTTGGCAGCTGTGTCATCCCTCCTGGGTGACCCTGGCTTCTGCTCCGGGGAAGCCCCCATCCCTCTCATTCACCCCATCTCTGCTGGGACCCTGTGGCTCCCGTAGGCTTACTTGGTTCCGTATCGATCCCTGAAGAACATATGCTTCCTTAATGTCCCGCTTATGTCCCGGTCGATGCGCTGGATGTGCTCAGATGACCTCTTGCCCTTCTCCTTCATGATCTGTAGGGCAGGGCCAAGCGGAGGAAGCAGTCTCAGAACAGATGGAAGACTCCCTGCCCCCAGTGGCAGTCAGCCCACAGTCAGCACTTCGGGAAGGAAGGACAGAAGGAAGGTTTCCTTCTGCAGAAAGCTGCATTTTGGCTTGTTACTGAAGCCAGGGAGGGTCACCAGAGCTGAGTTTGTCTGTGGTGACTGTGTCACCATCTGTGCCCAGGGTGTTCATCTGACCTTCACCCCCAGCTCCCCAGGGTGGTCTTGACGTTCCCTCCAGCTGGAGACCTGGGCCCCGACACGGCCTGTCCTGTTTGTTGTGCTCTGGCTGAGCGTACCTGGTATCTTCCGGGGTTTTTCAACTTCATTTCCTCAATGTTCAGGAGGACTGACCACATCGGGCCCCGGATGTTCATGGGCATTCCCTTGTACGCTCGATCTATGAGCTGTGGGCAGAAAACAATCTGGTGTCACAGGCCACGGGGTGACCCCAGTGAGGACCAGAGCCCGGGGATTCTGGAAATTGTCGGTTTTGGCCCCATGATTCCTCAGTAGAGGTGAGATCAAGCTGGGACAGGGTCTCCCTTCCCAGGACTGAAAGAGTGGATGGACACTCAGAGTCGAAACTCTGATCTGAACCTTTTCCTTCCTTCAGGTCACCAGGGCATCCCTAGCCTTGAGCTCCGGGTAGTCCCAGCCCTAGATTCAGATTCCCTCCCTGCAAGGTGACGCTTGCACGAATAGGCAGGAAATCTGGCGACCAGGCCTGCAGTCCTCTGGGCGAGGACAGTGTGCCGCCCACCCTCTGAGAGGCTGATGGTGCCAGGCCACAGCCATTGGTGCCTGTCCCCTGTCTCTGCAGAGAGTGCTTCCTCCCTCCACACGTTACCTTTCTGCTGCTTTTGTATTTCTCCCAGTCTCCCAGCATATCCACCCACTTGCTCTTTCGGCTGATCTCCCGCCGAATTTGCTGTCAAATGAGGCATGTTGGAGTTAGCGGAGCTGCCAGGCTTCCCAGAGCCGCCCGCGGATGCTGGGTCTTGGGCTCTGGAGCCCTGGTGGGAGCCAGCTGGAAGGAGCCAGGGAAGGGCAGACCTCAAGGGCTGAGAGCCTTTGAGCAAATGAGCACCAGTGGGCTGGCTTTGGGACCCCGGGATGTACCATCCTCAGGCCACAGACACACCAGTCTTAGGTCCCAGCCTCTAGGTGGGGTCCTGACACAAGCGCACAGCCACCCCCAAGCCAGGACTGTGGTTCTCCTTTTGGAATTTTATCAAACTGCCAAAGTGAACAGCAACCTGGGGTCAGGTCCAGCAGGGACTGCTGCCCCTCCCAGTGACAGCGTGTTGCCCTCACCCGCCACCGCTCAGGCCAGCTGCTTCCTCTGCCTCACTGACCACCCGCCCAGTCCCTACGTCCCTGGACCAGCCCCTCCACGCATCAGGCTCTTACCTTCGCCTCCCGCGCAGTCAGAGGAGGCAGCTCCGTCTCACTGTAAGGCAACCCAGGCAGAGCTGAGGAACTGCACGGGGCCTGGAGCGGCCCCAGCCTGGGTGCCGACCCCCAGAAAGGACTGGCTCTGTCCCTTTCCAGCTCAGGGCTCAGCCCAGGAGAAGGCACAGGGAAGGGAGGACAAGGGCCTTCCTGTGGGGCTGACTCCCAGGAGGGGCAGGACCTGGGAGAAGAAGGAGTGTAGGGACAGCCTGGCCGGGGTTACTGGGGCCCCTGGCGTGGGGGGCGGTCAGGCTGCCCAGTGGGGCTGCCCGTCCTGGACTCGAGGTGGTGCTTTCTGCTGGAGCTGAGAAAGGTTAGCCCTGAGATGGGATGGGGGCCGCCCAGGGTGGGCGACCGGGCCCTGACAGGAGTCCCTCAGGGAGTGACCACATCCCCCCGCCAGGGTCAAGGGAGCCTGCCCTGAGACCTGCCCGGTGTACTCTGGCTGCACCAGGGGCCCACCCCACTTGACAGCCCCAAGGCCCTTGCAGGTTCTGACCTCCCAGCATCCACCTGCCTCTCCCTGCACCCGAGCCACACACCCTGCGTTTCAGAAGTGGCACGGCTCGTCAGCTCCCTCCCGCCCTACCTCCCCAGGGATCCTCTGTCTCTCCATCCTGTGATCCCTGAGGGATGGGCTCCTGGCTGGGCTCCTCTTACCCGGCCCCAGATCCCTTCCCAGCACCAGACCCAGGTCTTTAGCCGCGAGCCCTGCTGCCTCCCTGGCCTCACCGTGAGATGCCCAGAACGGGGCCCTGCCCATCTTCTCCCCCGTTCTCCTAGGGCTACAGCCCCCATTGTCACCATGCCTTTTCCCCTCACGGGACAGTGAGGGCTGTAGCTCTAGGGGAATGGGGGAGAACAGGGGCAGGTGGGCCCTCAGAGACCTGCTGGACAACAGCCCTGAGGCTGGGCCAGGCGTCCCCTCACCCTGTGGCCATAACCCTTGCATCTCACCGGGGTTGTCTCCAAGTAGACAGGGCCAGACCCTCAGGCTGCCCCGCTCCTCTTGTGCTCACTTGCCGACAGAACTGCTGAGCGCCCAGGGGCCTGACCTAGCCCAGTCTCCATTCCCACCGGCTCCCTAGATGGGCCCCACACCTCTGGCCTAACAACCTCGGGCTGGACCTGCAGGGGAGTCAGGGAGGAGTTCTGTCCCTGGAAAGGAGGTTGACCCGACCTGGTGAGACATGTCCTGCGTCAGAAAGGCCTTTCTAAAAGCAAACCCATTCCTGAGCTGAGACAGGTGCTTTAGGGGTGAGGGGAGTGCAGAGGACTCACTGTACAATCCCCAAATGATCGACGTTGTTGTTGTAGCTTCGAAAAGGCTTAGGCCCCTTGTCCTCTGGCAGCCCAGCTCGGTGTCCCTGTAGCCCAGAGGGAGCCTTGGTGAGGGGTCCAAGGTAAAGGGTTGCAAGGGCCTGGGGGCATTGGCCACCCGTCCCTGCCCTGTGCTCCTAGGGAGCCCAGGACCCTTTGACCAGGGCACACTGGAAGAGGCCTCCCTCCAAGAAGCAGACCGACTTGTACCTTTTCGTATTTCATAATGATGTCCTCTCGCTCTTGTGCCCACCAACTACCCGCGACCTCTACCACGTCCATCCTGTGAGACAGAATTGTCTAAAGGTCACACTGTACGCGGCGGCTTCGGAGAACACCTGAACCGCTCTCGCCGGGCTCCCAGATGCTGGCTGGCTGCGTAACCCCCATTCCACCGCCGCCCCCAGGGAAAAAGGGGCCAGACCCAGTGGCCCACAGCTGCTCCAGTCTCTGGAGTCTCAAGTCCCAAGCAGGGGTGGGCATCTTCCCAAGGACTTGAGTACAGTGGGACCTAGACAGAGAATCCTGTTGTCCCCCAATGCCATGAAATGGGGACACACCGGCCCCAGCAGGTTGAATGGTTTCCACCTGCCAAGGGTGAAGGGCCCATGATGGGCTATTCCAGGGATGTGGAGGCAGACTGGGGTCAGCGACCAGAGGTCTCTGTGCAATCGGCCTCCTGGGATGCTCAGGGCCTCAGCGATGCCCAGTTTCCTACAGGGAACAAGATCTCTCCCGACTGCTCGGTTCTACTCCGCTCATCACTTTGGCTACCGTGGCTCTTCAGTCTGAACAGTGAAGCCACTTTAGGAATAACGCCTGTTGAGCAGGAGGGTGTTGGGTTTGGGGGATGAGGAAGATCTATTGTACGCATGGAAACCACGTCTCTCGCGGAGGGACTGTGGAGTCCACCATTCTGAGCCGTCCCAACAGGAGGAGGCTTCATTTTCCTGGGTCACTGAGGAAGAACAGTGGGTCCTTGGTCCTGGAGAACAGCTGGATGGACCGTCCCTCCTGGGAATACTCGAGGCAAAAGGAGGGCGAGGCCTCAAGAGGACCACGCAGAGCAAGAAATACCTGGGGAGAACCCTAGTGCCCGGACCCCTTTGAACACAAGGGAAGATAGTCTCCCCTCAGCCAGCCCTCCAGGGCTCCTTCATTTTCCACAGCTGCCCAAGGGCAGCAGGCTCCCCCGGACAAGGGACCATGTGTGTTCAGTGGGGCCCACAGCGACCATCAGGACCCAGCTTAGGGCACAGAGGTGTTCTGAGGACCGTCAGTGGATCTGTACCAGTGGCTCTATACCAGTGGCTCTGCCAGGACCAGGCTCTGCCCCATCGGGATGGGAAACCTGGGCAGATTTGGGATCTAGGGCAGGGAGGTCACAGGGTTCAGGCCTGAATTCCAGCACAGCACACGGCAGGGCTGAGAGCAAAACTCAGGGTCATGTCCGGATTCCCAGGCCGGTTACTGCCTCTCTGACCCCAGACGTCTCATCTGTCGAATGGGGACATTTGGGAACAGCACCCACTCTACGAAGCCACCATGGAGACGAAAGAGCCAATCGTCTACACGGGCAGTGTAGAACGGGCGCCTGGTGAGTGCTCAGGGATGACCCTCCTCGGTAGCTGCCCCACAGAGGCCAACACCGCCCGCACCGTAGCCACTGTCCCCAAGTCCGCCTGGAGGGAAGAGAGCAGGTCACGCTCACCTGATTCTGATGAATCAGCTGGCCTGGGTCATGCCTCTCAGGGAGAAAACCTTTGAGTCCACAGAGCTGCTCACAGATACCACTGCCTGTGTGTAACTGCTGTAGACCACTGACGCAGGCCAGAGAGCAGATAGGTGCTAAGCACCAGTGACATTCTGAGGTCATGGCACGAATCACAGTGGGGCCTTGCCCGGGTCAGCAGCACCCAGAGTCAGGGTCCTCCGCTGCCTGAGGCGTCAACATGCCTGCCTGCAACGTGTTTGTGCACGTGCGTGCACACGTGTATGTGGGTAAACATGTCTGTGCACATGTGTGTTGCTTCTCTGGCCAGGCCCGGCTGCCCCACTCATGTGTGCACCCAGTTCCTCATCACTGTCACCCCCGAGGCCCAGGGCCAGCATCAGAGCATCCATGGCTGCTCCCTAACCTCAGCCCTCCCCGCCCAGGGTGGTCCTGGGATACACATAGGGGTGGAGGGAAGTGACTGCTGCTGTTGGATCTCAGAATACAAAAGCTAATACTATTACCTAATGGTCTTTTTAGTGTATCTAATGGTATCGCTTTTTCATTTCTGATATTTTAACTGGGTATTTCTCTCCATGACCCTTGGATATTCTAGCTAGAGGATCCTGTGGGGAAAGTGCCGAGCACACAGTAGGGGCTCACTCTTCTAGACATGTTATCTAAAACCTGGTTCATCTGTCCTTCCACGCAGGGCCTAGGGGATGCCAAATTCCAGGGTCCAGAAAGAGCTTGGGATAAAATGAAACTTCAAGGGGACGGCTTTGACCTGGGCTGAGTCTGTCTGTGCCATCCAACTGGAGTCTCAAGTCCTGAGGCAGGACGTCCAGATGCCCCAGTGCAGGGCCCTCCTGATCAACACCTGCTCCCCTGTACTCATTAGCAACCTCACCCACCCTACTCTCAAAGCACACTTGGCTCTCGTATCCAGGAGCTCTGCATCTATAGATTCGGCAACAGCAGATGGAAAATATTCAGAAAATAAATTGGATGGTTATGTTTCTATTGAACATGTGCAGACTTTGTTCTTGTCATCATTCCCTAAAGAATACAGTATCACGACCATTTATGTAGCATCTGCATTGTATTACACATCATAATCTAGTAACGGTCTAACGTATACGGGAGGATGCGCATAGCTTATACGTAAATACTAGGCCATGTTCTATCAGAGACTTGAACATCCATGGATTTTGGCATTCCCGGGGACCCTAGAACTAATCCTCCATGGATACCAAGGGATGACTGTATATACTCACTCAGGAAGGCTTCTCATTGGAGGAAGGGCCCGGTTCAGGACAGACAGGGACATCATCCCTGGACTACTGTCCATCCATCCATTCATCCATTGGCACCACCCTCTAGGACTGTCCCAATGACAGCCCTAGCAAGTGGAGATAAGAAAAAAGACTGGCTCAAATGGTACAGCTTTGAGGTCTTGGAAGATGTTGCACCAGTATGAGAATAGGGGGTCAGTTTCCTCCAGGATCCAGAAAGCATATCAGGCAGGCTCGGGGAGAGGAAAGGAACACGGCCTCTCCAGCAGCCACACAGGCCTGCAGTAGGATGGGGCTGGGGCTGGGGCTGGGGCTGGGACTGGGGCTGGCCCCGTTTATCACTTGGGCCTCATGAGGGGAAAAGAAAGGACAGGGGGCAGAGGAGGAGCATGGGGGCAGCGGGTTGCCTAAGGAGAAGGCGCCTCAGGGAAGGGGTATTAGTTTGTTTTCACACTGCTATAAAGAAATACTTGAGCCTAGGTAATTTATAAAGGAAAGAGGTTTAATCGACTCCCAGTTCAGGGAACTTACAGTCATGGCAGAAGGCGAAGGGGAAGCAGGCACCTTCTCCACAAGGCGGCAGGAGGGAGTGAGCGGAGAAGCAGGAAGTGCCACACTTTCAAACCATCAGCTCTCCTGAGAACTCCCTCACTATCAGGGGAGCAGCAGGGGGGAAACTGTCCCCAGATCCCATCCCCTCCCACCAGGTTCCTCCCTTGACACAGGAGGATTACAATTCCAGATGAGATTTCGGTGGGGACACAGAGCCCAACCTGTGAGGGTCTCAGTCTATCTTGCAGCTCCCCTGGGGCTGGGGCTGAGTACAGTTCTGCTGGCCCTGCTCTACAGCACGTGGGGACTCTGCCTGTGTGCCCCCATCTGCTCTTCCTGGGGATGGTGGCTGCTTCCTCAAGAGGAGGGTGGATCTGCTCTCCTGCCCACCCCTCTCCAGGGCCTTTTGGAGCCCTGGCCACGTCCTCCCCGGGTAAGGGCAGGAAACCGGGCTCCTTGCCCTTCTTGCTGCTTGGGTGACAATCCTGGGGTCATCCATAGGCCCCATCACTGTTCCCACTTCTAAATGGAGGGTATTTTGGCACATCTTCCTGGCGGGGTCCGGGGCCTCATCCCTGTTATTTATTCTATCTTGGTAAAGCCAGGTTAAGACATCTGGGCAAGGAGATAGTAGAGTGGCCCCCAGGAAGGGTGGGTGGAGGGCCTGGCCTTTGGGCTTGCCTGGAGCAGGGTGGGAGGGGGCAAGGTTACCAGGAAGCAGGGCTGTCAGGGCCAAAATCAGGAGGCGGTGATAATGCTGGTGGGGGGACAGGGCTGTGTGCTTGGCTTGGGGTGGGGCATGAGAGCCAAGGTTTGTCAGCACGCAGAGGGGTGGCTGACTCATGGACTAGGGGCTATGGAACCCAATGGCTGCCCTTAGTTCCTGGATCCTGGGAGACTTCTGGAGCCTGGGTGTGGGGCAGCCTAGGGGTGGAGGTGGGGCAGACAGGGGTAGGGGTAGGGGTAGGAGAGGAGGACTTGCATGGCAGGGTGCAGGGTAGGAAACCAGCCAGGGGCCAGTTTGCATTGGCGGCTCCCATCCCCATCCCCACCCCCAAGCCCACCCCTACCCCCACCCTGCTGCAGAGATGGGCCTGGGCTGCTGTCCTCTGCTTTGGCCTCAGCAGATCACACGATGGAAGCTGGCAGCCCCGTGGGCACCACTCGAGCCAGCTGTGACCTGCAGTTTCTGCTTCCTGGAGTGTGGGGCGCCCACTCAGGAGAGCACGGCACACCCCACACCCCTCATTTTGAGGATGCTGGGAGGTGGGGACCAAGGTCCTGCAGCCCTCTGCTTGCGCTATGAAAGGTAGCCTAGGAGTCCTGTGTCCGCCCATCCACGTGGGGCCCCAGGAGCCTGAACAGTGGCAGGCAGAGAGATGAGGAGGGTGAGAGAAGTGGAAAAGAAGGAGAGAGAAAGAGAGATGGGGAGAAGGGAGTGAGATAGAGAGAGGATGAGAGATAAGGAGAGAGACAGAGGAGGCTGAGAGGAAAAGGAGCGAGAGAGACAGGCAGAGAGACACAAAAGGCAAAGAGAGAGACAGGGAGAGACGAGCATGAGTAGGAGGTCGGGTCACTCTCGATCCCAGTCCCCAGTGAAAACCGTAGGTCGCCATCACCTAACTACGCGTGCAATAAAGTCTTCTGCCTGCTGCTTACAGCCCGAGAACCCTTTTCCGAGAGAATAAAATCTTTGACCGTTGCCCTTTCTCGCCGGAGTTTGCTCGTGTCTTCTGATGAACTGTGATGTCTCACCTATCGCCTTCCTGGGCTCAAGGATCCACGAAAAGCCGACGACTCTTTTGGGGAGGCTCTGCAGTGCCTTCATCTCACTAGGCTCCCCAGGAAGCTTGCGAACTTGGCTTGAGCCCTAAGCAGCCGAGTATGTGCCGGGCCTCTGCTTCTCTCTTTCAGTAAGAGGGAGAACCAAGAAAGAGGCTGAAGCATGGTCTGCAGAGAAGGCACTTGTGCAAACACCAGGAGAATGAGGGGCCTGAGTTGTCTTCATTTCTCCTAAAAACACGCATTTCCTCCCAGGCCACCCTAGTGAGGGCATGAAGCACAGCGTGTGTGTGTGTGTGTGTGTGTTTGCAGGAATATGCATGTGTGTGTGCATGTGTGTGTGTGCAGGTATATACATGTGAATGTATTTATGTATGTGCATCTGTGTGCATGTGTGTGCGTGTGTGTGCAAGTATATGCATGTGTATGTATGTGCATGTGTGCGCGTGTGTGTGTGTGTGTGTGCGTGTATGTGTGTGTTGCAGGGCTTTACAGTGGACAGGATGTGGGAGGGCAGCTGCAGCTCCAAGCTGCAAGTCTTTCTGATAGAATGGTTAAGATTCCCTGGACCACAGAAAGAGTGTTTTCATTTGCACCTATTTTTATTAGCATTTAAAGCTGTATTCTTCGTAGCATGTGAAGCTTAAGTTGCTTAACTATTCTTAGAAACATTTACACCAGCGGTCCCCAAACTTTTTGGCACCAGAGAGCAGTTTTCTTGAAGACAACTCTTCCACGGACCTGGGAGAAGGGGAAGGGATGGTGCAGAGATGATTCGAGCCCATTACATTTATTGTGTGCTTTATTTCTATGATTATTTCACTGTAATATATAATGAAATAATTACACAACTCACCATAACATAGAATCAGTGGGAGCCCTGAGCTTGTTTTCCTGTAATTACGTGGTCCCACTTGGGGGTGATGGGAGACAGTCAGAGATCATCAGGCATTAGGTTCTCATAAGGAGCACGCAATCTAGATCCCTGGCATGCGCAGTTCACAGTAGGGTTCATGCTCCTATGAGAATCTAATGGCACCACTCATCTGACAGGTGGCAGGGCTCATGCAGTAATGTGAGGGATGGGAAGTGGCTGTTTCTACAGATGAAGCTTTGCTCACTGGCTGGCTGCTCACCTCCTGCTGTGTTGCCTGGTTCCTAACAGGTGGGGATCCGATTTACCCAGCAAGATAAATATATTATTATGTCAATTTAAATTATTCACCTTGAACCACCCAAAATTACCTTGCATACCTCACCCACCCAAGGGTCCCGTAGCACACTTTGGGAGCTGCAGACAGTAAACCTGGAGCTCCATAGAGCATTCCATCTCTCCACCGTCTGTGGGCTAACAGGCTGTGTTAGTTTCCTAGGGCTGTTTTACAGTACCACAGACTGGGCACCTTCAACAACAGAATGTTACTGTCTCGCAGTACTGGAGGCCATGAGTCCAAGATCAAGGTGTCAGCAGGGTGGGTCCCTTCTGAGGCTGTGCAGGAAGGCTCTGTTCCAGGCCTGTCTCCTCATGCGTGGGTGGACATCTTCTCCCTGTGACTCTTCATTAAGGGTGATTCTGGTGAGGGCTCCAAAGAGGAGACTTGGACAGAATGTTGGTAGATAAATGTGTCAGTGGAAACCAGAGGGTAGACAGGACTCCATCCATGCCCAGGGCTTTCTGGGGACAGACCTGTCCAAGCAGCAACCATTCCCAACCGAGTTCTGTTTCTGGAAAGCCAGGCAACAGGTGGGGCTGGGCCCTCTGGGATTTGTTTAGTGACCCGATTATGTGGGAGGCCTGCAGTGGGTGGTTGGGTGGGGGGTGGTACCAATGCCATCATGCCCAACCTCATTGCATCACTCACTTCCCAGGCCCTGCCCTCAACCCCTCCTGACCAGGCCCTGTCCTGGTTCTCAGCCACCTTGTCCCAGTGGGTGCTTCAGCCCACTCACTGACCAAGTGAGGGACTGACTCCAGGTTACAAAGTGCTGTGTTCATGTGACCTGAGAATACGTGTGCGCAGAGTGTGCCCACAGTGTCCTTGTAAAGTTGAGCATGTACATGTCCTGCCAGTGTGTAGGCAGCCTGTCCACACATGCCTAGGAGTGTGACTCCATGTCCTGGTAGATGGGGAAGGAGAGAGGGAGTTGTGCCCAGGGTCCCCCGATTACTTCTATGGGTGCATGTTTGTGCTTCTTGTTAGGGGTGCTTGGGGAAGATTCTGCCCTGGGTGCCCTGGATCACCTGTGTGTGTGTGTGTGCACGCGGGGACGCGCACGTGCATTAGGGGGTGTACTGTGTTACAGCATCCTCAACCAACTCTGTATGTGTGCATATGTTTGTGTGTGTGTGTCCTACAGGTGTGAGCGAGTGGATGCTTCCACTACGTGTCTGCACATGTGTGTGTGCACTTGCATTGTCCTTGCACACCTGCGTGTGTCCCGTGAGAGCGGAGCCCAGCATGTGCTGGCACCTGCAGGAACATGTGAGTGTGCGTTCTGTGGGTCCCTGTCCTGATGGCTCTCCACTTGTCCCGAGTGTCACGACGACGAGGATGGGGACCATATCTTCGGAGCCTGAGGATCCAACACAGGTCCAGCCCTGTGCAGCCGCCCGCCAAGCCGCCAGAGGACGAGCCGGACGCCGAAGGCTACGAGTGGACGATTGCAGTTAGTTTCCAACTCGCCGACTTCGCGCCCCTCCACTGGCTCCGGCTTGATGGTCCCGGCTTCGGGGTGCTCTCGGTCCCTCCCCATCGCGTCGTCGCTTTCTCCCTTGGCATAACCCCCAGCCGCGGGGCCGCAGACCCTAAGAGCTCCATGAGCTCTCCGCGCCCTGCCCACCGGCCCCGGCCCCGACCCCTCCCCAGACCGGACCAGAGAGGTGGGAAGTTTGGGGGCACCCGCTGTGGGTGTCCCGTTTCCGGGGCTGGGCTCCGGGGAGCCGGCGCGGCGCCCGCTCCCTGCCCGCCAGCCCTTTGGGAGCTCAGGCGCGGGCAGCCGCTTGTGTTCCTGGGAAGGGCGGAGCTGCGTCCCGGGGAGACACGCCTTGCAGCCGGCAGCCTAGTCGCTCCCCGCTGGCCGGCCGCTCCGTGAGGGCCCCGCAGCGGAGGGTCGGGGCTGGGGCGGGCTGGAGAGGGGGCCCCGGGCTGGGGCCGGTTCGGCCTCCCGGGTGGCGCGCGGGCCGAAGAACTAGGAGGACCGCCGGGCCGGGCCGCTTGTCCTTTGGAAAAACCTTGGCGGTTCCTCCTCTGGTGTCCGTGGACCCCGCCGTGGCGTTCTCCAGGGCCGCGGACCTTTGCCCACCGGTCGCGCCAGCTGTCCTGGAGCAGAAAGGACCCCCCTCCTCCCGGACCGAGCCCCGAGCCCCGAGCCCCATGGAGCAGGCAAGCGCCGGAGTCCCGAGGCTAAGGCCCGGCCGGCGGGCGCTCTGGCACCTTTTCCCGCCCCCGAGGGTGCCTGTCCGGCCCGGCCGGGACTGGCTGGGAAACCGAGGCCGGAAGAGGTCGCAGTCCAGCAAGGAATCGGTTTGTGTGGGGTGGGGGTGGGATGGGAGACCCCTCCCCAACCCCACCAGCCCCAGCCCAGCTGTGGCCCCCGCCGTGTCACTCAGAAAACCAGCGTCAAACCCCAGCCCTGCCTGGGATGTGGACCTTGCCTGGGGAGAGTCCCGTTCAGGCTTTTCCAGGGCCTCTCCCCTGAGCAACAGGGGTGTCTGCGCTGGGCCTGGGCACTCACCAGGGCCTGCAGGCTGCCAGTCTGGAGTTTCCCTAGCATCAAATGTGCCACCGGAAGCTGAAGGTGGGGATGACCAGTGCCCCCCGGAGCGAAGACCCCCCCATCTCTCCAGGATTGGGGGTCTGCTTAGGGGTCCACTTAGGGGTGTATCCCTCAGGCATTGGAAGTGCAGATGGGAGGCCCTGAGCCATGGTGGCTCCCCCAGTCCCCAGTTCTTTCTCTGTGTAAATCCAGCTTTGCAGGGACGGGGATGTGGTGCCTTTCCCGGAAGAGCCGGGGTCCTGGGGCGTGGGGAGGCTGGGGCTGGGTCGTGGGGAGCTGGGACTGGGGTGTGGGGAGGGGCCCAGGGTGAGCAAGCTGAAGCAGGACTGGCACAGGCCTCTGGAGGGCCTGGGGGAGGCTGGACGCCCCGGGGTGCACCCTTGCTTGTGCACTCTTCTAAGGGTCAGTCTCAGTTTGCCCATCTGTAAATAGGGTTGATTGTCCCTGCCCTACGTGGCTGTTGTGAGCATTCAATGAGCACTACCAGTCCTGGGAGACTCTTGGTGTTTTTTATTGTGCTAAAATACACAAATATAAATTTCCCATTTCAACCATTTCTTTTTGCTCCTTCACTCCCCACCCACCCACCCACCCATTTTTACCGTATAGTTCAGTCGTGCTCAGTACCTTCTACCTTCACGCTGTGTGCAACCCATCTCCAGAAGCCTCTTCATCCTGCAAAATTGAAACTGGACCCATTAAACAACACCTCCCCATTCCTCCTCCCCCGGCCCCTGGCAACTGCCATTCTGCTTCTTTCTCCACATATGGAATATATTCTATATACCTAGTTTTACATTAATATCATAGATAGCTTTGTTTTCAGTATGTATATCTACTTTATTCTTTTCAGTAATTTCATGTTTATTATGTGGCTGTACCATCATGGTTTAAACTATCCATATTTTAAAGAGTTGATTTATATTGGTTGTTTTTACAAACAGAGCTGCAAACAACAGCGGTGTGCCAACAATTTTTGTGTGTGTGGGGGGGGGTTCTTTTTTGTTTTTGTTTTTGTTTTTGAGACAGAGTCTCACTCTGTCGCCCAGGCTGGAGTGCAGTGGCAAGATCTCGGCTCACTGCAACCTCTGCCTCCCAGGTTCAAGCAATTCTCTTGCCTCAGCCTCCCAGGTAGCTGGGATTATAGGCGCCTGCCACCATGCCCGGCTAATTTTTGTATTTTAGTAGAGATGAGATTTTCCCGTGTTGGCCAGGCTGGTCTCGAACTCCTGACCTCAAGCTATCCACCTGCCTTGGCCTCCCAAAGTGCAGGGATTACAGGGGTGAGCCACCGTGCTTGGCCCTCCTTTGTTTCCTTAGATAGTGTTTCTTGAAATAGATTCCTAGAAATAAGATAGACTGAAGAGTATGTAAATTTTAAATTTTTTTACAGACTGTGTCATTGCTTTTTAAAAATGCTGATTACCAAAATGTCACTTTTTGATACTAAAAAATAGATTGTTTTAAACACACAAAGTAAGTAGGGCTTATCAAAAAGTTAATATATTTTGCATTTCTCACAAGTGTGTTGAATTTCTCCCCCTTGCATTGTACAGCAGGAATCCTGACTCAGTCTAACTTTCTTATACTTAAAAAAGTATATACTAAAACATAGGCCAGGAGTTAGCAAACGTTTTCTATAAAAGACCAGATAGTAAATATTGTTCTTTGTGGGCTATATAATCTCTGTTGCAACAATGTGACTCCACCTTTGTCTTGGAAAGCTGGGATAGATAATATATAAAAGAGTGGGAGTGGCTGTGTTTCAACAAAACTTTGTTTACAAAACAGGGGTCATACTAGATTTGTTCTGAGGACCATAGTTTCTTAACCTCAGTCTAGGCAATCCATCAAGTAATTCTGCATTCACGATAGAAGTCTTATTGTATATATTGGCTGACTGTCTTTCCTTTCTCTAATGTTAACCACTGATTTTGTGGAGCATGGATTCTAGGGAAATAATACCCAGGTAAGATGTCTATTACCATGTGTGTCTTATTTTTGAAAGAGTGGTTAAATTCTTATTGAGGCCGGGTGCAGTGGCTTATGCCTGTAATCCCAGCACTTTGAGAGGTCGAGGCAGGCAGCTCTCTCAAGTTCAGGAGTTCAAGACCAGCCTGGCCAACATGGTGAAGCCCCGTCTCTACTAAAAATACAAAAATTAGCTGGGTGTGATGGCATGCACCTGTAATCCCAGCTACTTGGGAGGCTGAGGCAGGAAGATCACTGGAACCCGGGAGGCAGAAGTTACAGTGAGCCGGCATGGCACCACTACACTCCAGCCTGGGCAACAGAGCAAGACTCCATCTCAGAACAAGTCAAAACAAAACAAAACAAACACACAAACAAAAAACTGGGAGACCGAGGTGGTCAGATCACAAAGTCAGAAGATTGAGACCAGCCTGGCCAATATGGTGAAAACCCGTCTCTACTAAAAATACAAAAATTAGCCGGGTGTGGTGGCAGGCACCTGTTCTCCCAGCTACTTGGGAGGCTGAGGCAGAAGAATTGCTTGAACCTGGGAGGCAGAGATTGCAGTGAGCCAAGATTATGCCACTGCACTCCAGCCTGGGCGACAGAGCAAGACTCAGTCTCAAAAAAAAAAAAAAAAAAAGTCTTATTGACAAGTTCAGTAGTTTCTTGTCTTTAGTCTGCATGTGTATCACTTGGGGGTTTGGTAAAAATCTAGATTCCCGCATCCAAACCCAGTTCTCTTGTGAGCATTTTAAATGACCATCCCAGGTGGTTCTGGAATGCTCATAGGATTGCATATTAGTTACACTATTTATTCGCTGCATGGCCATGGACAAGTTGTTTTAACTCTCTGAGCCAACATTTCCTCTTCTGTTAAATGGGAATATTAATAATACTTAGCCCTTGGAGACACTGTTAGAATTTGAAGCACAATGAATAATTTTTAAGAGAGCTTGACTCATGAGAAAAATAAGCTTAAATGCATGAATATATATATCAAGCATGAATTTACCTAGTGCATATGCATTATACACTGGGTGCATAATACTTTATAAAATAATCATTGTTTTAAAAAATAGAGTTTCATTATTTGGGGAGAGGCATTACCGTCATTTCCTTTCTGCTGACTTCCCCTCTTCAGAGTTTTCTGCTCTTCCCCTCCCATCCCACCACCTTGCTTTGTCACAAAACAAAGCCAATAGGATCACCAACAGTTTAAGACTGGTTTACTCAAAACGAATTCATTGTTTTACATAGCTGAACACAGAAATGATAAATAATGTTCTATAAATATTTGTTGGTTGACAGCTTTGGAACAATGTCCTCTAGAAAAAGCTGAACGTAGCCACCCACCTTGTACGAGAGCCGCAAAGAATAGCCATGTGCCTGAATATGTGTCAGCCGCTGTGTGACTGGAGGGGCTGAGGAAGGGGCGTAGAGGGTGTTGTGAGGTCCCTTCCGACAAGCAGTCAAGAACGCATAGAAATACATTACAAAAATTAAATAGATAAGTTGAAATGCATGTTAAGAAGAGCCCCAGAGTGTGGTTGCTTGGGTAGGGGTAGGTTCAGGAATTGAAGGGACGTCCCTAGGGCCTGGGTCCCTGCCTCCTAATTTGCCACAAATGTAACAGTGTCTTGTTGCTTCCAGGTCACTCAGGGATTCGACTCTGAGGTCAGTGATGCACTTGGCACCAGAACTCGATGGGGTTGGCACAGACCTGCCAGCCTCAGCCACTTTCATTCTGGAAGCTGTTAAAAGAGACAGTTATAAAAATTGAGGAATCAGCAAGAGAATTCCTGGTTCCGTGCTACCTTCTTCTCTCTGTCTTGGCAAGTGTAGGGCCTGTCCACTTGCTCAGGACTCTTTGTCCAACCTCAGCTCCCTAGACCTTTCATCAGTGGCTCAGGGGGTCTCTTCAGGCAGCCTCTTCCGGCTAACACTTCCTCCTGTCTTCCCTCTGTCAGGGGCAGCTCTTCCGTGGTTCCTTGCAGACCCCAGGTCAGGCCAGAAAACACCTCTATGGCCCTTCCCTGTGTCCCACCACCAGATAGGACCTCAAAGGCCTGGGGTCCCCAGGATGGCCCTCAAACCGACTGGTGCCCTTGCAGGCTGCCACCCTCCAAGTCCTGCTTCTCTCTAGAGATGGGCAGGAGCACCAGCCCTCACCTGGCACCAGCAGTGAGTCTCATAATTGCCATCTACCATTTTGCTAGGGGGCTTCTGGGGATCCTAGGAAAAGCAGCAGATGCCTGGGTGCTTGGGGACCTGGGCATTCTGAGGGAAGGAGCAGCGTGACCCTGAGTCATTTTTCACTGGGGACAAATGAGCCAACTCCTTCTACCCAGTGATAAAATCAGAAGGAAGCAGATGGAGACAGCACTGTTCAGGGGATGATTTGGGGATGAGAAGAACTGGCAGGAAGTTGGGGATGTGGGGGTGAGAAGAACCAGCAGGAAGTTGGGGATTTCTTGTTTCCCCACTTTTCCCTTCCATTTCTGTTTGAGCCTTAGGTTTGGCCTCCGTCTCCCTCTGTAGGAATTGCAGCTAATTAAATATTCTGCCTCTTATTCCAGCTTTACTGGTGGAACATAATATGGTCTAAGAAGAGATTTTTCCAGCAAGAGGCCATCTCTGCAAATCACCTGTGAGGCAGACCTGTGGCAATTTTATGACTCAGCTGGCCACCGGGATTGTAGCTGGGTTCTGCCGCTTGTTGAAACCTACTCAGTGTTCTCCTTCCCTAAGTAGGACAAGACCGTATCCTGCCTTTAAGATTTATAGAATAAAAACTGAAAACTCTTTGGGGAAGAAAATCTTCCCGAACAGATAGCCCAGGGCATTTTGAAAATCCCTTAGGAAGTTCTCTGTTTCACTTGGGTACCTTTGTCCTTGGACTTTGGTGATGTGGTTTGACCCCAGCCAGAGAGTGCAGGGAACAACAGCAAAAGGCAGGACAAAGACTGACTCGTGAGAGGAGGCCCAGGAACAGGGGGGCATCGTGAATGAGGAGGACGTGGGGGCCCAAGAAAGTGAGCTCTTGCGCACTCAGTCACCAGCCCCCTTCTGGGGTCCAAGCTGTGTCCCCTTCTCTAAAGAGGTAAGCCCTGAGTCATGGGAAGATGGAAACCGGGGCTGATGAGACAGGATGTTTTTTAAGCACCGTGGTATCTTGTTGACTTGCACATGCACGGGGGTCTTGGGTAACCACAGGGCTCAGGGTATTTGCAGGAACAGTTCAAGTGCTCACTTGTCTTGGGGCTGTTTATGGGGAAGTGGTTTCCACAGTGAGAGGACGTGAGATATTGTTGTCACCCCGGACCACACTTAGCTAGTTCCTTCTCACTAAAGCTCTGTAGTCATATTTTCCCTGGCAGAGCAGAAACTTCTATGTTATCCCACAGCTGTTCTAACGGCGTAGACTTGACTTATGCAATGATGCCAGGAGTCCTGAGCAGCACAGCCCAACTTCAATCACACACAGATGGACAGAGCTGTATTAGCAAAGCCTGAGCTACTGAGCGATGAGAGTACAGCCAGGCTTTCAGACATCTGTTCATTCAAGAGAGATATGCGCTAAGCCAAGGACCTAAAGATGTGTTTAATGTGGGTGCTAATATGCATAAGGAACCTTGAAATAAATGTTCTTAGCCTTTGGCCAAGAGGGTCCATGTCTAGGAATCTATTCTCCATAGAAATAAATTCAAATATGGAAAAAATGAACAATGCATAAGTGTATTTGGTCCCCAGCATATTTATAGCAACTTAAAATTGGACCCAATTTAAATGCCTATGATATGGAAATTGCTGAGAAAATTATGGGCTCTTCCCTTAATTGGCTATTAGGCAGCCTTTACAAACAATGCAGTGACATGAGAAATGCTTATGTTATGGTAAGTTTAAAAAACTCAAGATGCAAATCAGCTTATTTTAATCAGGAGCCACCTAGCATTTGGGATGTGGTCAATCCCACATAATGTATTTTTGTGGGTGCAGTTCCCAGGAAAGAAGAGGAATAAAAACGGCAAGTATGAAGTGTCTCCTTCGCTTGCAGTCTCCTTGTCTACCCCTTTGTCCATCCACTATGAAAGGACTCCCTTCTGTTCCTTAATATGGACAATTTCTATTGAGGACTCATTGTTCTAAGAATTGTCTCATCTCCTCCTGCATCCTCAGTGCCCGATCTTTGGCTTCTATGAAGGAAGGTGGGCAGTGCCTATGGCAGGTCCAGTTCTACCTTTCTCAGTATGTTCTGGCGTGGGTATGTAGCCCCATTTTCTAGTGGTTACCTTGACATCATGAAGAGTTTATGTCTCTTTTGCCCTAGGTTTGGGCAATAGTCATTCACTGTGCAACAGGAAATACACGAGTCAGCATCTTATTAAAAATAAAGTCATTCAGGAAAGTGGACGACTAATAGTTTCTAATCTAGAGAGCATAGGAGAAGAAATGTTTACCACACACAAAGTATTAGTGCCTTTTATATCACGAAGACAAAAATAACAGGAAAAAGACAAACACATTATAGTGAAAACTTGTTTTTCCTAACCAGCATCTATTCTGCATGTTTCCTGATGCCCGAAACTCACATTTCCTCAGGAAAATCTCCCTTCTGCACCATTCTCAGGCTTTAAGTTTATGTAAAATTCAGTAAACCCAAAGATTCAAGTTATGTGCCTTGATTAACTTAAGCAAATCAATGAAACCCATCCCCATAACCACAGCGACAGGTTAGGAAATTCGGTTCCTAAGTCAGTCACATCCGAAAGGGCCTAGTGATGTTTTTTTCCAGTGGGATCACAGACTCACTCTTCCTTGCAGAAAATGAACAAAGGATTCATGTAACACTGGCAGGTACTGGCAGCCACCCAGGGCCTCTCACAGGAAAGGGAGATCAGAAAGAGAAGCAAAGAGGACTCATGAGATACCATAGGGCTGCTGCGTCCAGCCTTGCCTGGAGCTAGGGCCACCTCGATGCCCTATAGTCTTGGAGCCACAACGTGCATTTACTCAAAGCCTCTTTGAGTTTGGTTTGCTTGTTTGCTTTCTGCCTGGAAACTGCCAGCATCCTGAGAGATACGAGATCTGCATCTGTGCAGAGACACAGGGTTTGTTAAAAGTCACAGGCCCTGACTGAAGTGTGGAACTGGCTGAAATGAGAAAGTGGTAATTTGGGGAGGACCTTGTGAAATGGAAGGAGTTTTAAACCTTACATGCATCAGAATTACCTGGAGCCTTGTGAAAACACAGGTTGCTGGGCCCTAGTCCATTAAGAAAGGAAGTGGGGCTTAGAATGTTCATTTCTCCCATGTTCCCAGGTGATATTCACCATGCTGTCCTGTCTGGGCACTACCTTTTGCCATACCCATTACAAGGTATTGCACGTGCTGGTTGAACTATGGTCTGTCTTATTTTGGTGCTAAAAGCCTGTGCCAAATACCAACGCTGCAGCATTAAGGAATGTGATAGAAAAGATTCTGAATATAGGCCAGGCGCAGTGGCTCACGCCTGTAATCCCAGCACTTTGGGAGGCCGAGGCAGGCAGATCACGAGGTCAGGAGATCAAGACCATCCTGGCTAACATGGTGAAACCCCGTCTCTACTAAAAATACAAAAAATTAGCCGGGCGTAGTGGTGGGCACCTGTAGTCCCAGCTACTTGGGAGGCTGAGGCAGGAGAATGGCGTGAACCTGGGAGGCGGAACTTGCACTGGGCTGAGATCGCGCTACTGCACTCCACTCCAGCCTGGGCGACAGAGCAAGACTTCGTCTCAAAAAAGAAAAAAAAAAAAGAAGATTCTGAATATTGGAACTTAGTAGCTATGTATTACATCAGTAAGGTCCTTTAAGAAAGAGTTTAGGCTGCTTTGAAATGGGCTCATCTGAAATTGAAAAAGGAAGAAATTGAACTTGCTAAAAAAGGCCCTTCCAACTTATTGACTGAGAACCCAGTAATCTGGAGACTTGAAGGGCTGTAATGGCAGAATTTTCTACTCTAAGATAAAGTTAGCATGAGCAGAGACAGGAAGATGAGAGACCTAATGAGGCCAAGGGTCAAATATTCATCACCTCCACATGGGCCAAGATGCAGGCAGAGGTCTCTCACCAGGGACTTGGTGGTAGAGGTGACACTGGTAGTGAGGTCTGTGCTAGAAAGTGCACATCCCTGGCTGGGCGCGGTGGCTCACACCTGTAATCCCAGCACTTTGGGAGGCTGAGGCAGGTGGATCACGAGGTCATGAGTTCAAGACCAGCCTGGCCAACATAGTGAAACCCCGTCTCTACTAAAAATCCAAAAATTTAGCCAGATTTGGTGGCAGGCACCTGTAATCTCAGCTACTTGGGAAGCTGAGGCAGGAGAATCTCTTGAACCCAGGAGGCTGAGGTTGCAGTGAGCCAAGATCACACCATTGCACTCCAGCCCAGGAGACAGTACAAGACTCCATCTCAAAAAAAAAAAAAAAAAGAAAAGAAAAAAGAAAGTGCCTATCCCCAACCCCATTTAAAATGCAAATTCGAGCTTTGTAACTGAAAACATCTCTGCTTCTGGCTACCTGGCCCATGGAATTGATCAGAAGCAAATAGTAGCCTATGGACATTAGAAGGGAGTCACATTGCCAAAGAAACCACAAGACTGGTTCCAAACAGTCGCTGATTACACAATACCTAAGGCAACCTCAGGCTAACTCACACAGACAGGAAGTCAGCAGCCTCCAGAAAGCAGATCCTCCACATTGCACATCTCAGATTGTCCGTGGAGGACATTCCCCCAGGGAGGAGAGCTAGGGACTGCCAGATCAGCTGAACTGCTTAAAAATGCAATTCCCATTCTCCAGTTCCCTAACAGGAGTCTGTGTTTAACTTACTCTGTTTGTTCATAACACTTGTATTTAGGGAATATTGGGCATGATTAAACTTTGTTTAGCTTTGGGTTTCTGGACCTTGTGAAACAATTCAGTGCAGGCAAATATTGTATTCCCCTATATTTTTTTCCTGAAAGTCAATAAAGAAGGAATGATGACACCTTCACTGCATCTATGGGGACAAAAGCTGCTCGTGTGTGTGTGTGTGTGTGTGTGTGTGTGTGTGTGTGTGTAAGAGAGAGACAGAGAACAGCCTTGTCAAAAGGATGTGTTTGTTGCTGTACCCTCATTATACGAAAGCCATCATGGCATCAAAATGCTGTAAGCCAGGCTGAGCTCTATTCTCTCTGCATCAACTCAGAATCCCTACCAGAAAGTGGTTGTGATGGATGGAATATCACCCATCAAAGAACAGGGTAAGATGAGACCAGAGAGGTAAGCTATGCAAGCTAATCAGAAAATAACTCAAAGTTTTAAAAGTGCAGAATATAAAAAGGAAAAACCCTCATTCCTAAAAAAATTTAAAAAAAGCCTCATTTCCTCAAAGAAACGACAGTTAGCTATTTGATGTGTGTCTTTCCAAATATTTGCCTATGTAAATATATGTGTGTATATGGCTTTTAAAAATAAAAACAAAATAATATCCTTTACAGACAGTTTTGTAGCATATGTAGAGAATATATATGCATATACTGAATGTAAATAGATATGCATTTTACCTAGAATATTGAGGACACTTTCCACAGTTATAGATGTGTGCTGCTTTTGTTTACTGACTGCAGAATATTCCATTGATGGACATCTTAATCCTCTACTTATTAATCCCCTACTGATGACTGTTTGCATTTCTTTGCTCTTTACCAACCATACTTGAAAGAATATCCTCATGTCTACATATTCTTATCTTTTGGCAGTGTTTCTATGAAGCAGATTCCTAGAAATGGGATCAGGTCAAATGGGATGTAGGTCACATAGTATGTGCATTTTAATATCTGCTAAGTAGTAGTGTTTAATTATGCTTTAAAGAGTTTGAGCCCTACAATTCTAAACATGTTTGGACACAGAAATTAGATTATTTTAAACAAAATGAAATAAGCATAGCTCATAAAAATTAACACGTTTGGTTTTCACACAAATATTTTGAATTTCCCTTTCTTCTGCAAAAAGGACCCTAGCTTAGTATGCATTTCTTGTACATATAATGCAAGCAATCCATCTATTAAATAACTTACCTTTCAAACCTATAGACAGCATCCTGCTCCACACAGAAGCTGGTTGTCTTTTCATTCTCTAACATTAGCTATTTATTTTGTAGAGTGTAGATTCTAGAGAAATAATGTATAATACACCTGTTGCCATATGCAGAGACTTACCACATTTAGAAAACAGTGGTGAATTCTATTGACAGTGGCTCTCAGTCATTAACATGCTATGGAACACCTCATGAGCTTGATAAAAATATCAGTTCCCAGGTCTACACCTAAAGATCCTGATGTAATTGGCTTAAATAATCACTGCTGAAACACTCTATGTCAACTCAGAATCCTGACAGGAAGTGGTTGCAATGGATAAAGTATCATCTGTTAAAGAATGGGGTAAGATTTGAGTATAGGCGGGTCATACTTTGGGAAATAACTTGGTCAATGGTTAACAGCATAGTCTGTAGTTCAATAAAAGTCCAGTTTTGGAACACAATTGACCGTTTACGTGCTGTGTAACCTCAGCCAAGTTGTCTAACCTTTCTGAGCCCTGGGTTACTTTTCTGTCAAGTGGAGGTATTAATAGTACCTAAGCTGTACTATTGCATTGGTAAGATTAAATGAACAATGTATAAAAAGCACTCAGTAGGAGGAGTAAGCCTCAACAATGTAAATAATTGCTATTAAGAGCTTGATTCATCATGAATATGCCCTACAGAATACTCTGCTTAATGGTGGCCATTCAAGTAGTTAATTCTCCTAGAGCGTGCATATTACGATTTGAGTTATAACATATTCGTAGTTTCAATGTTCCAGAATTTTGTGAAGTGGATAACTCTGTCGCAGCGCTCCCCATCTCTCCCAATTTCCCTCCATTTCACCTCTTCCTAATCTTTGCCTATGATTCCTCTTAACCAGTGATTTTGATTTGCCAGAAAAACAAAACCAAACTCAATACTGGTTTACCGTTTAAAAGAACATCTTTATTATTTCCCCAGGCCGATCACAGCCCTGAACAAAAGCATCTGATACACATTTGTCAGTCTGGTGGCTTTGGTGCCATGACTGCCTACACAGGCCGATGACAGCCACTCGGTTGTCACCAGACACACTGTGAGGGAAGGTGGAGGGGACAGGGGGAACTCTCAGAGCAAACAATCACAAACACACTGTGAAATCAAAAATAAATTATAAAAACTAAATAGTATAAATAAATTAAAATTTAAGTTAAGAAGAGTCCCACAGTGTGGCTGTTTGGCAATAACCAGTCCATAGAAGAGGTAGCTGTGGAGGTCACACGCATGTTCCCAAGGCTCAGGCTCCTGCTCCTCCCCACTGGGCCCACTGAGGTCGCTGGGCCTCGAAGCTTCTGGACCCCTCAGGCACTCAGCTCCAGGTCACTGACGTATTTCTGGACCCACTCCTCACTGGGGTCAGCACAGACCTGCCGGCCTCTCTTGGTTAGGAAGCTGTGGAGAAGGGAGGAAGAGTTAAGCACTGGGGAATCCAGCCGGGGAATCCTGGGCCCACCATGGCCCTGACATCCTGCTCTCTGTCCTGGGCAGCTCAAGGCCTGCTCCTCTCTCAGGGGCCCCCTGCCTATCTCCGTCTAGAGAGCTTCTCTCAGTGACTCCAGGCAAGGGGGCCCTCAGAGTGTCCTGCTGCCTCCTTCTTCCTGTCCCTTTCCTCTGGCCTGGGGCAGCCCTTCCTGACTCTGTAACACCCACCTCACTCCAGCCCCAAGTCAGGTCACACCTCAGTGCCCTGCGTCCTGTATCCCCGATAGGCTCCTGAAGGCTGGGCCTTTCCAGGATGGCCTTCTGGCCTGTTTCTGCCCCCACCCTGACACTCCCTACCTCCCTAGAGGTGAGCAGGAAGACTGGCACTTACATGACACTGGGCTTGGAGCACTGGCTGCTCGTCTCAAAGTAGTCAGCTATGAAATTCTGTGGAATCTGTCGGGAGGTGTAGCTGAAGCAGCAGGCGGTCGGCGTGTCAGCAGCAACTGCGGAGAAAGGAGAGAATAAGCCCGAGTCACAGCTCAGAAGAAAAGGCCAGGCAGCTTCTGATCCCTGAGTGGTTGAGGAGGGCAGGCTTGCTCAGACCAAGTGACTGCAAGGCATTTGGGGGGTTTTGCAGAGAAATGTCTCTTTGTTTCTGTCTATATTCCTCTTTCCCCTTGACTCTTCATAGTGGGTTCTCTGTTTCTCTATGTGATCCAGATACCTGAATGGACTGTTCTCTTAGCTCTCTTCATGGAATTTTGTCGGTTCAAGAAGTCATACCCCAGCCCAAGAGAAGCCCTGGACATCTCTCATAAGACATCCAAGGGACAGGGCTCCTGGGAGACCTAGGGTGAGCTGGAGAGTGAAGAACAGACCCCACTGGGAAGTAAGCAGCCCTGGATTCTGCCTCTTGCAAACTGATTCGTTTTGAACCCTGTTTTTCTATCTGTACAAGGGACTGTAACTCCCCTGCCCCTGCCTAGATTCTCATACCTGGAGACTAGGAGGGCTAAGACCCCTTCTAGAGATAAAAATAAAAGTTGTGAAGAAAAAGACCAAGGTGTTTGGCAGCGCTTTAAGAACTTCCTTCTTTTCTCTTCGGGGCTCTCAGGCCACAAAAAAAGACTGATGTGGTCTAACCATGGCCAGAGAGTGGTGATACCCACAACAACAACATGGACTCACGTGGTGCAGAGAGGACCTGGTTGCAGAGAGCCATGGTGCAGAGGAGGACGGCAAGGGCAGCAGTGGAGACCTGCATGATTGGGAGCAGGTGATGGAATGTGGGCTCGAGTGTCAGCAGAGCCAAGAAGGGACTGACTACTCTTTGCTGCCTGCGTCCTTCTGATGTCTGAAGCCATCTCTCCTCTTTATAGGCAGCCCTGGCGGATGGGGAAATGGAATCTGGGGGTGAGGAGGGAAATTTTTAAGTGTAGTGATGCTGTCATGCTGAGTGTTGCACAACTCAGGGTCCCTGGTGACCACAGGGGCTCAGGATATCCAAGAATAGCATCTCTGAGCTACTCTCTAACTCTCAGCTCTCAACTCATGACTGGTTCTAGCTTCATGGGGTTTCTCCTGTGAGTGTGAAGAGGGGTGTGTGTCAACCCAAGGCTATTCTTAGTTGATCCCTTCTCATAAGAACTGGTCTATGCAGCCAGGCATGGTCGCTCACACCTGTAATCCCAACACTTTGGGAGGCCGAGGCTGCAGATCACCTGAGGTCAGGAGTTTGAGACCAACCTGACCAAGAAAGAGAAACTCCATCTCTACTAAAAATACAAAAGTAGTCAGGCGTGGTGGCACATGCCTGTAATCCCAGCTACTCGGGAGGCTGAGGGCAGGAGAATCGCTTGAACCCAGGAGGTGGGGGCTGTGGTGAGCTGAGATCATGCCATTGCACTCCAGCCTGGGCAACAAAAGTGAAACTCCATCTCAAAAAAAAAAAAAAAAAAGAATTGGTCTATGCATGAACTCTCCAGCCCCATTCCTTCCCACAGAGCTGTAATTCTGCTTCCTCAGCTGCTATAACCACAAGGATAGGGTCAATGGGCTGATGCTGTGGAGGGCTAGACAACCCCCAGTCCTCCCAGAGGAAAGGAACTCAATGAAAGCTGGAGGAATAGAAAGCATGAGGTCACGTTTCAGTCATTTGTCTATTTATTAGTCTCGGAGTGACTGGGGCGCTGTGTTAAACGCTAGTTGTGGATCATAAAAATACTTTAGAGGTGGGTGTCAGTATGTCAGGTGCCTAGAAATATGTGTAGCCATTAACCTAGAAAAAGCATTTCTGGGAAAGAGTTCTGTGGAAACAACCCAAATATGGAGCCATCTTCAAACATAAAGATACCTGACCCAGCATCATTTATAACTCTAAAATAAGCAAAGCTAAATTTTTCTCTATCAGGGAATGATAAATTATCCACAAGATCCTTTATTATTAAGTCTCTAACGTGAATGAAGTGGCATAAATATGCTTATAACATCAGTGGTTAAAAAAAAAGCAAGATAAAACATTATACAAATTCTATAAAATTTGAAGAATTGTATAAAGATATATATATGCCATGCCAACTCTAGGCATGGAAAAAATTAAAAGGCTTGGAAATACATGCCTTAAAGAATGAATAGTGCTTAGATCCATGGGTGATTTATTTTCTTATTTTTTTCTTTTTCTGAATTTTCCTCATTTTATTTAGTGAGACTTTATTACCTTCTTGGTCAACCCACAAATTTATGAACTAATTTTGTTTTAAAACATTTCCAACATCACTGGTTGAAAAGTGGGTTGTTGTCAGTTGTTTAATCTGAAAGAAATTACTGATAAATATGCTACAGTTTCTGTTCAATGGGCTTTGCCAAAATGAAGTCTTGATTTCCCATTTCTTTGAACCATTTTAAGGATCCTATACTATACTTACATAAATAATGCCAAACTGAAGCAGTTTTTTCCTTATTCTTTTCAACACATAATTTCAGTGGTGTGGAAGGGTCTCTACCTTCTCAGCCAGATTATATGCTTTTTTTTTTCTTTTCCATACTTTGTTATTTTATTATTTTGCAATCAATCAGCATATCTCATTTTATAATGAGAAATAGATTTAGTTGGTTTTAATGATCTTTGTTTCTGAGATGCCCCTGGTCTCATGGGGGCAGGTAGAGTGTATGAACAGGTAATTGTAAAACTCTTAGTAGAAAAAGAAATGAAAGCTCAGAACCCCATGAGGAAGAAGTGACCTTCCACCAGAGGGTTGGGGAAGGCTTCATGGAAGGGATGGAACTTTAGTTGTGTCTGGATAACTGCCCGGGATTTAGGCATCTATAGATGGGTGGGCAGTGGAGGCCCAGCTGAGGCAGAGTCCTGGGTGTGACATTGTGGCTCAGAGGAAAGAGGGGGTGCTTCAGTGGAGCTGCAGAGCAGTGGGGGTGAATATGGATGATAAAGGTAAATTGGGACCAAACCAGGACAGGCCTTGAATTCCCCCCAAAGGGGTTAGAGTTGACACACTTGATGCTGGAGAACAACGGAGGACAGAAGCCAAGTGGGACCACGCCTTTGAAATTCTGTCCTTCCTGAGTGTCTTTAGAGTTAGGTCTTTTAATACACATGAGCTCTGTTTCCATTCCACCCCAGTGATGGCTAGTGCCAGTCTTGAGGGAGGAGAAGCAGAGGCAAGATCAGGGGCCGTGGTAGGTTTCATCAGAGCTTTGGCATCCACGTATCTTCCCCTATTGCTACCAATTCCAAATAAAGGTATCTCTGCCACTTGTCTCATTAGAAACCTACATCACAGGCAATGACTCCTTCTCACCCCACCCTCTGCCTCTCAGCTCTCGTTGATACCCTGAATTGCGTTCCCTCACTCACTTCTTAGGGGAACCCCCTCCATACTCGTGATTCCTTTTCTGGGAGCTGGCTTCTGTGAGTTGTGGAGAGTGAGAAAAGGAAATGGAAACTGCTGAATCAGTCAGTGTTCTGATAAGGGACATCCTCTATCTCTGTGATTACAGTACAGTGTGTTATAATTAGTTACCTATGTAATTTGCTCTTCAAAAACCTAGACCATGTCCTGTTGATTTTATTTTAGTTTCTTTTTCTCAAGAAATTTATAGTTTAATAAAGGCAATGTGGGAGTTTGGAAACAAACTTTGATTTTGTACTAATGATAGATTAGCAACTACACAAATTTTAGTTCACAATAAGTAATATTTATCGAGTGATCACCATGTGCTGATTTCCATAATATGGATTTACATGTTTGAACTGTCTTCAAAACAACCCTATGATTTAGTTACCAGTATACTTTCTTAGTTGAACAGGTGAAGAAACCAAAGTAAATAGAGGTTAAGCAATTTTCCGAAGGCCGTAAAGCTGATGACTAGCAGAGCAGGGATTCACATCCAGGTAGTCTGACTCTAGGTACCACACGCTACACGTCCTGTACCACAACTTATTATATTTGATCCTCATACCAATCCTATAATGGTAGATTTTTTAGAGTGTCTTCTCAGATTGTAAACCAACTCCAGACCATGTCTCGTTGGTTGATTTAAACCAAATCCTAGTACATGATGATTATAACATGATGAACCTCCTGACCTAGTCTCTATCTCTTATTATTGTGTTCTTTATAATAAAGATGATTTATTGAATATATAATTCTATCTCAGTGTTTATATATTTGTAAGACTTTCTCTATCAATCCCCAAACCAGGAAATAGCCCTTTGCCATGTGTTTTGGCTTGGAGTAAAATATAGTTGCACGCATAGCATTTGCTTAATTTATATACGTTGAATGAATAATGTAAGGGAGATGTAGGACGGGGTTGAGTTGGGAGGGTCTTAGACATTTCCTAGGTGGTAAATTGATGTTCCCAGTTGAAATGACGTACCCAGGGTCATGCAGGTGGAATTGGTCAGTTTTATATTCCACTGTCTGTGTTAGTTACCAGTGTATCTCCAGTGATAACCACAATGCCTGACATATAGTGAAGCTTAATATCTATTTGATGAATAAATAAATCACTGATTTGACTAACAATATGTGTTATGCCTGAACTCTCACTATGGAGTTGAAATACTAATGGGAAAGGTAGGATAAGAAAGGCCATGGTGAGTGGGAACGGGGAGAGGATCAGGAAAAACAACTAATGGGTACTAGACTTAATACCTGGGTGATGAAATCATTTGTACACCAAACCCCCATGACACAAGTTTACCTATGTAACAAACCTGCACATGCATATCTGAACTTAAAATAAAACAAACACACACATACACACACACAGAATCAGGAGAGACAGTCAGAAGCATGACAGGTCTCCAGAGCCAAGGAAGAATTTTTAAATAAAATGAGAATTGAAGCCAGGCACGGTGGCTCATGCCTGTAATCCCAGCACTTTGGGAGGCTGAGGCAGGCGGATCTCCTGAGGCCAGGAGTTTGAGACCAGCCTGGTCAACATGGTGAAACCCTGTCTCTACTAAAAATACAAAAAATTAGCTAGGCGTGGTGGCACATGCCTGTAGTCCCAGCTACTCGGGAGGCTGAGGCAGGAGAATCACCTGAACCCAGGATGCTGCAGTGAGCTGAGATCGCACCACTGCACTCCAGCCTAGGCGACAGAGCGAGACTCCGTCTCAAAAAAAAAAAAAAAAAAAAAAAAAAAGAATTGAGGGTCCCAATAAAGATACAATTTGAAAGAGAAATGTAAATTAAACTTATATAAAGAAGTTTTCAGTAACTTGGATCTAAAAGTTTATGATTTGCTTTAAAGATAAAGGAAAGAAAGAAAGAAGAAAAAGAAGAAAGAGAAAGAAAGAAGAAAGAAAAAAGAAAGAAAGACGAAAGAAAGAAAGAAGCAAAGAAGGAAGGAGAGAGAGAAAGAAAAGAAAAGAAAAGAGAAAAAGGCCATGGTGTCACAGTTTTGATCTTTGGGAAACTGACCACCCAAGATTCCTTAGGTGGTGGTGACAGTAAGTAGCCAGCAGTCAACACCATGGACCCTTCAGCATGGAGGGATTTGATTTGTGTCCCAGCGTTCTGGCTCATTTCAGCCTCTGCGAGGCCCCACCTCAGTCCAGCAGAGCGTCCCAGTCCACAGTGCGGGGAATCCTGGCTGGGCAGTTTGTCCTCTGCGGCGTCTTTGCCTTGCGCTGCTCAGCTTGCCTCCCCACTGTGTGCTGCTGCCTGTGCTCTCCAGTGCGGAGCATTGCTTTCCTTCCAGATTCTGGCCCCGAGGCTCCACTTCCCCAAGTGTCACCCTCCTCTATCTCCTTTGGCAGCAGGCGCCCCAGGGATGGGTTCACTGATGATGACATCCTGTTTGGCCCAGCTTTGGCCTCCTTTTCTCATATGTGGTCTGCGTGGTCAGGTTGCAGCAGGTGTGGGCCCCACTTTTCATGCAGGCAGAAGCAGCAGCCTGGAGTCCCCTGTCTAGTATCTTAGACAGACAATGTCTCATTGACACAGCCCCTTCTTTCTGCAGCCAGCCCCTTGTTTCCCGTCCTGAGTCCTTGTTATTTTCTCTAGCCATTTCTTGCATGTGTGCAGTAGGTCAGGGCGTATGTCTTGGTACTGGATCCGATCCCTCTCCTGGTCCCTTGCCCTTTCTTCCATATTCTCTACCCAATAAAAAGTGCCTCTTCCTATCAGTCTTCCAGTCCAGAAAGCTGAGAGTCACCCTTGTCTCCTCTTTCTCTGTCATCTCCTACAGTTATTCAATCACCAACTCTAGTCTACATTCAATTTTACGTGCATCTGCCTCTCACCATTCCCACTGCCTCTGTCTTAGGTCAGGTTCTTATGGATTCTCACCATGACAACTAGAAGAGGGTCCTAGCAACTGCTTTTTCTTCCACTTTTGTCTCTAATTTATTTATTTATTTTGAGACAAGGTCTCACTCTGTGGCCCAGGCTGGAGTGCAATGGCTCGATCTTGGCTCACTGCAACCTTGGTCTCCCAGGTCAAGCAATTCTTGTGTCTCAGCCTCCCAAGTAGCTGGGATTACAGGCATGTGGCACCACACCCAGCTAATGTTTTGTATTTTTCGTGGAGACGGAGTTTCACCATGTTGGCCAGGCTGGTCTTGAACTCCTGGCCTCAAGTGATCTGCCTGCTTCGGCCTCCCAAAGTGCTGCGATTGATTACAGGAGTGAGTCACCACGCCCGGCCTAGTTTTGTCTCTTTTTAATCTATCTCACCATACAGCATCCAATATACTTTTGCTAAAGCTCAAATCAGTCTCTGTTTCTCTCCTTTTAAAATCTTGCAAACATTCTGCATCGTTTCTGACATGAAATGGAAGCTTCTCTGTAACCTGACCCCTGTCTACCTCTCTGGCCTCGTGACTTGCCTGCTGAGACTTCCTGAAAACCAAGACCCAGCCTTTTTGCACTACTTGTGGTTCCTTAAATGTGCAGCTCTCTACCTTGCTTTTAATGAAGGAGGTGCCCACTTGGTAAAGCACAATTTCACCTTCTTGTAAACCACAGGGCAGAGTGAAATGCTATGAATGTGGGCACATCCCGTGACAGCTGCAGGGATTCATATTTAGAACAATTAAGGAAAAACATTATGTAATTTCCCATCTTTTCTTTTCTTCTTCTTGTTGTTGTTTGTCTTTTTTTGACAGAGTCTCTCTCCGTCGCCCAGGCTGGAGTGCAGTGGGGGCGATCTCAGCTCACTGCAACCTCTGCCTCCCCTTCCCCCTCCCCCTGGGTTCAAGTGATTCTCCTGCCTCAGCCTCCCGAGTAGCTGTGATTACAGGCATGTGCCACCATGCCTGGCTAATTTTTGCATTTTTAGTAGAGACAGGGTTTCACCATGTTGGCCAGGATGGTCCCGAACTGGCCTCAAGTGATCTGCCCACCTCAGCCTCCCAAAGTGCTACAATTATAGGCATGAGCCAGCAAACCCAGCATGTAATTCCCCAAATTTTCTAAGAAAAAGAGAGAAATCCATGGATCTTGCTGTTCAAAGACATGCAAAATGCACAACAGAAAAGACATTTTACACCAGAATAACAGAAACTTTGGTTGTTATGCTTTTAACATAAATTTATAATACAGCACACTTCCCTTTTCTGATTTATTCATGCTCTAGAGCCAGACTTCTTGGCTTCAGTTTCAAATCTGCTGTGTGTCAGCTGTGTGTTTTTCCATAAGTTACGTACCTCTCTGTGCTTCAGTTTCTTCGTGTGTGAAAGGGGATAGTTACAGCACTTAACTCAGAGGGCCACTGTGAGGATTAAATGCATTAATACCTATGAAAGGCCGAGAACATTACTGGTTCATAGTAAGTGCTATCTACTATTATTACTATTACCATTTTATTATTATTGAAATATTTCAATACCTCCATTTTATATCCGAAACAAGTGCAGGTCTCTTGTTCTTTGCCTGGATACCCCTATCCCTGTCTTTGCCTGGCTAATTTCAGTTTAACCTATAATAGAGAAAAGTTAGAGCAATGTAAATGGACTGATGTGAATGATTAAATACAACTTTTGGTATATCTATGCAATAAAATATCATGTGTATATTCATGCCATTTTTGAGTAATATTTAAGTTTGTAATGGCACAGAAGAAGACTAAGTAGCAATAATAAGATATACTAGGTCATGAAAGAATATTAAGTACCAATAGTAAAATATAAAGCTAGGTACAGAATGATAGGGCAATTTTAATTTTCTTATATATGCTTCCCTATATTTTTTCAGTTTTGCAAACGACCACGTATACTTTCTATAAAAGAAAAACAAACTGATATATATGTTAGTTATAAATATATAGATATAATACATATATTAGTTATATATATATATATTATTTATTTATTTATTTATTTATTTATTTATTTATTTATTTTGAGACAGAGTCTCGCTCTGTCACCCAGGCTGGAGTGCAGTGGAGCTATCTCGGCTCACTGCCATCTCCACCTTCCAGTTTCGAGAGATTCTCATGCCTCAGCCTCCCGAGTAGCTGGGACTGTAGGCATGTGCCACCACACCAAACTAAGTTTTTGTATTTTTAATAGACGTGGGGTTTCACTATGTTGGCCAGGCTATTCTCAAACTCCTGACTCAGATGATCCACCCATCTCAGCCTCCGAAAGTGCTGGGATTATAGGCATGAGCCAGCACCCCTGGCCATAAATTTTTTTTCAAAAAAAAAACAAAAACAGATCTCAAATTTTTTGGAAGCCCTCCATAACACTTCACTACCACCATCTAAAGTGCTTACCCTCGCCCTCGGACACAATGCCTGTCACACAGTAGGTACTCAATACAGCTTTACTGAATTATGTTCATCTCTTGCTGGAGTATTCCCTATCGCCTGCATGGAAAAAGGCCAGAAACAATTTGAAGGAAGATGCTTCACAAGGAATACTGAAAGTTTTCTTGACCTCATGAATGCTGGTGAGGCTTTACCCCTCTCTCAGGAATTTAACATCTCCTGAAGTTCCTGACCTCTGCCTTTCACAACTAAGAGCAGGCTGTGGCGGTGACCAAGGTCCATTTCCATGGTAAGAAGAGTGGGGCTGGCCAGCTCTGTAGTCAGAGTGTGGCAGTCACCGATGAGCTGCTCCAACCGCTCACTGTCCTATGGAGGCAGAAATTTAAAAAATAAATATGCACTCATTCATTCCAAGAAAATAACAGGCAATAAAGGAGAAGTTTTCCTCTGCCTAGCAAGCTCGCTTCAAGGACAGTTATAAGATAACGTTGTTTGAGAAGTCGAAGCCAAAGGAATGGGCTCCAGACACCCCACCTCCATAACAAGTCTGAAGAAAAAAAAAAGGGACAAATGTCTGTATTTAGCCAGTTCTGTTTTTCTTTCAGTGCAGCTGTAAGGCCACCAGCTAAGCAAGGCCACAAGTTATGCTATGCTATAGACTATGGGACCTATCATTATATGATTAACTGCTTTAGTTTTGCTTCTGCAAGCCTGCTTGTAAAACCCCACTCTGTCTTTGTTGAAATGCTCCAAATGCTCAGCTTTTTGGATATGAATTCACTGAGCCAGTGCACACCTTAAAATAAATATCCTCCTGTTCTCCCATATTGGTCTCTTCATTCCTCAGTTTACTACAGCATTACAGATTTCATCCTGAAGAATGCTGCACTCTGGATAATTGTGTACTTGTTTCTTCAATCCACAATTCAGCTTCTGCTCCCATTTCCCCCAAAGTGACTTGGATACCATACTGGCAAAACCACAGGATTTGCCTCGTCTTGGTTTCTTATCTTGGCAAAATGACCCTATGTTCCAGCTCCCCTTGGGTTTCCAGTCTCCACATTTGCCCTCCAGGAGTTCTCTAGTTCTAGGCATCCACCTCCTGGAGGCCACCTCTTGGCCCCAACACTCAGAGGTCTCCCCAACACTCTAGGAGAGGCCAGGATGTCCAGATTGACTGCCTCTCTACCCTGCTCCTCAGCACTTTGGTAATCTCTTCTGAGAGTCTGTTATTAACAGAGATTGCCTATATGTGTAATCTCAGAAGGTCATACCTGTAGAGGGACTCTGGTCATCTCTGAACTGGGAATTGTAGGCCTTGGGTCTTGACATGCATCCTGTGTGACCTTGATCAGGTCTTTTCACTTCTCTAGGTTTTGCTTTCCTAATCTGTACCGTGGCAAAACAGATCAGGGTCAGGTAAAACCACAGGCCACGGATATGCTGAGGAAAATGAAAAATACCAGGGCATTTTCAAGGTCATGTTACTGCTGTGGCTGCTGGGCCTGTCTGCAGCCTGGGAGGTTGAGGACAACATGACAAGACAAATGTAAAAATGCCCAGAATGGAGTTATGAATATAGTGGTGGTCAAGGATGTGGGGGGGGGAACCTCTAAATGACCACAAGTGAGGGGGAAAGAAGGGCTTCCCTGCTCAGGGGTGAGAGGGTGGCCCTCTGAATGGAGCTCCCTGGAACCATGGATGACCCTTGCTGTCACTTCTTGCAACCCTGAGCTACAAAGAGTTGAGTCCAAGAATAGTATCCATTATGATAAAACTACTGGATGCGTGGGTTGAGGGTGGGGGAGAAGGGGAAGTACCACACTATCAGGGCTGAGGAATCACCTTTTGGGTGGAATGTCAGAACACCCAGTTCATTCATACTTGGTTTACTCATTTGGCTATATAGGGGTCCACATCTTGAGTCCATATTACTCATCACATCCCCTCCATGGAGATAAGCATAACATAGTTTCTGCATCAAGGAGCTCACTTTCTAGTCGGGGAGGAAACCACATGAATAGATAAATATGTGATAGGTGGTAAGAAGGAAGTAGTTCAGGAGACTGTAGGAGCACAGTGAAGGATACAGAGTTTACTTGGGAAAGAGATCAGGGAAGTTTCTCTAGAGAAGATGAACATCTTTTTTGTCATGTATTTGAGAATCATTTGTTTATTGGCTCTTCTTGGCTTTCCGGTCTCCACGTTTGCCCTCCAGGAGTTCTAAATGGCACCAGTGTCTAAATCTTGTTGGGGGTGGGGGGTAAGTTAATATTGCTGAACAAAATGATACAAGTCCTTTTTACTCTCAGTGTGGACTTCCACTGGTGCAGACATAGTATTGTTGTTAGGATCTTCATGAAGATCCATCAAAACGTTTTACCCCCATGAGCCAAAGATCAGATCAAGGCGAGGAAACAAAAGTCAACAGACAAACTCATTGTATGGCTCAGTGATGGCTAATCACCCATTTTATCAATCATTATTCTCCTGAAGCCCCAGAACAGGCTTCCTCCTAACCCCTCCACCCTGCTCATTCAGACAGCTGCTCTAGTGGGAATTGAGACTTAACTTGAAACTACTCATCTACAGCTAATAGACAGCCTTCTCCATCCTTCAGGCTTCCTGACACTTTGTTTCTTCCTCTGACATGACACTTAGCTTATTCCACCTCTTGGGATAGTTATTTCTGTCACTGTCAATGCCATCACTAGACATGGAACTCTTCGAGGGCAGGGATGGGGCTTCGTTCAGCTCTGTCTGCCCTGGCAAAGAGCAGATGGTTAGTACATTGGGCTGAACAAAAATGTCATAAATAACGAAGTCTGCGTGAATCCAGAGAACATGAAACACATACTGCTTCCCTTAAAGTGAGGTCCTTGATGCATGAAGATGAAACTGCACCAACTAGGAAAGGCCAGGAGAGGTACTAACACATCTGCTATCAGGCAACACGGAACATTACAGCTGGGGGCGAGGGTCTTGGAGAAGATCAGAACATTTGAAGCAAGAGCTGTACAAAGAAAAGGGGGAGAGAACAGATGAGAGAAGTGCAGCTTGTGTGTGCGGGTGGGGAGGGAGGGAGAGTGCTGAGGCAGGATGACCTTGTACTTTATTTAATGACCCTGAAGTACCCCAGGATGCTGCTCCAACCTCTCCTGTGGCTCCCAGATGCTGTGGGTCCCTTTTTTTCTTAACTTGTATTTTAGGTTCAGGGGTACGTGTGCAGGTTTGTTATATAGGTAAGTTGTGTGTTGCGGGGGGTTTGGTGTACAGATTATTTCATCACCCAGGTAATAAGCATAGTACCCAATAGGTAGTTTTTTTTATCCTCACCCTCCTCCCACCCTTCACCCTTAAGTAGGCCCTGGTGCCTGCTGTTCCCTTCTTTGTGTCCATGTGTACTCAATGTTTAGCTTCCACTTATAAGTGAGAACATGCAGTATTTGGTTTTCTGTTCCTGTGTTAGTTCGCTTAAGATAATGGCCTCCAGCTCCATCCATGTTGCTGCAAAGGGCATGATCTTGTTCTTTTTTTTATGACTGAGAAGTATTCCATTATATATATATATATATATATACCAAATTTTTTTTATCCAGTTTACCATCAGTGGGCATTTAGGTTGATTCCATGTCTTTGCTATTGTGAATACTGTTGCGATGAACATACATGTGCACATGTCTTTATGGTAGAATGATTTATATTCCTTTGGGTATATACCCAATAATGGGATTGCTGGGTTGAATGGTAATTCTGTTTTAAGTTCTTTGAGAAATCGCCAAACTGCTTCCCACAATGGCTGAACTAATTTACATTCCCACCAGCAGTGTATAAGTGTTCCTTTTCTCCACAGCCTCACCAACATCTGTTATTTTTTGACTTTTTAAAAATAGCCATCCTGACTGGTTTGAGATGGTATCTCATTGTGGTTTTAATTTGCATTTCTCTAATGATTAGTGGTGCTGAGCATTTTTTGTATGTTTCTTGGCCGCGTGTACGTCTTCTTTTGAAATGTGTCTGTTTATGTTCAATGCCCACGTTTTAACGGAGTTGTTTGTTTTTTGCTTGTACATGTGTTTAAATTCCCTATAGATTCTGGATATTAGACCTTTGTGAGATACATAGTTTGTAAATATTTTCTCCCATTCTGTAGGTTATCTCTTTACTCTGCTGATAATTTCTTTTGCTGTGCAGAAGCTCTTTAGTTTAATTAGATCCCATTTGTCAGTTTTTGGTTTTGTTGTGATTTGTTTTTGGCATCTTCATCATGAAATATCTGCCAGATCCTATGCCCAGAATCATATTGTCTAGGTTATCTTACAGGTATCATATTTTTATAGTTTTATATTTTAGGTTTTACATTTAAGTCTTCAACCCATTGTGAGTTGATTTTTACAGATGGTGTAAGGAAGGGGTCCAGTTTCAATCTTTTGCATACAGCTAGCCAGTTATCCCAGTACCATTTATTGACTGGGAAGTCCTTTCCCTGTTGCTTGTTTTTGTTAACTTTGTCAAAGTTCGGATGGCTGCAGGTATGCAGCATTATTTCTGAGCTCTCTATTTTGTTCTATTGGTCTATGAGTCTGTTTTTGTACCAAAGCCATGCTGTTTTGGTTACTGCAGCCCTGTGGTATAGTTTGAAGTCATGGCTCCCTTTTTTTACTCTTCTTTTTTCTTTCTCAGAGAAGAGCAGGTAACAATGTGGGGTTAAAGGTGAGCAGGTGGGTTAGAGTAGTGGAGCTAAAGGCAGATAGAGGTCTTGATCCAATTATCCTCATTCCCTTCATTTGTCCAACCTTGCACACTCCTGTATGCAGGGCCTTTGTAAGCTTCACCTTCTGTACAGGTGCCCAGCAACTGTCAAACCAGCCAGGGCTTAACATGAGCATGGGCATTCCCTATGGACTGGCTGGGACACACCCACATCCTTAGATTACACATTTTGCCTGTAACATAGATAAACTCATTACTAGGTATATAATTCTGTTTTGTTTTGTTTTGGTTTGTTTTGCTTTGTTTTGTTTTGCTTTGCTTTGTTTTTGGGACAGGGTCTCATTCTGTCAAACAAGCTGGAGTGCAGTGGCACAATCACCACTCACTGCAGCCTGGACTTTCCTGGGCTCAGGTGATCTTCCCACCTGAGCCTACTGAGCAGCTGGGACTACAGGTGTGTATCACCACTCCCAGTCAAGTTTTTTTTTTGTATGTGTGTTTTTTATAGAGACAGTGTTTCACCATGTTCCCCAGGCTGGTCTCAAACTTCTGGGCTCAAGCAATCTGCCTGCCTTGACCTCCCAAAGTGCTGGGATTTCAGGTGTGAGGCCCTGTACCCAGCTCAATTCTGTTTTTATACTAGAAGAACATTCTCTATCTGGGTCTTCCAGACTTGATTCTTACTGGTTAATTTGTCCTGGTCTTTTGCTGGTCCAAGAAAATATCTTGAAATCTTTATTTCTTCTCCGTTCCCTCCTTGTCCTAGGACAGACTAGCCCTATCCCTTCCCTGAATTAAGTCTGAGTATAATCGGTCTTTGAGTGTGGAATAGCTCCTAGCAGTCTATCAGTCAATGGTTTCTCTTTGTGGTCACACTCTATGTTTATTCTGGAGACTACAGCATGGAAAGAAAATGGACTTTGGAGTCAGATGAATCTTGATTCGAATCTTGATTCAAATCTTGGCAGTGCCATTCATCAGCTCTGTGGCATTGAGCGCCATCAGTGGACCACTCTCTGATCCCCAATTGCCTTATCTGTAAAATGAGATTAGACACCCCTGCTCAAGATTATGGTAGGATTATATATAATATGTGTAACACAGCTTTCCCAGTGCCTGGTACAAGGTAAGTGTCCAATAAGAACTTACAAATGTTCCTGAGCCACCCTACTGGGTCCCTCCGCACATCCAATGCTGGACTCTTCATGCCCAAGGAAACATATAGGGCACAAAAGTCAGTGGCACTGAGCTCAGCAGAAGAAGGCACAGGAAGGGGATGGGGGAGTCCTGGTTCCCGCTTTGTTCTTGGGGCCAGGACTGTGGCCAGCCTGGAAAGACTGGCATGAACCCTCCAGCATCTGGGGGTGCCAACCACCAAGAGCAGCACAGTTCTTGTCTACAAGCCACTTGTAGCAGGTGTGAACATTTCATCTTTTCCTCTGGGGTTTGCAACTCTCTCCCCAGTCTCGGTCACTGCTTTTGGCTGTACCACTTCCCTTTTCTTCTCGCCTGCACCTCCCTCATCTTTCCTCTATGATGACATCGCCCTGGGGAAGAGAAGCTGAGAGGAACTCCTCACTCAGCTAGCTTCAGGAGCCATGACATCATCTCTACCATGGAAATTCCACTCACTCTCCTGTGCCCCCACATTTGTCCTAGGCCTCAGAGTCCCTATAAAGAGAGATTCCCAACTCAGTATCAGCACAGGACACAGCTAGGTTCTGAAGCTTCTGAGTTCTGCAGCCTCACCTCTGAGAAAACCTCTTTGCCACCAATACCATGAAGCTCTGCGTGACTGTCCTGTCTCTCCTCGTGCTAGTAGCTGCCTTCTGCTCTCTAGCACTCTCAGCACCAAGTAAGTCTACTTTTGCAGCTGCTATTTCGAGTCAAGGTGTAGGCAGAGTCCTTTTTTCTAGTCATGGCTGGCAAACAGTGGGATCTGGGGATGGGACAAAAGGCAGCTAGGAAGATTGCCATGTAGTCTGCTGCTAAATGTAGAGTCTAGTAGATATTCAGTAACATTCAAGTTCCTATTTTCTTAAGAATTAGCAACCAGCAGAGGAAAACGATGGGCTGGAAGTCAGACTGTTGAATTGGCTCTGCCTTTAATTATTTGTTCAAGCAAGCCCCTGTCCCTCTCTGTGCCTTGGTTTCCCCATCTGTCATATGAAGGGAGTGCGATGTGTTCTGAGACTGAATCCAGTTCCAATCTTCTAGATTTCTTTCTCGTTCTTCTCTGAAGATCCACTATTCAGAATAAGACTCCTGCTCATGTTAGGTGGGAATGGATACAAGGGACCATATTTGGGGTTCTGGTAGCTCCACAGGGATGCTCAATGAAGATGCAAAATTAGAAGTCAAAATAAACAGCTCCCATGGGCAGTGTTGATCTCACCCTGGCCTTTCCTTTCAGTGGGCTCAGACCCTCCCACCGCCTGCTGCTTTTCTTACACCGCGAGGAAGCTTCCTCGCAACTTTGTGGTAGATTACTATGAGACCAGCAGCCTCTGCTCCCAGCCAGCTGTGGTGTGAGTATCAACCCCTGGCTGCCCTGGGAGGCAAGGGTGAGGGCTGGATTTTTAAAGGGGGCCTGTTTTGGGGAGGGGGTGATGAGCGTTGGGGAGGCAGCTCTCAGGGCTGAAGCCTTCCCTGACAGCAGTGAGGTCACAGGTCATGAACTCACTTTTCAAGTGCTGAAGGCGGCTGAGTGGCAGCCGAGACAGAAGGGGGTTCCTGGGGAGGAAGTTATTCAGAGGACAGGGAAGCAGGGGAAGGCAGACAGGTCCCGTGAGATATGGACCAATTCCTTAAACCATGCTAGAAAAACATGTGGAAAAGTCACTACCAGGCTGGCAGGGAATGGGGCAATCTATTCATACTGATTGCAATGCCCACTGGTTCCTAATCTGGGCAACCCCTGGGGCCCACAGCTAAATCCAGTGAGTGGAAGTTACAGGGAGTCTGCTTCCAGTGCTGCTCCGGGAAGGATCCCATCCACCAGAGCTGCCCCACATGGACCATGGTCAGGCAGAGGAAGATGCCTACCACAGGCAAGGGATAAAGCCAGATGACCTCAAAGGTCCCATGGGATTCTAATCTGTCTGCTCCTTGTTCTACGGATTCCAAACCAAAAGAGGCAAGCAAGTCTGCGCTGACCCCAGTGAGTCCTGGGTCCAGGAGTACGTGTATGACCTGGAACTGAACTGAGCTGCTCAGAGACAGGAAGTCTTCAGGGAAGGTCACCTGAGCCTGGATGCTTCTCCATGAGCCGCATCTCCTCCATACTCAGGACTCCTCTCCGCAGTTCCTGTCTCTTCTCTTAATGTAATCTCTTTTATGTGCTGTATTATTGTATTAGGTGTTATTTCCATTATTTATATTAGTTTAGCCAAAGGATAAGTGTCCCCTATGGGGATGGTCCACTCTCACTCTTTCTCTGCTGTTGCAAATACATGGATAACACCGTTAATTCCATGTGTTTTCATAATAAAACTTTAAAATAAAATGCAAACAGTTTCTTTGTGATTTTAATTTGATTTGGGGGTAAAAGGAATTGCCTGGTACCATTGGGCGGTGGGGCAAGCTACAGTTTCCAAAAGCAGTAAGAATGCGCAATTGCTGAGTCCTTAATATGAGCTCTGGGCTGAACACTCTTAATACATGATCTCACTGCGTACTTTCAACAAGGGTTTTAACACCCTTATGAAGTAGGGACTGTTGCCCCCAGTTTCACAGTTAAGGAAAGAGAGGCACAGAGAGGTGAAGTGACTTGCTGAGGCTAGTAGGTCTGCTTGGGGAGTGTCATGAAAAAATGCCTTTAAAAAGGAGGTTATCATTTCAACATCTTGTGGGGGGAGTTGTAAAGAGGGGAAGCAGCACAGCAAAGGCGGAAGAAGAGTGAGAAAAGTGACTTCATCATATTATTATCAGCATAACATTGGGAAAGTCATCTTGCTTTATTAGACCTCAGTGTTCACAAGTGTGAAATGTAGATAATATTAACCCCTTCGAAGGGCTGTTACGAGGTGATGTGTAAAGCACCCATCATGGGACTGGGCACCTGGAAGATTCTCTCCTTCCCCCTCTGAGCCTCAGCCTTTTCACTTAAAATGGACCTAACAATTGTCAGGATCATCATGAGGATTAGATTAGTTAGTTGACAGATCAGCACTCTAAAGCCCAAGTTACTGTGAAGTGTTGTCATGATGACAGAAGGATGGAGGTCTGGTTTTGTTTGGAAGTGTTGCAGGAGTAACCTAAAGCCACTTCTACTTAATTATCCTTCAATCAGTACTCCCATTCCATGGGTCAGAGACTACATGGCTCTGAAATTGAATTACATGCACAATAAAGCCTGATCCACAGGACATAGACTCATGGTCTACTAAAGCTAAAAGGAAACTTTAGACCATCTGGTCCAACCCTCTCATTTTATGGAAACTGAGGGAGAAGGCCTGGGAAGTAACTTGCCACGTGCCACTCAACGAGTACATAGCAGAGCAGGAGCCTGGCCAGTGCCAGCTCCCAAGCTCAGGCCCTTTCCTGCACACATTCCCTAGTGACACACCTCTGTGGTCCTCAAAAGGGAGACCGGTTGAGTAAGGACAAGGCAGAGACTACCTTGAAAATCATTTGAGTGTTGTTAGTCCTGTGCAAAAGCAGAACTGGGGCCCTGTACTTCTCTGGGGTCAACAGACACAATTCCTTTCTTTGTCCTGCCCTTAGTCACCTCTGTCATTCCAGAGCCCCAGTGGAAACTTACTTCAGATTCTGCGGGCACTGAGAGAAGGAGGTTAGGGGGCAGAGCTGATCCAAAACAGGTGTGGGAAGAGGCTAGCAGCAAAGAATGTGCCTGGCCATAGTTTCTGCTTTCATTTGCCTAGATCCGAGCTATCTAATATGTTAGCCACTGGCCAAAGCGGCTATTTACATTTTCATTACATTTAATTAAAATGAAATAAAATTTAAAATTTAGTTCCTGAGTCACACTAGTCACATTTCAAGTGCTCAGTAGACCTTGGTAACATGGCTAGTTACCAGGTTAGACAGCATGCATTATGGACTTTCTGTCCATCATTGCAGAAAGTTCTGTTGGAGAGCAGTCTCCTAGAATGTTCTCAGAGCCTAAAGAGAGTGAAGGGAGGAGCAGTTGGGATGGTCTGTAAGATTAGGGTGCAGATTTGGAGAAAGATACACAATTCTATTCTGAGGGGACGGGATGGGAGAGAGAATGGATGACCCCAAGCCAGAGACAAGGTATAGATCACTATGGTAGCTGAATAATGGCCCCCAAGACATCCACATCCTATTCCCCAGAACCTGTGAATGTCAATTTGTATGGCAAAAGGGACTTTGGAGATATGATCAAGTTATGGATCTTGAGATGGAGTGATTACCTTGAATTATCTGGTCAGGCCCTAAATGTAGTTGTGAGTGTCCTTACCAGAGGAAGGAAGAGAAAAATTTGGTAATAGAGGAGAAGGTAGCAATGTGACAGCAGAAGCAAGATGCTATGCTACCAGCTTGGAAGATGGAAGAAGAGGCCAGGAGTGAAGAGGTTTTAGGATGCAGCTCTAGAAGCTGCAAATGGCAAGGAAATTGTTCCTCCCCTAGAGCCTCCAAAGGGAGTGTCCCAGTGAATCTAATTTCAGACTTCTCACCTCCAGAACTTTTAGAGAATAAATATGTGGTCATAAGACACTAAGTGTGTGGTAATTTTTTGCAGCAGCAATAGGAAACAAATACAACCACCAACTGATGTGTCACTGATAGTGACCCCCAATAGCTCAGTGTGGCAGGAAAGGGAGCATTCTAGAGGGTGAGCCAAATCTCCCTGCAGGAGGAACCCAGGGTGAGAGGGACACACCTCAAGGAGATGAACTATAATGAGGAGAGGCATTCCAAGAGGAGATCTGCTTCAGCAACTGAGTTCTGGGGCTGAGGCTTGATCCAGGGTCCAAGACCCTTAGGAAGCATGCCTCTTCTTGAGACATCTAGGGTGCTCTGAGGGGTCCTGGATTCCTATCTGGGAAAGAGTCCATCCTCTCATCTGTCAGATGCAGCCCAGAGCAGAACCATGACCTGTCTCTGGTTCATTGTTAGTGAGCAGGCAGGGTTAGGGCCAGAGTCCCGGTATCCTCCCTCATGATGGAGTCCCTTTCCCAATCCTCCCTGCCCCTCAGCTAATGGAAAGGGAGGAGCTCAGCTCCACAGAGGCAAGGCCACCAGGGAAGGCTGCAGGAGGCCAGGGCAGCCTCATGAAGAAATGCTTACCAGGAATTACAAACAGCAGAATGGAATCCTCGAAGGGGCAATGTGGGACTTCACCTGTTGCACAATATGAGACTGTTTTTTTCCTTTCTCCTCTTTTCATACAACTTCCTTTTCTCACCCTGGGCCCAGAGAGCTGGAATCTGCTTACTTGACGTTCCAGTTGAGGTTTCTCCAGGTTTCCGGGTGGGGGCAAAAGCCAGAACAGACAAAGCAGGACACTCGAAAGGAACTATGGATTATGGAGCAACTTCTAGGCATCCGGCCTATTTTCCTACTCCTTGCAGTGCCCACCTCCCCCAGCTCACTCTCCAGATGGGAGTCCATTTCCTTATGTACATGTTCCTTTAGGACATGTTCATGCAAACATGTCTTTATCCCCCATCCCACCTCAACCTGGAACCCTCCATCATGCTCCCATTGATACAGGCATTTTCCTCCAAGGAGGCCAGGAGCCGAGCAAGCAGAGGCAGGGATCAAAGGAGCAAGATGAGCTGAGGATGGTGACATAGCCACAGTTCTTCCTGGAGGCTGAGACCAGAGACCAGCTGGCAGTCCTGTACTGCAGTCTGCATTCACCCTTTACAGATTTGAGGGCCTTAAAACCCTCTCTTTCCCACTTATCTCTACCTGTTCTCCCTTCTAAACTCCTTCTGTCTTGGGTTCCCAACTGAGTCTAGCATACAGGAAAATAGAAGAAAAGAATTGAGAGACAAAATTGTGGCTGCATTTTTCTACCTTTTAAATAGTTTCATTTTTAGATACAGTCGACATTTTGAATATGTGGGATCCAAATCTGTGGATTCAACCGATGATGGATGGAAAATATTTGGGGAAGAAAAAAACACAATAGGCCAGGTTTAGTGGCTCACACCTGTAATCCCAGCACTTTGGGAGGCTAAGGTGGGAGGAATATTTGAGCTTAGGCATTCTAGACCAGCTTGGGCAACATAACAAGACCCCTTCTCTACAAAAGTACCAAAATTAGCTGGGTGAGGTGGCACATGCTTGTAGTCCCAGCTACTTGGGAGGCTGAGGCAAGAGGATCGCTTGAGCCCAGGAGGCGGAAGTTACAAACAGCTGAGATGACATGACTGCACTCCAGCCTGGGCGCTAGAGCAATATGCTGTCTCAAAAACTAAAAAAGAAAAAAGAAAAACAAATAAAAAACAATGCAGTATAACAATGATCTACATTTACATTTATGAATAGCATTTACATTGTTTAGGTATTCTAAGTAATCTAGAGATTAAAGTATATGGGAGGATGTTCATAGGTTATGGGCAAATACTATGCTACATCAGAGACTAGAGCATGTGTAGATTTTGGAAGCCATGAGAATTCCTAGAACCAATCCCCTGTGGATACCAAGGGATGGCTCTACATGATAAGTGTGTAAAATATATATATTCAGAAGGAATGAGAAAATCAAAATTAATTTTTTTCAGGGAAGATGGGCTTGATGGGACTTGATGGAGGATGGTCTGGGAGACTCTCCCCTTCTATGGAAACATTCCCAACTGGGAGACCAGCACAGCTGCAGGGAAATAATTTCTTCAGGCAGTGTTAGCTGCTTCTAAATCTCAGGACCCTATGTCCCTGGGCTCCTCAAGGAGACATTTGTTATTTACAGTGACTCCTGATTCATTTGCTTAGGGGGTCCTCTTGTCTTTCTGCTAGGGACTTGGAAAAGGAGAGAGGGCCTAGCCTCCCAGCCTACATCTTTCTCCTCTGCTGGTTGTTTCCTTGTGATCTTGTAAGTTAACACTTAATAAATCCCATATATATATGGGATTTATTAAGTGTTAACTTACACTTATATATATGTATATATATGTGTTATATATATAATATGTGTTATATAATATATACATATTAAATGTTAACTTACACATATATGATTTATTTGTATATATTATATATTTATATATATCCTAATATGTGTGTATATATATATCTATATCTATCTATCTATCTATCTATCTATCTATCTATCTATCTATCTATATATATCCTATTAGTTCTGTCCCTCTAAGAGGACCCTGACTAATCCAGATTTTGGTACCAGGAGTGGTTCTAGAGAAATGGAATATTAAGAGTGGAGTTCTTTCATTGGTTTTGGGTTTTCTAGAGTTGGCTGCTTAATATGGTTAGACCCCAAAATGCTAAGGACTCTACGTCTAATAGTATGGAGAACACTGATAGTCCTTGGTGTGAACTGTTTAGAGAGTTAAGCAAAGTAAATGCATTTGGCACTCCTGATTCACTGCTCATGAGAGGCAAGGAGTTTAGTGACTCTATACATAATACCTTTGACCATATGTGGAGAACCAAGGAACATAATGAAGCTGGTTGGTTGCTCCTGAGTTCAATAGACAAAGTGATGAAAGAAAACGATGAGCTCAGGGATTATGTCTCCTGGCTTCAGAAGCAGATACTGAGCCTCAAATCTGCTAAGATTGCCCTGAGTGAGACCCTTATCTTCTGTAGAGAAAGAGCTGAAATTGTGAAAAAACAAACACAAATTCTTATCATGCAAGTGGCTGACCTGCAACAAAAGGTGCATGTACAGACTCACTAGGTGTCTACTGTTAAAGTGAGGGCATTGATTGGAAAAGAATAGGACCCTGCAACTTGGAATGGGGAAATGTGGGAGCACTCAGATGAAGCTGGGGACACTGAGTTTGTAAACTCTGATGAACCTTTTTTGCCAGAAGGAACAGCTTCCCCATCCCCAGTAGTAGCAACATCCACTCCCGACCCGTGGTGCCATCAGCCTTTCCACCTTTGTCTGAGGAGATAAACCCTGTGCTGCCTGAGGCAACAGTGATGGCCTCCTCTGAGGCAGTTGCCAGGCAAAATAATGTTGATTCTCCTCAGGAGCCACCCCAACACCCCTGTTTCGTGGTCCACTACATTGATGACAGTCTAGACCTGTAACTAGACTAAAGTCTGGTCCATTACATTGATGACAGTCTAGACCTGTAAATAGACTAAAGTCCCAGTGGGCCCCTGGAGGTGAGGTTGAGAGTGTGATCCATGAGGAGGTGCACGGCACTTCAAAAGAACTGTTTGAGTTCTCTAATTTATAAAAACAGCAATCTGGAGAACATGCATGGGAATTGATATTAAGGGTATGGAATAATGGTGGAAGGAACATAGAGTTGGATCAGGCTGAATTTATTGATTTGAGCCCCTAAGTAGGGATTCTGCATTTAATGTTGCAGCTTGGGGAGTTACAAAAGATTCTAATAGTTTATTTGCTTGGATAGCTGAAATATGGATTAAAAGATGGCCCACTGTGAGCAAGCTGGAAATGCCTGATCTCTCTTGGTTTAATGTAGAGGAAGGGATCCGAAGGCTTAGGGAGATTGGGATGGTGGAGTGGATTAGTCATTTTAGACCTACTTATCCCAGTGGGGAGGGTCCCGAAGATATACCCTTGAACAATAGCTTGCGAAACAGATTTGCAAGCATGGCACCAGCATCTTTGAAGAGCCCTGTGATTGCTCTTCTCTGTATGTCAGATCTAACGGTGGGAACTGCAGTCACTCAACTACAAAATTTAAATACAATGGGAATAATTGGATCCCAAGGTAGCAGGGGCTAAGTGGCAGCACTCAACCATGAAAGGCAAGGTGGGCATAACTACTGTAATGGACAGCAGAGGCAAAGTGGCAATCAGAATAGTCTGACTCGTGTAGAGCTCTGGCATTGGCTAATTAATCATGGTGTTCCTAGAAGTGAAATTGATAGGAAGCCTACTGCATTCCTACTTAAATTATACAAACAAAGAACTTCCAGGTCAAATGGACAAACGACTAATTTGAATCATAAAAACAGAGAATCACGGCCCCTCAATCAATTTCCAGGATTGAGCCAGTTTAGAGACCCAAAAACCCTTGAATGAAGCGGAGGCCGGGTCCCCTTGAGGAAGGACCCCACTACATTACTGACAATTTATGCAGTGAATCTTTCTCCCACCCTTCCCCAAGGAGACCTCCAGCCTTTTACCAGGGTAACTGTGCACTGGGGAAGGAGAAATGATCATATATTTTGGGGACTTCTGGACACTGGCTCTGATTTGGCGTTGATTCCAGGGGACACAAAATGTCACTGTGTTCCTCCAGTTAAATTAGGGGCTTATGGAGGTCAGGTAATTAATGGAGTTTTAGCTCAGGTCCAACTTACAGTGGGCCCAGTGGGTCCCTGGATTCATCCTGTGGTCATTTCCCCAATGACAGAATGTGTAATTGGCATAGATATATTCAACAGCTGGCAGAACCCCTACATTGGCTCCCTGACTGGTAGGGTGAGAGCTATTATGGTGGGAAAGGCCAAATGGAAGCCATTAGAGCTGCCTCTACCTAGAAAAATAGTAAATCAAAAACAATATCACATCCCTGGAGGGACTGCAATTAGTGTCACCATCAAGACTTGAAGGATGCAGGGATGGTGATTGCCAACACCTCTCCATTCAAGCCTCCCATTTGGCCTGTGTGGATGACAGATGGACCTTGGAGAATGACAGTGGATTATCATAAGCTTAACCAAGTTGTGACTCCAATTGCAGCTGGTTTCCAATGAAACCAGATGTGATTTCATTGCTTGAGCAAATTAACATGTCTCCTGGTACCTGGTATGCAGGTATTGACTTAGCAAATGCCTTTTTCTCCATTCCTGTCCATAAGGCCCACCAGAAGCAATTTGCCTTCAGCTGGCAAGGTCAGCAATATACCTTTACTGTCCTACCTCACGGGTATATCAACTCTCCAGCTTTGCGTCATAATCTTATTCAGAGAGACCTTGATCACTTTTTGCTTCTGAAAGATATCACACTGGTCCATTACAATGACATTATGATGATTGGATCCAGTGAGCAAAAAGTAGCAAACACACTGGACTTATTGGTGAGACATTTGCATGCCAGAGGATGGGAAATAAATCTGACTAAAATTCAGGGAACTTCTACCTCAGTAAAATTTCTAGGGATTCAGTGGTATGGGCCCTGCCGAGATATTCTTTCTAAAGCAAAGGATAACTTGCTGCATTTGGCCCCTCCTACAACCAAGAAAGAGGTACAATGCCTAGTGCGCCTATTTGGATTTTGGAGACAACACATTCCTCATTTGGGTGTGTTACTCTGGCCCATTTATCTAGTGACCTGAAAGGCTGCCAGTTCTGAGTGGGGTCCAGAACAGGGGAAGGCTCTGCAATAGGTCCAGGCTGCTGTGCAAGCTGCTCTGCCACTTGGACCATAAGACACAGCAGGTCCAGTGGTGCCTGAAGTGTCAGTGGCAAATAGGGATGCTGTTTGGAGCCTTTGGCAGGCTCCCATAGGTGAATCACAGCAGAGGCATCTAGGATTTTGGAGCAAGGCCCTGCCATCTAGTTCAGATAACTACTCTCCTTTTGAGAGACAGCTCTTAGCCTGTTACTGGGCTTTGGTGGAAACTGAACGTTTGACTATGGGTCATCAAGTCACCATGTGACCTGAACTGCCTGTCATGAACTGGGTGTTTTCTGACTTATCTAGCCATAAAGTGGGTCATGCACAGCAGCATTCCATCATCAAGTGGAAGTGGTATATATGTGATCAGGCTCAAGCAGGTCCTGAAGGCCAAGTAAGTTACATGAGGACATGGCTCAAATGCCCAGGGTCTTCACTCCTGCCACCTGCCTTCTCTCCCCCAGCCTGCACTGATGGCCTCATGGGGAGTTCCCTATGATCAGTTGACAGAGTAACAGAAGACTAGGGCCAGGTTCACAGACGGTTCTGCATAATACACAGGCACCACCCAAAAGTGGACAGCTGCAGCACTACACCCTCTTTCTAGGACATCCCTGAAGTATAGCGGTGAAGGGAAATGTTCCCAGTGGGCAGAATTTTGAAAAGTGCACCTGGTTGTGCACTTTGCATGAAAGGAGAAATGGACAAATGTGCAATTATACACTGATTCCTGGGCTGTAGCCAATGGCTTGGCTGGATGGTCAGGGACTTGGAAGAAGCATGATTGGAAAATTGGTGACAAAGAAATTTGGGGAAGAAGTATGTACATGGACCTCTCTGAATGGTCAAAAACTGTGAAGATATTTGTATCTCATGTGAGTGCTCGAGTGACCTCAGTGGAGGGGGAGTTTAACAATCAAGTGGAGAGGATGAGCCGTAATGTGGACATTACTCAGCCTCTTTCCCCAGCCACCCCTGTCACCGCCCAATGGGCCCATGAACAAAGTGGCCATGGTGGCAGGGATGGAGGCTACACATGGGTTCAGCAAGATAGACTTCCACTCACCAAGACTGACCTGGCTATGGCCACTGCTGAGTGTCCAATTTGCCAACAGAAGAGACCAATATTGAGCCCTCAATATGACACTATTCCTCGGGGTGATCAGCCAGCCACCTGGTGGCAGGTTGATTATATTGGACCTCTTCCATCATGGAAAGGGCAGAGGTTTGTCCTCACTGGAATAGACACTTACTCCTGATATGGGTTTACCTATCCTGTATGCAATGCTTCTGTCAAGACTACCATTTGTGGACTCATGAAATTGCCTTATCCACCAGCATGGAATTCCACACAGCATTGCCTCTGACCAAGGCACTCACTTTACAGCTAAAGAAGTGTGGCAGTGGGCTCATACTCATGGAATTCACTGGTCTTACCATGTTCTCCATCATCCTGAAGCAGCTGGATTGATAGAATGGTGGAATGGCCTTTTGGAGTCACTATGACAATACTTTGCAGGGCTGGGGCAAAGTTCTCCAGAAGGCCATGTATGCTCTGAATCAGCATCCAATATATGGTACTGTTTCTCCTATAGCCAGGATTCACAGGTCCAAGAATCAAGAGTCCAAGAATCAATTTGATTACTTTAATGTAAATGAGATTATACCATACTCTCTTCTCTGTCACTTCCTATTTTCATGTAATTTATGTTAGACATCTGTCGATGTCAGTATAAATAGATCTAGATCATTTTTTATAGTTGTATAGCTTTCATTACATGGATGTTTCACAATTTACTTAGCTAACTACCTATTGTTGGACATTTGGTTATTTCCAAATTTTTGCTATTTCATATAATGCTGCGCTTATATAAAATATAGTTCTATATAATTATGTTTAATTATGTACTACCGCTGTATCTGACAACTGACTTGTATCAAGAACATACAAAGAACTGTTACAAGTTGCCAGGCAGAGTGGCTCATGTCTGCAATCCCAGGGCTTTGGGAGGCCAAGGTGGGCGGATCTCTTGAGCCCAGGAGTTGGAGACCAGCCTGGGCAACATGGGGAGACCCCGTCTCGACAAAAATACAAAAATTAGCCAGGCATAGGGGCACACATCTGTAGTTCCAGCTACTTAGAGGCTGAGGTGGGAAGACTGCTTGAGCCCAGGAAGTTGAGGCTGCAGTGAGCCAAGATCACACCACGGCACTCCAGCCAGCGCGTCAAAGGCCCTGTCTGAAAAAAAAGGAAGAAGCGGGGGCGGCAAATAAGTAGAGTATACGCCACCTCATCCAACCTTACTGGAACCAGTAGTTGACTGGTTAATCAGTCCAACCAAGGAAGCATTAAAAACTGATGCATGTGCCGGGCATGGTGGCTCACGCCCGCAATCCCCGCACTTTGTGAGACCGAGGCGGGCTGATCACCTGAGGTTAGGAGTTTGAGACCAGCCTGGCCAACATGGTGAAACCCTGTCTCTACTAAAAATACAAAAGTTAGCCATGCATGGTAGTACACGTCTGTAATCCCAGCTACTCAGGAGGCTGAGGCAAAAAAAGGAGAAGAAATGCTATGTGAAGCCTTTTTATAAGCACATTAATTTCATTCACGAGGGCAGAGCACTCATGACCTAATCACCACCTTGAAAGCCTCACTTCTTAACATCATCACATTAGGTCTTAGGTTATAACATGAATTTTGGAGGACTCCAGAAAAAAAAAGTGAAAGACAACCCACAGAATGGGAGAAAATACTTGCAAATTATATACAAAGTAGGCTCACTTTATTTGTGGAAAATATGTAGCCAGACGCAGTGGCTCATGCCTGTAATCCCAGAACTTTGGAAAGCTGAGGTGGGAGGATCACTTGAGCCCAGGAGCTCAAGACTAACCGGGGCAACATAGGGATACCCTATCTCTACAATAAATAAATAAAATTACCCAGATGTGGTGACATGTGCCTGTGGTCCCAGCTACTTGGGAGGTTGAGGTGGGAGAATCACGTGAGCCCAGGAGGTTGAGGCTGCAGTGAGCCAAGATAACATTAATGTATCCCAGCCTGGGCGATAGACCGAGACCTTATCTCAAAAAAAAAATATATATATATGTATATATTTATTTATCTACCTATATATTCATATATAGATATAGATTAATATAGATATATAAACATATATTTATAGATATATAGATACATAAATATATAGCTATATATAAATATATATTTATAAATATATAGATATATATGTAACAAAATATGTTCCAAGACCTCCAGTGTATACCTGAAACTGCAGATAGTACCAAACTCTATATGTACTATGTTTTTTTCCTATACATACATACATACCTATGATGAAGTTTAATTTATAAATTAGGCACTGTAATAGAATAACAACAATAACTAATAATAAAAGAGAACAATTAGAATATACTTTTTGTTTTTGAGATGGAGTCTTGCTCTGTCACCCAGGCTGGAGTGCCATGGCGCCATCTCAGCTCACTGCAACTTCCACCTCCCAGGTTCAAGCGATTCTCCTGCCTCAGCCTCCCGAGTAGCTGGGCCTACAGGCACCTGCCACCACGCCCGGCTAATTTTTGTATCTTTAGTAGAGGCAGGGTTTCACCATATTGGCCAGGCTGGTCTCCAATTCCTGACCTTGTGATCCACCCACCTCGGCCTCCCAAAGTGCTGGGATTACAGGTGTGAGCCACTGTGCCCGGCTAGAATATACTTTAACATAAGTTACATGAATAGTTTTCTCTCTCTCAAAATACTGTAATATTTGGGATTGCAGCTGCCCGCAGGTAACTGAAACTGCAGAGAGCATACGGGAGACTACAGTATCTGACAATGGACTTGGATCTAGAATACATAAAGAACTCTTACAACTTGATAATAAAAAGGATATAACCCAATTTTAAAATGGACAAAAGATCTGAACAGATATTTCTCCAAAGAAGACATACAAATGGCCAATAAGGGCCAGGTGGTGGCTTATGCCTATAATCCCAACACTTTGGGAGGCCAAGGCAGGTGGATCACTTGAGGCCAGGAGTTCAAGACCAGTCTGGCCAACATGGCGAAAACCCATCTCTACTAAAAATATAAAAATCAGCCAGGCGTTGTGGCGCATGCCTGTAGTCCCAGGTACTCAGGCAGATGAGGCACAAGAATCACTCGAACCCGGGAGGCAGAGGTTGCAATGAGCTAAGATTGCACCACTGCACTCCAGCCTGGGCAACAGAGCAAAACCCCACCTAAAAATAAATAAATAAATAAAAATAAAAGAAAGAAAATAAATGGCCAATAAGCACAAGAAAATACACTCAATTTCTGTCTTAGTCTGTTTGTGCTGCTATAACAAAATACCTGAGACTAAGTAATTTATAAGTAAAAAAATTTATTCCTCACAGTTCCGGAGGCTGGGAAATCCAAAATCAAGGTGGTAGCACATTTGGCATTTGGTGAGGGCCTGTTCCATTGTTCCCGTTCTCGCAGTGGCATCTTCACATGGCAGGAGAAGAAAGGAAAAAAGAAGAAGAAATGTTATGTGAAGCCTTTTTATAAGGGGATTAATTTCATTCACGAGGGCAGAGCCCTCATGACCTAATCACCACCTTGAAGGCCTCACTTCTTAACATCGTCACATTAGGTCTTAGGTTATAACATGAATTTTGGAGGACTCCAACATTCAAACCATAGAAACATCATTAGCCATCAGGGAAGTGCAAATCCAAACCATGTTAAGATACCACTTCACACTCACAAGAATGGCTATAATAAACAGACACATAATAACAAGTGTTGGAGAAAATGTGGAAAAATTGAAACACTCATATGTTGCTGGAGGGAATGTAAAATGCTTTGCAATGAAGTTGGAACTGCTTTGGAAATAGTCTGGCAGTTCCTCCAAAGCTTAAACATAGAGTTATCATATGACCTGGCAATGCCAGGCTTCATCATATTCCCAAGGGGAAGGAAAACATATGTCCACACAAAAACTTATACATGAATGTTCATAGCAGCATTATTCATAATAGTCAAAAAGTAGAGACAGCTGGGTGTGGTGGCTCCCAACACTTTGGGAGGCCAAGGCGGGAGGATTGCTTGAGCTCAGGAGCTCGAGACCAGCCTGGCCAACAGAGTGAAATCCGATCTCTACTGAAAATACAAAAATCAGCGGGACATGGTATACGTGCCTGTAATCCCAGCTACTTGGGAGGCTGAGGCAGGTGAATGGCTTGAATCCAGGAGGCGGAGGCCGCAGTGAGCCAAGATCACACCACCGTACTCCAGCCTGAGTGACAGACTGAGACTCCATCTCAAAAAAAAAAAAAAAAAGTGATAAACAGATAAATGAAATGTGTTATATTCCTACAACAGAATATTATTGAGCCATAAAAAAAAGGAAATAAGTACTGACACATGCTATAACATGAATGAACCTTGAAAACATTAGGTTACTTGAAAAAAGCCAGTCACAAAAGATCACAAATTGTATGGTTCCATTTATATGAAATGTCCAAATAGGCAAATCCTATCCTAAAAGAAAGTAAATTAGTGGTTGCCTAGGACTGAGGGATGGAGGAAATGGGGAGTGACTGCTCATAGGTATGGTATTTTTTTTTGAGAGAAATGAAAATATTCTAAAATTGATTGTGGTGGCCAGGCACAGGGGCTCACGCCTGTAATCCCAGCACTTTGAGAGGCCGAGGCGGGCGGATCACCTGAGGTCGGGAGTTCGAGACTAGCCTGACCAACATGGAGAAACCCCGTCTCTACTAAAAATACAAAATTAGCCGGGCATGGTGGTGCATACCTGTAATCCCAGCTACTCGGGAGGCTGAGGCAGGAGAATCGCTTGAACCAGGGAGGTGGAAGTTGCAGTGAGCTGAGATCGTGCCACTGCACTCCAGTCTGGCGAGAGAGTGAGGCTCCATCTCATAAAAAAAAAAAAAAAAAAGAAAGAAAAAAGAAAAAAAAGAATGTTTCAGGCAAAGGGAAGAGAAGTGCAATGGTGCTATTTCAGGCAGAAGCTTGTCAGGTTTGCTGTGGTGTGGCTAGTGTGGAAGGACTCAGTGGGAAGGAAAAGAAATGAGGGCACAGTAGTGGGCAGGGCCAAGATAAAATAAAGCCATATGCATACTGCTACATTTTTTCCTTGCTAACATATTTCATTGAATGTAGACAAAACTTATTATAAAGACATAACTTTTGATGTTTGTAAGGTCATCTGTTATTTGCACTCCTTTTTTTTTTGAGATAGGGTCTCACTCTGTCACCCAGGCTGGAGTGCAGTGTTGCCACCACAGCTCACAGCAGCCTCGACCTCCTGGGCTCAAGCACTCCTCCCACCTTAGCCTCCTGAGTATCTGGGACTACAGGCACATGCCACCGTGCCCCACTAATTTTTTATTTTTTGTAAAGACAGGGTTTCTCCATGTTACCCAGGCTGGTCTCAAACTCTTGAGCTCAAACAATCTACCCACCTTGGTCTCCCAAAGAGCTAAGATTACAGGCGTGAGCCACTGTGCCTGGCTTGTTATTTGCATTTGTGATTTTAAAATTCCATGTTTTTTATCATAAGATTGTCAGGTGCTTTCTGGACAGGAAATGCCTTAATTTATGACTCAAAATACAAACAAGTGTAGGTGATCAAATGCATATCTATGTCTTCAATGGAAATATATATACATACAAGTCATTAACGAAGACAAATGAGAACATGAAATTCATGACCTATTTTCCTTTCCATCACCTAGCCCCCTAAAGGAGAGATCTTTTTCATTCAGAGCCCTGGGTTTTGTTTTGTTTCATGATTTGCTTTTTTTTTTTTTAAATAAGAGTTTATTTATTTATTTATTTGAGACAAGGTTTCACTCCCATCAGCCAGGCTGGAGTGCAATGGCGTGAACTCAGTTCACTGCAACTTCTGCCTCCTGGACTCAAGTGACTCTCTTGCCTCAGCCTCCTGAGTAGCTGGGACTACAGGCACGTGCCGCTGCATCCAGCTAATTTTTTGTAGAGACAGGGTTTCACCATGTTGGCCAGGCTGGTCTTGAACTCCTGAGTTCAAGCGATCCGTCTGCCTCTGAGTCTCAAAGTGCTAGGGTTACAGGAATGAGCCGCCGCGTGGCCAAAAGAGTTTATTTTTTAAAGAAAATTGACTTCTTTGAAAACGTAGAAATGAGGCCGGGCGCAGTGGCTCACACCTGTAATTCCAGCACTTTGTGAGGCCGAGGCAGGTAGATCGCTTGAACTGAAGAGTTTGAGACCAATCTGGCCAACATGGTGAAACCCCATCTCTACTAAAAATACAAACATTAGCCGGGTGTGGTGGCAGGTGCCTGTAATCCCAGCTACTCGGGAGGCTGAGGCAGGAGAATCGCTTGAACCCGGGAGGCGGAGGTTGCAGTGAGCCAAGATTGCGCCATTGCACTCCAGCCTGGGCAACAAGAGCAAAACTCCATCTCAAAAAGAAAAGAAAAAGTAGAAATGAGGAAGCGGCCAGCCTGTGTGGGGATCTAATCAAACAAATCTTCCCCTGATGAGGGTAGCACTTAAGTTGAAAAAAATTTGCCTATATAATAAATATTGCAATACTTTATTTATTTATTTATTTATTTTTCGAGATGAGGGTCTCGCTGTGTTGCCCAGGCTAGTCTTGAACTCTTGGGCTCAAGGGCTTCTCCTGCCTCAGCCTCCCCAGTGGCTGGGCTAATAGGCACACACCACCATGCCCAGCTCTACATACTGATTTTTTTTTTTTGAGATGGAGTCTTCGCTCTGTCGCCCAGGCTGGAGTGCAGTGGCGCGATCTCCGCTCACTGCAAGCTCCGCCTCCCGCGTTCACGCCATTCTCCTGCCTCAGCCTCCCGAGTAGCTGGGACTACAGGCGCCTGCCACTGCGCCCACTAATTTTTTGTATTTTTAGTAGAGACGGGGTTTCACCGTGTTAACCAGGATGGTCTCGCTCTGCTGACCTCGTGATCCGCCCGCCTCGACCTCCCAAGGTGCTGGGATTACAGGCGTGAGCCACCGCGCCCGGCCCATACTGATTTTGAAATTTAAAAAATCTACATTCTATATTCGCATCATAGCTTCTCCCTAATAAAATCTTTGTGAGTGTTTATGGGACTTATTCCCCGAAAAATCTGCAAGCAGCCTGGTAGCTTTATATACACAGGAAAGCCAAAGGACAAACTAGGAATTACGTCAGAGATGGGGAAAGACTAAGGATCTTACCCAAATCAGTTGAGAATCAGCCTTAAGTATAAATGGGCCAGGTGTTGGTGGCTCACACCTGTAATCCTAGCACTTTGGGAGGCCAAGGCGGGCAGATCACTTGAGGTCAGGAGTTCGAGACCACCCTGGCCAACATGGTGAAACCCCGTCTCTACTAAAAATACCAAAATTAGCCAGGCGTGGTGGCACGTGCCTGTGGTCCCAGCTACTTGGGAGGCTGAGGCAGGAGAATCGCTTGAACCTGGGAGGCAGAGGTTGCAGTGAGCTGAGATCACGCCACTGCACTCCAGCCTGGGTGACAGAGTAAGACTCCGTCTCAAAGAAAAAAAAAAAAAAAGTATAAATGAAGCACAATTAACATTTTTTAATTTTATAGAGCAAAAGTTCATAAAAATAAATATTCTAATTAACTCTCCTACATCTTATAAACACTATTACCAAACCCATTTAAGATTGAAGATAAATTATATCATGGCATGGGTAAAGATTTTCAATAAGGAGTTGCTAGGATGAAAGTCAAAATTCTCCAGCATAAATTCACTGACAGGGATTTCTGTTTAATCTTTTCAAAATTCTAATACCCAATTTGTTTCCTCTAGAGAATAACTCGTGTAGAATCATAACCTCTTTGGTGGACCTTGATTTTTCCATCTGTAAAAGTATAGAACTAGTTTTGACTTAACAGTCAACAAATGCCTACCCTCTCCATATCTAGCTGATTAGAGCGCCCTCGTGCGCATTTGCTGTAATGTTTTAGAAATCTGAAAAAGACAATATTAATCTCAGCAGTAATACAATAAATAATGTCTTCATTTGCACATTTATAGCAAATGCTATAAATATATAGCTCCAAGTATTACTCAGTAAAAGCTAAAGGCAAATGCTGTAGTAGGTTAATCTTACTGTCGTTCACTATCAAACCTTTCTTATGCCAATTTTATCCTAAAACAGTGAAGTTATTGTTTTGGTTTCAATTTTAATTTAATGACTTAAAGGATTTTTTCCCTTAAAACTTCTAAGTATTTCATTATAATATTATTTCATCATTAGGCTTAAAGGAAAATATGTGGTCAATTGAGTTGTTATTTATTATACATGATAGCTTGACATCATCTTTTTAGGGATGGAAAACAGCTCCAGGGACCAAGTCTAACTCAGTTTTTTGATATAAGAATTTACCTGTCGGCCGGGTGCAATGGCTCACACCTGTAATCCCAGCACTTTGGGAGGCCGAGGCGGGCGGATATAGGTCAGCAGATCAAGACCAGGAGTTCAAGACCAGCCTGGCCAAGATGGTGAAACCCCATCTGTACTAAAACTACAAAAATTAGCCAGGCGTGATGGCAGGCACCTGTAATCCCACCTACTTGGGAGGCTGAGGCAGGAGAATCACTTGAACCCGGTTCAAGTGAGCCGGCTGCAGTGAGCCAAGATCACGCCACTGCACTCCAGCCTGGGCAATAAGAGCAAGACTCCATCTCAAAAAAAAAAAAAAAAAAAAAAAGAATGTACTAGTTTGAATCATAACAATTTCTTCCTACTCAAAGAGACTACATTGGAGGAAGCCAAAACAGAAGCTTATTTATTTATATACTTTATTTATTTATTTTTGAGACAGAGTCTTGCTCTGTCACCCAGGCTGGAGTACAGTGGTGTGATCTTGGCTCACTGCAACATCTGCCTCCCGGGTTCAAGCGATTCTCCTGCCTCAGCCTCCCTAGTAGCTGGGATTACAGGTGTGTGCCACCACGGCCAGCTAATTTTTGTATTTTTAGTAGAGACGGGTTTTCACCATGTTGGCCAGGCTGGTCTCAAACTCCTGACCTCAGGTGATCCACCTGCCTCAGCCTCCCAAAGTGCTGGGATTACAGGCATGAGCCACCAAGCCCAGCCTAGAGAAGCTTATTTTTTAAAAGAAAATACACAAAAAAATCAAAATCTCATAAGTCCAGTTGTAATTTTTTTTTTGGCTTTTAAAAACTGTTAATGCCCTCAAATATTCTCCTATCCAATCACTGTATTTTAAATGGCATTCCTCCAACAAATATTTGTTGAGCCCCCACTATGTGCCAGGATTGAAATGTCAAATTGAAGGAGGCAATAGCTACTGAAGTAAAGCAAAAAAAGTACTGGTTATTTTTCCTTCTATAAAATGACCTAGTAATAACCGCTTTACCCAGGAGAGTTGCTGTAAAGATCTAATAACATGACACATATAACCACACCCCTAAAGAATGAGGTGTTACCGCATGTTCTCACTCATAGGTGGGAATTGAACAATGAGAACACATGGACACAGGAAGGGGAACATCACACTCTGGGGACTGTTGCGGGGTGTGGGGAGGGGGGAGGGATAGCATTAGGAGATATACCTAATGCTAAATGACGAGTTAATGGGTGCAGCACACCAGCATGGCACATGTATACATATGTAACTAACCTGCACATTGTGCACATGTACCCTACAACTTAAAGTGTAATAATAATAAAATAATAAAATTAAAAAAAGAAATTTTGCTTAAATAAATATTATAATAAAAAAAACGAATGAGGTGTTATTAAAATGTTTGCAAGAGAAACCCTAGTAATTCCAAGCACATATTTTAGGAATGGTTTCTTGTGTAGAAAATCCTGGAATGTGAGGCTCTGCTGATTTTTTTAATGCATATTCTCTTCTTATGTATGCGGAATTTTTTTTTTTTTTTGAGATAGAGCCTTGCTCTGTTGCCCAGGCTGGAATGCACTGGCACGATCTTGGCTCACTGCAACTGCCACCTCCTGGTTTCAAGTGATTCTCCTGCCTCAGCCTCCCGAGTAGATGGAATTACAGGCGTGTGCCACCGCACTTGGCTAATATTTGTATTTTTAGTAGAGATGGGGTTTCACCATATTGGCCAGGCTGTTCTAGAACTCCTGACCTTGTGATCCACCCACTTCAGCCTCCCAAAGTGCTGGGATTACAGGCATGAGCCACTGTACCTGGCCTATTTTTGTTTTTACTAATGTTTCAAGAGACCCACTTTATGTACAGAATTCTGGCTACAACCTAACAAATGAGTTGCTCTGTTCATCAGTTATAGCCAATTTAAGTAATTATGAAAAGCTCAACAATACTTTAACTGGCAATGAAAGCGTCAATATCTCACATTTACCACCACAACTTAGGATTTCTTGGTAGCTAAATAAAATGCTTCTATTTTGTGGGGGGAAACTGTCACATAAGTTGAAATTCTGCAATGTTCAATTGATGAAAAGGTCTCTATGTTAAATCAAAGGTATAAATTCCACATCAGTAGTACATGAAAGAGAAAAAAAAAGCCAAAATTAAAGTGATCCATGCCCACTTCCCTGAGTGAACCTAAGATTTTACTAACAGAGATGCCGTAACTTTGATCATGCACACATCAAACTTGAATTTAAAAACATGCATGCACTCACTCATCTTTTATCTCTTATGTAATTAATACTGTAAGATTATATTTTGCCTACGTGCTCTATATTACTAATTTATAGGATTATTACTATTCAGTGTTGTTTACTTGAAACCATACTGTACTATACACAACTTTTGCATTCCATGCTAACTTTATTTTTTTAACTAATTTTTTTTTATACAGAGTCTCACTCACTCTATTGGCCAGGCTGGAGTGCAGTGGCACGATCTTGGCTCCTGCAACCTCTGCCTCTCGGGTTCAAGTCATTCTCCTGCCTCAGCCTCCCAAGTAGTTGGTACCACAGGTACATGCCACCACACCCGGCTAATTTTTGTATTTTTGGTAGAGATGGGGTTTCACCATGTGGGCCAGGCTGGTCTCGAACTCCTGACCTCAAGGTTATAGGCGTGAGCCACGATGTCCCAACTCCATGCTAACTTTAGAGCTTATTTCCCATCCCATAAGATACAACACTACTTGTGTTATATAGTGAGCAGTGTGGGGAAGAAAAGCATAGAATTAAGTTAGTGACAAATCCAGTGAACTCAAAAAGAGGGAAAAAACCACTCCCAAACAATTGTTTTCCCCATATTCTATTCTCCCTAGAGGTAGTCCATACAGGAACGACAAAAGAAAAAAAAGGATACAAAATGAGAAAGATGTTCATGTGACATATAAGTACAGTAATAAAATCAACAAGCATATATGGTATTTAAGCAAAATAGTATGTATGCATTGATGGTCATCTGATATAAATCCATCATTTCTGTTGGCCAACATCTAAAACCTTCACTTTTCTGAGGAGACAAGCTATAAATCTATACGGATATTTCTACAATGAGAATTCATTATTACATATGAACCAATATAATTTGATGTCAAATATTCACAATTAGGTTTAAAAAATCCCCTACTTGGCCGGGCGCAGTGGCTCATGCCTGTAATCCCAGCACTTTGGGAGGCCAAGGCGGGTGGATCATGAGGTCAAGAAACCAAGACCATCCTGGCCAACATGGTGAAGCCCTGTCTCTACTAAAAATACAAAAATTAACTGGGCGTGGTGGCAGGCGCCTGTAGTCCCAGCTACTCAGGAGGCTGAGGCAGGACAATCACTTGAACCCAGGAGGCAGAGGTTGCAGTGAGCTGAGATCGCGCCACTGCACCCCAGCCTGACGACAGAGTGAGACTCAGTCTCAAAAAAAAAAAAAAATCCCCTACTTATGTTAAGAGTACCAAAAATAGGGCCAGGAATGATGGCTCATGCCTATAATTTTGGCACTTTGGGAAGCCGAGGTGGGAAGATAGCTTGAGTCCAGGAGTAAAATAGTGAGACTCTGTCTCTACAAAAAAATAAAAAATTAGCTGGATGGGGCACACACCTGTAGTCCAGGTACTCACGAGGCTGAAATGGGTGGATCACTTGAGCCTGGGAGGTCAAGGCTGTAGTGAACTGTGATCACACCACTACACCCTACACCCAGCCTGGGCTACAAGGTGAGACCCTGTCTCAAAAAAAAAAAAAAAAAAGGTACCAAAAATCTATAGCTGTTTCAGGAATAAAATACATGTAGTTAGTGAGGTTTTTCTCTCCCACTGCTATGACTTAATTTTTGGTTGAGATGCTAAGCCAAACATCATTTTAAGTCTGTGGCCCAACCAAAAAAGGGAATCATACTCTCCAAAGAATTGTACATTCCCACTCTAATTGCTAAAATAAAATGTTGGATTATGAAAATCAATTTTATAGGTATCAATAAGTTATAAGAGCATGGCTTATTTAAAAAAAAAAGTGGGCCAGGTTACCTACATGAGCTGCAAAGCAAGCAAACTGAATTTTCTTATCGAAGAGCCCATCCTCATACTTAAAATTTCCCATGACTACATGGAAATTCTTTCACTTACCAAAAAGACCTGATTGGCACTTTCACTGAGAGTTGCGTCATCTGGGCTGTCGACAGGTGTCTGACGTGTAAACTTGGAATCAAACTGACTTACATCCTCTTCAGATTGCTTTATACAAACAAAATAATTTAGAAAATAATGAATAGTCCATATGACATCAATTAAATGCACTGTAAGCTCTGGGAGCTCTTTTCGCAGGGGTTAACTATAATAAAGTATTAGAATAGTCTTAGCAGGCACTTTTCTAATAGTGGAGAAATGCAAGTGGAAGAAAAAAATGCAAGTGGAAAGTACTGAGTCAAATTACATCTTCAAATCTTAAACATGCACTAAAAAAGATTTTAGTATACTGTTATTCCTATTAAAAATGTGAATATATTGACTGGGCATGATGGCTCAGGCCTGTAATCCCAGCACTTTGGGAGGCTGAGGCAGGCAGATCCTGAGGTCAGGAGTTCAAGACCAGCCTGGCCAATAAAGCGAAACCCCGTCTCTACTAAAACTACAAAACATCAGCCGGGCGTGGTGGCGGGCGCCTGTAATCCTAGCTACTCGGGAGGCTGAGGCAGGAGAATTGCTTGAACCTGGGAGGCAGAGGTTGCCGCAAGCAGAGATCGTGCCACTGCACACCAGCCCAGGTGACAGTGCGAGAGTCTGTCTCAATTAAAAAAAAAAAAAGAAAAGAATATATCGAGCTCAAAACAAGCTGGAAAAAATGTGAATATCAATTTCCCCTCTCACAAAGCTTCAGTGTGCCTAGTCCACTGGCTAAATCCCTGTTTAGAGATAATTAATTCAGTTGGCTACTGCAGGTTTGTAATAAACCTGAAAAACTACTGAAGCAGAGTTAAAACATGAATAATACTGGTAAGATGCTCCAGTTAAAGTTTCTTCTCACAGCTCATTTCATTCCTTCAGAAATCTAAAGGAGCAAAAATAATTTTCTATTCCGCATGGGTTATAAGTTATATTTCCTTGTGAAAGTATAGTTATCACTTCAGTTCTAACCATGAGATTTATTTATTTAATTCCTTCTCTCTTTCCCAAAATATCTGGTTAAACTCTTGGGCCAAATGTAAGAAGTAAATAATAATTTAGAATATCTGACTTAATACTAAAAGATGATGACCACATTGACCTTATAATTCTCTTAGAGCCCAGACTGTGAACCTGCACTCCCTGGAGGAATGGCTGATTCCAAGTGTGGGGAAAATGTACAAGATAAGCATAGAACACCAGTTTCCTTATTTTGCTCTCTCGTACAACACCAGACAATGTGCTCATGTCAAAAGGACTCAGAACCCAACATGAAGATGCACCCAGCATTCACTGCACCCAGCATTCAACGAAGGGAAAAAACGAGCACCAATAAAAATAACTGCTAGGTGCGGTGGCTCACGCCTATCATCCCAACACTTTGGGAGGCAGAGGCAGGTGGATTGCTTTTGAGCTCAGGATTTGAAGACCAGCCTGGTGAACACGGCAAAACCCCGTCTCTACCAGAAACACAAAAATTAGCTGGGCATGGTGGTGTACCTGTGGTCCCAGCTACTCAAGAGGGTGAGGTGGGAGGATTGCTGGAGGTCGGGATGTCAAGCCTGCAGTGGGCAGCGATTATACCACTGCACTACAGCTTGGGTGACAGAGTTAAGACCCTGCCTGAAAACAATAAATGAATAAATAAAAATAAAATAAAAATAACTGCGATGAAAGGAAACACAAATATGTTAAAACGTGTAAGTTCATAATATACTAAAAAAGAAAAAAACACACACACAAAGTTCATTGGTCAATTTTGGAAGATGCTAGGAAACTAATTCATTATTTTGAAAACTAGGAAAGAATCAAACATACATCCTGCCTTTTCTGTATGAACTGTACCTTGGGTAACTAACTGATCAAAGAGTTTCTCTTTATGAAAGAATTCCAGCTAACAAAGAAAGAAGAAATAACAGTTAGAATAAAACCATTTCACAAACACCTGATGAAACTACAAAAGTAGGCCAGAGTTTCTCAACCTCAGGGCTACTGACATTTTAGGCCTATTAATACTTTGCGTTAGGGGGCTGTGCTGTGCTGACTCTTACCCCTGAAGGTACCTATAGCATTCCCTCTCCCAAGCTGTGACAGTGTGTCTCCAGACATTGCCAAATTACCCTGGTAGTGAAATGCTGACACAGGCAGTGACCACTAACATCACTAAAAAAACACACATACGCACACACAAGTACACATTATGCCTCCTGATCAAAGCATATGCGATACTGAGAGTGTAATCTGAATCAGATCAACCACCTAAATTTAACTACCAGTTTTTGGAAATTTGGGGAACAGATGAACATGGTCAATGACACTCTGGGGATAATATCAGCAAAATCAAAATTTGAGAATTCTACAGGACAAATGACCCCGTTTCTTCAGTAAATCACGAGGGGAATCTATAAAGGAAAAGAGACCTAAGAGACATAGTAACCAAACTACATACAGACCTTGATTAACAGGAGGAAAAAAAAGAATGGAACAACAACAACAAAAAAATTAGGTGGGGCAACACAGGGAGACCTCATCTCTAGAAAAATTCAAAAAATTGGATGTGGTGATGCACCCCTGTGGTCCCAGCTATATGGGAGGATCCCTTGAGCCTGGGAAGCTGAGGCTGCCATGAGCCACTATCATGCCACTGCACTCCAGCCTGGGCAACAGAGAAAGACCCTATCTCAAAAAAAAAAGAGAAAAAAAAAAAACTGGGGAAACTGTCAACTTCTTAGGTGTGATGATGGGATGACAGTTATGTTTAAAGAAGATGATCTAATTATTTTTAAGCTGGGCAGTAGGTGTATGACAGTTCTCCTCCTTACAATTGTTTGTTGTTTTTTAAAGTGGGTCACATTATGGGGCATGACCAAAAAATAATCACCATCATCATCCTCCTCCTTCTCCACCTACAGCCCAAGGAATGGAAAAAGAAACTGTGTTTTCTCAGATTCTGAGGTGGCAGAAAGACAATAACACACTAACTCATTTACTCATAAACATATTGTTATGGATTGAATCGTGTCCCTTACTCACCCCCCAGAAAATTTCGTATGTTGAAACTCTAACCTCTAGTTCCTCAGAATGTGACCTTATTTGGAAAGGGTTATTGCAGATGTAATTAGTGAAGATGAGGTCCTACTGGAGTAGAGAGGAACCCTAATCCAATATGCCTGGTATCCTTATAAAAAGGGGAAATTTGGCCACAGATACGCACACAGGTAGAACACCATGTGAACATGAAGGCAGAGATCCAGGTGATGCACCTACAAGCCAAAGTATGCCAAAGATGACCAGCAAACCACCAGAAGCCAGGGGAGAGGCATGGAACATAAGGTTTCTCACAGTTGTCGAAGAAACCAACTCTAACAACGTGATCTAGAACTTCTAGTCTCCAGATCTATGAGATAATAAATTTCTGTTGTCTAAGCCACCCAGTTTGTGGTACTTTGTTGCAGCAAGCCTAGCAAACTAATGCACACATATTCTATATTTTGAAGAAAAAATTCCCAGAGAATCATATTTAAAATGGTTAAATTAAGCAAAATAAAACAAACCAAAAAAAGAAAAGTCCCAACTACCTGAAATATTTAATTGTCTTAGGAAACTGACTTAAAAATATCTAATACAGGCCGGGCACGGTGGCTCACGCCTGTAATCCCAGAACTTTGGGAGGCCGAGGTGGGTGGATCACAAGGTCAGGAGTTCAAGACCAGCCTGGCCAAGATGATGAAATCCTGTGTCTACTAAAAATACAAAAATTTGCTGGGCATGGTGGCAGGTGTCTGTAATCCCAGCTACTCAGGAGGCAGAGGCAGAGATTTGCTTGAACCCAGGAGGTGGAGGCTGCAGTGATCCGAGATCACACCACTGCACTCCAGCCTGGGGGACAGATCAAGACTCCATCTCAAAAATAAAAAAATAAAAATAAAGAAGAAAAACGCTATGGAATTTGACTAGAATTAGGGCTAACAATATGAAGCACTTTGGGAAGCCAAGGCAGGTGGATCACCATGTCGGCCAGGAGTTTGAGACCAGCCTGGCCAACATGGTGAAACCTCATCTTTACTAAAAATACAAGAATTAGCCAGGTATGGTGGTGAGCACCTGTACTCCCAGTTACTCCAGAGGCTGAGGCACGAGAATCACTGGAACCCGGGAAGCAGAGGTTGCAGTGAGCTGAGGCAGCCTGGTGTCCAAGCTGTGGTGAGCCATGACCATACCACTGCACTCAAGTCTGGGCAACAGAGGAAGTCCCTGTCTCAAAAAAAAAAAAAAAAAAAAAAAAGGGCCAGGTGCAGTGGCTCACACCTGTAATCCCAGCATTTTAGGAGGCTGAGGCGGGCAGATCATGAGGTCAGGAGTTGAAGACCAGCCTGGCCAACATAGTGAAACCCCATCCCTACTAAAAATACAAAAATCAGCCGAGTGTGGTGGCATGTACCTGTAATCCCAGCTACTCAGGAGGTTGAGGCAGAAGAATTGCTTGAACCTGGGAGGCGGAGGTTGCAGTGAGCCAAGACCACATCATTGCACTCCAGCCTGGGCAACAGAGTGAACCTCCATCTCAAAAAAAAAAAAAAAAAAAATTTAAAAAGGGAGTATAGGGCCAGCCGCGGTGGCTCACGCCTGTAATCCTAGCACTTTGGGAGGCTGAGGTGGCTGGATCATGGGGTCAAGAGATCAAGACCATCCTGGCCAACATGGTGAGACCCCATCTCTAATAAAAATACAAAAAATTAGCTGGACACAGTGGCGAATGACTGTAGTCCCAGCTAATCTGGAGGCTGAGACAGGAGGATCGCCTGAACCTCGGAGGTGGAAGTTGCAGTGAGCTGAGACCATACCACTGCACTCCGGCCTGGTGACAAAGCGAGACTTCGTCTCAAAAAAAAAAAAAAAAAAAAAGAGTTTAAAAAATTCTTTACAGAAGAATGACAATATAGGAAAAATACAGAAAAAGTAGAAAAGTCTCCATTTTCTAATCACTATAGTAATATTTGATTTGGGCAAGAAGCCATCCAGATGAAACCATTAAGTAAAGATTATTATGGGACAGAATATTCACACTGTTTCTATCATGCCATAGATCACTTGTTAATTACAAAAGGAAAAAGAGGCTGAGAATGGAGTCTCACGTCTGTAATCCCAACACTTTGGGAGGCCAAGGAGGGCGGATCACCTTAGGTAAGGAGTTTGAGACCAGACTGGCCAACATGGCAAAACCCCATCTCTACTATAATTACAAAACTTAGGCAGGCATGGTAGCAGGCACCTGTAATCCCAGCTACTTGGGGGGCTGAGGCACGAGAATCGCTTGAACCCAGGAGGTGGAGGTTGCAGTCAGCCAAGATTGCACCACTGCACCCCAGCCTGGGTGACAGAGTGAGACTCCTTCTCAAAAAAAAAAAAAAATGCCCTTATTCTTAGGAGATGTATAGAAGAAATTAGGGGTGAAGTGCTATGAAATCTGCAGTTAACTCTCAAATTGTACAGAAAGAAAATTTATTAATGTTAAAAAATGTCAATATTCATAGATACACATATATGTGGGGGCAGGTAGAAAGGGAGGGACACAGAGACAAAGAAAATATGGCAAAATGGTAACACCTGGTGATCACTGAACTATTCTTGCAACTCTGAAAAGTTTAAAAAATTTCAAAGGTATATTGTTTTTGAACTGCTCGGGAGGTTTAAATTTTTGAATTTTTAAAATAAGCAATCAATTGTGAGGAAGTCTGAGAAGCCACAGACTTAAGAGATAAGATGAAAAATAAGGAAAGTAGAATCACAGTAATAAGAGGAACAGAGTTTCAAAATGCTGTGGTCAGTCAGTAGCTTCAATGCAAAAGAAAGTTAAATTAAGGACCAACTCAGTAAAGACAACTGGATTCAGCAACTGGGAAGTCAGTGATGACCTAGGGTACAGGAGCTGCATTGAAATAGTAGAGTTGGGCCACGCGTGGCCCACATCTATAATCCAGCAGTTTGGGAGGCCGAGGTAGGTGGACCTCTTGAGGCCAGGAATTCAAGACCAGCCTAGCCAACATGGTGAAACCCCATCTCTACTAAAAATACAAAAATTAACCCGAGACAGTGGCGCACCCCTGTAACCCCAGCTACTCAGGGGCCTGAGGCATGAGAACTGCTTGAACCTGGAAGGCAGAGGCTGCAGTGAGCTGAGATAGGGCCACTGCACTTCAGCCTGAGTGACAGGGGAAGACTCTGTCTAAAAAACAAAAAACAGGCCTGGCGTGGTGGCTCATGCCTGTAATCCCAGCACTTTGGGAGGCCGAGGCAGGCGGATCACGAGGTCAGGAGATCGAGACCATCCTGGCTAACACGGTGAAACCCCATCTCTACTAAAAATACAAAAAATTAGCTGGGCGTGGTGGCAGGCACCTGTGGTCCCAGCTCCTCCGGAGGCTGAGGCAGGAGAATGACATGAACCCGGGAGGTGGAGGTTGCAGTGAGCTGAGATTACGCCACTGCACTCCAGCCTGCGTGACAAAGCCAGACTCCCTCTCAAAAAAAAAAAAAAAAAGACGTAAACTGGGTATGTGCCTTTAGAGGTGGTGCACATTTTTAGCATTATAAATGAATATAAATGAGTGGCAACTGTTACTTTGGTCCACAGATTTTTGGTATCTTAACTAGTTTTTGGTCTCTTCCACTAAAGGCATTGCCTGTTGAACCTTGTTAGGAATGTAAGTACTGAAGGCAAACTGCCTGGGTTTGAATTTTGTTCTGTCCCTTGCACCCTGCCTGGTTTCAAATCCTAGCTCTGCTTATTACGTTCTTTTAAGGGGATGACCTTTGAGCAAATGTCTTAGCTTCTGTTTTCCCCAGTAAATGGACACAATAGTTGCTACTTTGTGAAAGATTCATGTAATTGACCAGCGTTTACCAAGTAGCATCAGTGTTTAGTTTCAGTCATTGGTGATTCTGCAGTTGGACTGTGAGGGGGTATTGGGGTGGGGGGTGGTGTGTGTGTAGCACTTAATTGCAGGCAGGAAGGAAAAGATACTTTTGATAACCGACAGGCAGCTTTTCTCTGCTTTTGTGTCAAAAGGGAGGAAGGGAGTTTGGAGAGGGAAATGAATTCTCTGTAACACTAAGCTCTCTTCCTCAAAACCAGAGGTAGATAGAATGTGTAATAATTTACAGAATTTCTAGACTTCAACGATCTGATTTTTTAAATTTATTTTTATTTTTTCAGGTTGAGACTGAGCTAAAGTTAATCTGTGGCGACGTTCTGGATGTACTGGACAAACACCTCATTCCAGCAGCTACAACTGGCAAGTCCAAGGTTTTCTATCATGAAATGTAGGTTCTATACTAACAATTAACAAGTGTACTTCAATAAATTTAAACATTCTCAGGAATAGTTGACTTTGTTTCTTTTTTTCTTAGACATTTCATATTATTTTCCTTATTAAATATAACCAAAAATCCCACAGAAATTAACTGAGGAGCCTCTAAATATCAACAAAGTTATCACTTGATAGACTAGAATTAAACAAGCAAGTGGTTCCAAGAAATGGCACGAGTGTATTAATCATAAAATAAAATTTCTACATGAAACATTCAGCCATTCTAGACCATTTCTGTCTGTGCAGACTCATCTTTTCCTGTTCTTTGCAAAGCCCAGCTAGAGCAAGCAAGTTCTTCCCAATAGGTTTTTCCCATCTCTGGTTGCTTGGCTGGCTGGGCTTCCTCTACAAACCCCCTTCCTTTCCCCTAAGCAGGGCCCGGTGTCCCCATCCCGCGGAGTTGAGCTCATGAGGGCATCTGACCAGGAGTAGCTATTCCTGGTGCTATTGTCATTGTCCTGTTTCATGTGTGAACATGGCTGGCTCTACAGAGATTTGGCGGGTAGCAAGGAGGTTTCTTTTTGAATCTTCTTTTGGAAGTCAGACTTGATGAGGATCTTATGCCCACTTTTTCCTAGCTCTGTGGTGTCAGGCAAAGTCTGTTTCTGCAAATGGGGGTTAAGAATTCCTACCTCACAGCAGTCTTTTGATAAATAAATAAGATCTTAAGTGTAAATTATTCCACTAGAAATTGCACAGTCACTTTGGTCTTCATCCTGGAGGTCCACTGACAAGCCTCATGCAAACCTGTGGCCCTGTTCATAAAGTGTTTTGATCCATACTTTCAAATGGCCTCAGGAAGACCTTTTATAAAGTAAAAATGTTAGGCAGCCACATGATATCCATTGACCCAGTGAGGCTGTTTTACTGGATATAAGAGGTTTGACCCGGCATTTTGGGGGGCCGAGACAGGCAGATCACTTGAGGCCAGGAGCTGGAGACCTGCCTGGCCAACATGGAGAAACCCCATCTCTATTAAAAATACCAAAAAAATTAGCTGGGCATGGTGGCACATGCCTGTAATCCCAGCTACTTGGGAGACTGAGGCACAAGAATCGCTTGAACCCGGGAGTCAGAGGTTGCAGTGAGCCAAGCCGAGATGGCGCCACTGCACTCCAGCCTGGGCAGCAGAGTGAGACTCTGTCTCAGGGGAAAAAAAAGGGTGAGGGGAGGGTTTGAAAAAATAGTAGCATGTAGTTATGTTTCTACAATATTTGATATATATAAGGATTTACCAACCTCTTGCATTAGCTGCTATCCCCTACAGCAGTTGCTGTAGGAAAAAAACATCAAGTTCTGAGCTCCTACTGTTTGCCAGGCATATTCTGAGATGATCACGTTGAAATCTCAGAGTTACCCTGCAGAGTAGTCAGGGTATCACTGCCTGACAGATGAAGAAGCTGAGGCTTCCAGCAGATAAATGACTTACCCCAGGCCACATAGAAAATGAGTGGGAGAGCCCAGGTCTGTCTGTGAGGTATAATGAAATTAGCATAAACCCTCCACATTGGCGCCACTCGCATAAATTAACATATATTCTCTCACAGAAAGTATTTTATTGGGCATAACAGTTTGTATCATTTACCGTTTAACATTAGCCGTGGATCTTCCCACATCACATGACTATGCCTCATTCTTTTTGGATAATATGATTACTATTGAATGGATTTACTATCATTCACTTAATCAATACTCCTTTTGATGGCCATTTTAATTGTCTATTTTTTCCTTTTGCACAGATTGGTGTAATAAACGTGATTTTATAGTAATATTTTTGTCTGCCTGTGAAAATGTTTGCTGGACAATAAATTCCTAGGAGTCAAATAAGGTCAAAGATTATAAATACAGTATTTATTTTCATAAATATTACCAAGTCAGCCACAAATGTTTAAATTACTAATGGTTTCAGATTATTGTATTTAATGAGTAAACACTTTTATAGGGTTTACTTTTATGAACACTTTTATTTGCCAGATATCATTCTAAGTCCTTTACAAAATTAACTTTTTTAATTTGTAATATAACCCTGAGATGTATATTAGGATTATCCCCATTCTACAGATAAGAACACTGAGAAGTTAATTAACTTGCCACATATCTAGGAAGTGGCAAGGCTAGTTGCACAGCCAGGCAGTCTGGCTCCTGAGTCCACATTTTAGACAACACTATACCTCCTGGTTCTTTTGAGGCATTACTGCTGGAACTATCCTAATACTCATAAATAAACATTTCTTTTGGGGAGGGCCAAATAAAATTTTAAACAGAAAAGTTTTCACCAACTGTCAAGCTCATAAAGTTGTACGTTATACACTTTTTTCATGATGCCCACAGATAATTTATTAATGATATCATCTATTTTAAAAGACGTATGTAAAACCCAACCCTTAAGAAAGGATTCCTATCACTGTTCCCACAGGCACCCTCCTCAGTCTTATACCTTTCCATTCCACCCCCCAAAACAAATCATTCAGCATATTTATTTCATACTGTAATATAGGAAGTAGCTTCTTTTTAGATTTTCTTAGATTATTAACATTGATCATACAAACATGGAATAGAAATTCCTTATGTTTTATCTGGATTTAAGGTGCTACATAATGGAATCTATTTCTATCAAGCCATACACATTGGAGATAATGAAATCACTTGTGTTCTAGCCTAAACGTTATGGGAATTTCAGAACTGCAACATAACAGATAATCCTTGGACGAAAACTAAATCTCTCCTCTGGTCAGGCATCTATGTGCATCAGTGAAGAGAAGACGGGGACTGTGGAAGGGAAAACAGTGAGTCAGGAAGGACTGTGGCCACATCTGTTCCCCGGACCCTCAAGTAGTTAAATCCTGACCTCCTCTACCCCAGACTGTCCTGGGGAATGGCCAACACTGGCTTTTCACAACTGTGTGTTACCAGAAATGCAACAGAAACCCAGCTGAATCCCCAGGGTTTCCCTTCTGCCCTTCTCAATGGAAAGATCTGTCCCAGGACCATTTATTCCAACATTTTCAATTATGAGAAATCTGGGAAGATAAAGTTATTTTCACATTTCTCAAGAAATACATACTTATTCATACTCATGACAGGAAAGTCAGAATCTACAGAAAACCAAGAAGATTTTTAAAAATCCATGATACCACCATCAAAAGAGCCACACTTAGTATGTTGGTCCACAGGTTTCCTAGCACCCTTTTCTGTTGGTGTATGCACAAAATACACAATCACATTCTGTCTACATTTTACAATTTGCCATTTTTTGATTAACACTATATATTGACCAATTTTTAAGACCTGCAACATATGTCGACAACATTATTTCAGAATAATATATTTATAAATAAACGCACACACAAACTGTCTGTCTTATATACAACACGTCTTACTTTCTAATTCTCCACTCTGGAAGATTTAGGTTTTCCTAACTTTTTAATATACTCACCAGGAATCAGTAAACTTTTTTTATAAAAGGCCAAAGGGTAGATATTTTAAACTCTGCAGGCCATAGGTTTCTGTTGCAACACTCAACTCTGCTGTTGCAGGGAAAGAAGCCATACACAATTTGTAAATGAATGGGCATGACTGTGTTCTGATAAACTTTACAAAAACAGGTGGTGGACTAGATGCAGCCTGCTCCTCTGGACATGGCTTACCAGCCCCTGACATATACCACTACAGAGGATGCTGTTAGAATGAAATCTCTTTACACATCTCTGATCATCTCCTTAGGACTAATTGCTAGACATGACATCATGGTAGCTGTGGGTCAAAGGGCATGCACGCTCTGGGATGTACATTGCCAGATTGCTCATGATCAGCCTTTCTCATGTCAAAATGTTTTGTGACCACCAGAAGGCTGGTTCTGCTTTTATTATCCATTGACTGAGGAGTAGAAATGACATGGCATGTATGCAGGATATTTAACCATCGTATAGATAATCCTTGTGCACAAGTGCATTCTATATTCTTTCCCAATAGGTCTACATCTGCCAGAGTTGAAATAAAATAAAACAAAACAAACCTATTTAGCACCTTCTGTGTAGCAGGTCCATTCATGTATGTTGTTGTATTTCATTCTCAGAATTCTTATGACCTAGGCATTTTAAACATTTTTTTAAAAATATTGAGTTGACAAGGATTGTGTATATTTAATGCATACAATGTGATGATTTCATATATGTATATATTGTGTACTAATTATCACAATCAAATTTATTACATCCATTACCACCTATGCTGTACATTAAATCTCCAGAATTTGTTCATCTTATAACTGAAAGTTTACACCCTTTGATTAATAGCTTCCCATTTTCCCCACCTCCAGCCCTTGGCAACCACCATTCTACTATCTGTTTTTATGAGTTTGACTCTCTTAGATCCCACATATAAGTGAGATCATACAAAACTTGTCTTTCGGTGTCTGGCTTATTTCACTTAGCGTAATGTCCTCCAGGTTTATCCAGGACAGGAGTTTCTTCTTTTGAATGGCTAATAGTCCATTGTTTATATGTATTTTATTTATCCATTCATCTGTTGCTGGACACTTAGGCTGTTTCCATATCTTGGGTATTGTGAATAGTGTTGTAATAAACATGGGGCGCAGATCTCTCTTCAAGGTTCTAACCTGATTGCTGAATCGTATGGTAGTTCTGCTTCTAATTTTTTGAGGAACCTCCATACTGTTTTCTGTAAAGGTTATACCACTTTACATTCCAACCAACAGTGTACAAGGGTTCTCTTTCCTCTATGCTTTCGCCAACACTTGTTATCTCTTGTCGTTTTTTTATAAGAGCCATCCTATCCTATGAGGCAATATCTCACTGTGGTTTTGATTTGCATTTCTCTGATGATTAGTGGTGTTGAGCACCTTTTCATATGCTGGCTGGCCATTTGTATATCTTCCTTGGGGAAAAAAGTCCATTGGGGTCCTTTGCCTATTTTTAATTGCGTTATTCATGTATTTATTAATTTTTGCTATTGAATTGTGTGAATTCCTTATATTTTTTCAAATAACCCCTTATCAAATATATGGGTCGCAAATATTTTCTTCCATCCCGTAGGTTGCCTTTTCATTTTGTCATGGTTTCCTTTGCTGTGTAAAACCTTTTAAGATTGATGTAGTCCCATTTATTTATTTTCACTTTTGTTGCCTGTGCTTTGGTGTTACATCAAAAAAAATATTGCCAATTATGACCAATGTCGAGGAGATTTTTCCCTATGTTTACTTCCAGGATTTACATGGTTTCAGATATTACATTTAAATCTTTAATCCACTTTGAGCTAATTTTCTGTATATGATGTAAAACAAGTGTGCAATTTCATTCTTTTTCATGCACTTTCCCCAACACCATTCATTGAAGAGAGTTTCCTTTCTACATTGTGCCTTTTTTTTTTTTTACAGTACAGTGAAAGCAAGTCTATTAAGAAAGTAAAGGAATAAAAGAATCTACATTGTATATCCTTGATGGCCTTGTCAAAGATCTGTTGACCATATATGCACGGGGTTATTTCTGGGTGAGCTTGGCATTTTTTTTTTTTTTTTTTTTTTTTGAGACAGAGTCTCGCTCTGTCGCCCAGGCCAGACTGCGGACTGCAGTGGCGCAATCTCGGCTCACTGCAAGCTCCGCTTCCCGGGTTCACGCCATTCTCCTGCCTCAGCCTCCCGAGTAGCTGGGACCACAGGCGCCCGCCACCGCGCCCGGCTAATTTTTTGTATTTTTAGTAGAGACGGGGTTTCACCTTGTTAGCCAGGATGGTCTCGATCTCCTGACCTCATGATCCACCCGCCTCGGCCTCCCAAAGTGCTGGGATTACAGGCGTGAGCCACCGCGCCCGGCCGAGCTTGGCATTTTTATCTACCTCATTCTACCGATGAGGAGGCCGAGTCTCAGAGAGTTCACAGACCTGCCTAAGGTCACTCAGCTAGAGGTGATACAACCAGGGTTTGAACTGAGATCTGCCAAGCTTCTGAGTTTATTCTTTTTCCCCCACACCAAGGATCCTCAATTCTGCCTTACTGACATCAGGATCCGGTCAATTCTTTGTGATGGGGGCTGTCCTGCACCTGGCAGGATGTTTAGCAGCTTCTCTGGCCTCCACCCACTGGATGCCAGGGGAATGCAGAAGAGGCTTGTTCATTCTCCCATTTAATCCTCAGGACAATATCTGACATAAATGTTACGTCTTTTATTTTATAAATGAAGAAAATGAGACTCAGAAAGGTTTAAGTGAGTTACTTAAGAACACACAGACAGCAAAGGTAGAACTGGAAACCGAACACAGGTGTCCACATGGGACAACAAAAAAGTTCACGTTCCATCTTCTTTTGAGTCTCTCATTTCAATAATTACCATTGTGTGGATATGAGCTGAAGTACAGGAAACCTGGGGCTGAACTCTCCTCCCATCAGGCCTAGGAGCCCCAGACCAGAACCCCAGCCCAAGGTCTCCCAGTCAGGCCCGCTGGTGTGAGCTGGCATCTACACTAGCATGGTCTCCCAAAGCTGCAGGGATGCCAGTCTCGCCGCTGATGAAGAAAATGAAGGGCATTTCCTTCTCATGCAGGCTGTCGGGATTTAACACAGATTCCTTTTCTTGCTCTCTTCTCCCATAGCACAAAACTGGGTGGTCCATCCCCCTCCCAGTGTCCCAAGGCTTTGTTGCGTGTTCTCTTTAATTTCTCCCACTCTTGCGGTGTACCCTACCCTCATCTCCCTGGCAACCTTTCTGCTGTATCCTCTCGACACCTGGATCACAAGAACACTTGTGAGACCCCTTAACAAGTTACATCCCAAATTATCATTCCCCTTTGTCCTCAGCCAGTGCTCAGGTCCAACTTGCTCTCCTGGGGTGACTTTCTTTCCTGCCCAATATGGTTTCATCATCTGTAAATTGGGGATAATTAAAGTCTTGATCCTGATATTTGACTCTCAAAGCAGAAGTAGCAAGCTCAGCCAAGTCACTTCAACAAGAGGAGAAGTTCCTTGTGAACCAAAAGGGCACTGGTCACAAGGGCCGCTCCTTCTTCTGTCAGGCCTCTCCAGCACGCCCTTGGCTCAGCCAAAGAAGAGACTCAGGCTGTGCTTCTGCACTGTTGGGATAACATAGGCCTCTTCCATGTGGTTCCACACCAGGAACATGGGGACAATCAGACCTCTCCCAGTGTGGGCATAAGGATACAAGATCATGTCAATATTGACATTCATAATGGCTGGGCGCAGTGGCACACGCCTGTAATGCCAGCACTTTGGGAGGCTGAGGTGGGCAGATTGCTTGAACCCCAGAGTTCGAAACCAGCCTGGGCGACTTGGCAAAACCAGTCTCTACTGAAAATACAAACAATTGGCTGGGCTTGGTGGCGCACACCTGTAGTCTCAGCTACTTGGGAGGCTGAGGTGGGAGGATTGCTCAAACCCAGGGAGGTTGAGGCTTCAGTGAGCTATGATGGCACTGCTGTACTCCAACCTGGGCAACAGAGTGAGGCCCTGTCTCAAAACAAAAACAAAGACAAAACAACATTCATAATAGTAGCAATAGCTACTATGTGCCAAGCCCAGGCACCTCTTCGAGTCTTTGCTGTCACCCTATCAGGTAAGCGTGCTTAGAAGTTACACGAAGCACACGGCTCAGTGTTTGGCCCACGGTAAGGGCCTAAAAAGGGATAGCCCCAGTGGTGGGGATGCTGCTGCTGCTGACCATTAACCCCAGTCTGCTCCACCTTCTTCCAGGCAGTCTGTGAGATGTTTGATGTCCGAGGCAAACAGCACATTCAGATCCCCAAGCTCTACACCTCCAGTGTGACCAGGCACCTGCACCACTTCAGGCTCATGCAGGACTCACAGCCTTTGGACCGCAGCTAAAGGACTTGCTTCTCTTCAGCACACGGGGCTTGTTTGTGTTGGGGTCTGAGCCCTGAGCCCATGGTCAAGGAGACCCCCAGGTCTTTCTGAACAGAGACAGCTGGCCTGGGGGCCTCCCTCTCACTGCGTGCAAGAGGCTGTTAGGGTGCAAGACTCAAGGCGCTGAGGGAGGCTGTTTCAGGAGGGAGCCCCAGGAGGGTGGTGGAGACAGAAGGGGGCAGCATCTGCCGAGGCCCTCCTGTGTGCCTGGCACCGTGTGGGGTTTCTGGCCCATATGGGCTAAGTGACCCTGCACACTCCTCTTAGGAGAGAGGCTCAGATGGAGAAATTGCAGTTCAGGAAGGTGAAGCAAGCTGCTAGCCTGTGGCCATGTTGGGATCTGGGCCTCAGCCTTCCAGCCACGAAGGCAGCCAAGTGTCATGAAGAAGGCATCACAGAGGCAATTCCAGGCTGTAGTGGTGAACTTTCCACTCTGCATCCCCGGGTGCTGTGCCCTGTGCCCTGTCTAAGGTAGCCCTGTGGGTTTCTATATGTTTAAATTGTCCCCAGCATCAATGATGCTCTCCTGTGGATCCCAAGCCATGGAGATGTCCTGGGACTTTTCATTTTTAGGTACCTAAATTGAATTTCCCAACACACAGAAGCAAGACAGCCGCCCTAACAGACTCTTGCATGCAGTGAGAGGGAGGCCGCCAGGCCAGCTGTCTCTGTTCAGAAAGACCTGGGGGTCTCCTTGACCATGCGCTCAGGGCTCAGACCCCAACACAAACAAGCCCCGTGTGCTGAAGAGAAGCAGGTCCCTTAGCTGAGGTCCAAAGGCTGTGGGTCCTGCATGAGCCTGAAGTGGTGCACGTCCCTGGTCACATTGGAGGTGGAGAGCTTGGGGATCTGAATGTGCTGTTTGCCTTGGATCTTTATTTGTGATTCAGAAACAGTGGAATAAAAGGAAAGGAAAGAAAACCTGAATGGCCACCTCAGCAGGATGCTCCAAGGGTAGTGTCCAGGTGGCACTGACTCAGATATGTGGGGGCTTCCCCCACCCATGCTCAAGAGCCACTTTGCCATTTCACCATCTCTCTGTCCTCCACACCCCTCAGCAGCAAGCACAACAAGAATGTGTTCACCATGAAGCTCAAATCTCAGCAGAATCTAGAGTCTGAAATCCAAGTAAGGGAAAGTGTAGAGCTTCTTGGATGATGCCCTGTCAATTTTATTTTAACGAATGAAAGACCAGAAGAAGTCAGTCTTGAAAGGAGAGGACAGGAGCATCTGCTGGCATTAGCAGCCGTGCCATCGTAGGACCGACTCACCTGGACCCGCGGCCACCTGTGCTTTTACATCTAGTCTTGGTTAACCATGGGCCACTTTTCCAGCTTGGAAACTAAGCATATGCTCCACTTCCTCTCCTTCCTCATTGAACTCTTTCACTAAAAGAACAGTGCAAGAGAGACTTAAACTGTTTGCCTCATTCTTAAGACCTTTCAGGAAAAGTGTTGGCAGGGAAGGAAATCTCCCAGCTCTGGGAAACAGTCTTGTGGATTATCTGCTGGTTTCATTGATCTGTGCTGTCCTCCCTGCATTCATTAGGAAAACTGGCCTTGGTTCAAATAAGAACAGGATTTGTCCTGGTGACAGAGAAAGGTTTCTTCTGATGTCCATATATCTCCGAGGGGGATGCTTTCTCCAGGCAGAGGCTGTGGCCAAGCGATCGGGGGGCTCAGAGGGCTGCTGGGAAGGGGTGGGCCCCTCTCTCCCCAGAGGGAAACTCCTGGGGACCTCTCGAGCACCCCTGCCCATCCTTTAAACATAAATTCATAAATACAAACAAGTAGGCCATTCACAGAAATATATAAAATATGTCATAGGACGGGTGGCACTCTCATATGGCAATAATTATGACAGGGGCCGGCAAATGACCTGAGTGACCCGGAGTGGCCTGAGCACTGACTCCCAAATGCCCTCCATAGGATGTTCTGCATCCCCGAGACCCTTTCCTGGGTCCTCCTGGGCCCTACCACCCCCTAGACCATCCAGACCTCAGGTCATCCCCCTGTCTGTTGACAGAGTAGTCTCCGTTCCTGAATGTGCTGGTCACCAGCAACAGCAGCTGCTCCTCCTCCGGGAAGCTCAGCCTATACTTCTACATGCAGAGAACCTGGACGGCACCCAGGTGGACCTAAGCCTTCAGCTCCCAGTAGACACTCTGGGTTTCCTACCCTGCCCAGACACTCTGGGCTTCCCCCCACACCTCCCCTCGGCCGGGGCTCCTGTGTGCATCTGTCTCTCCCAGTGCCCAGCACAGGCGTGGAAGGGAAGAGGTGAATGGACCGATTTGAACACATCATCCTGGATTCTCCGTTCCCTCTCAAGCCCTGCAGCTAACCCATCGGCAAGCCCTGGAGGCTCTGCCTCCAAAATCCTGCCTATCCCATGTGCAAACGCCTCTCACCATGTCCACTGCTATTTGCAGTTCTGTGTGTGTGGAAATACTTCCACAAATTTGGAATGAACAGGTCACAGCTGTGCCTGGAGGGAATGGCCAGGGAAATGTGCCCTCGCCTTGCTGTTCTATCCAGGCCCACCCAGCTGAGGATGGGGGACCTGCCACCACTCTCCTGGCAGTTCCGGACTCCTGGGAACCGGCAGGTGAGGACCCAAGAGTGTTTTCAGTGACCCGGCTGACCTGGTCATCCGTCAGTCCCACCTTGGCCTAGGCCTCTATACAGCACAGATCACAGCTCATTCCATCCTGGCATTACACTGGCCTGTGCCCTGTCCTCAGGGTCACATCCGTCTCCCAGAAGCCGTGCAACCCTGGAAAACCCAGGTCTAACAGTCAGGTTCCTCCTCCGTGCATTAACAATGGAGTTGACGCCTGCTTTGCGGCACGCTGGGAGGGGAGAGGGAGGTGTATGCTGGAGAGCTCCCCAGGGGCAAGGCCTGGCTCTGCGTCACCCACTGTCAGATCCTGAGAGCCTGGGGCTGGCCCAGCACGTGGCCACCGTTCCCTAAGAGTTGGATTTCATCCCTCAGTGCTGAAGGCAGGGGATAGAGCTTAGACAGACCCCCTGCGTCCTGTCTTCTTTATCTACAGCTTTCTCATCCTTGCCCCTTTCACGTGCACCCGGCAGAGCAGGTGTTCACTGAGCTTGAGCAAAATTCAAGCTAGAGCAGCTGATGGATCTTGAGGCCTAGATTCACTGTCAAAGTGTTTCTCAAACGGTGCTCTCCAGAACACCAAGGAAAACTCATTGACTGTGTAAGTCTGAAAATCCCTGCCCACCGGTCTACCTTTGTGTATGAGCAATCAGCTCTACCATTCAGCCCAGGTGTGTGTTTGCTGGACCATGTGGAGGAAGCTGAAGAGACGTGAGCTGAAGGCAGAGGGTGAGTCCAAGGTGGGATCTTGGGACAGGTACGAGAAGTTAGGCAAAAATGGGATAATTCTAGCCTTCATAACCTTAGATAACAGTTCACATTATTATTTAGTTAATAGAACTGTACCCACATTAAATTTCTTAAATTTTTTTAAGAGATAAAGTCTCACTCTGTCACCCAGGCTGGAGTGCAGTGGTGCAATCATGGCTCACTGCTTCCTGGAACTCGTGGGCTCCAGCAATCCTCCTGCCTCAGCCTCCTGACTAGGTGGGACTATAGGCACACGCCACCATGCCTGGCTAATTTCTTTGACTTTTCTCTAGAGACCGGGTCCACCTAGGTTTCCCAGGCTGGTCTCAGACTTCTAGACTCAAGTGAACCTGAACCTCCCGCCTCGACCTCTCAAATTGCTGGGATTACAGGTGTGAGCCACCACACCCGGCCTAAATTTCTTATGTGCCATGGGACTGCAAAACATCATTATTAGGGGCAGCTGGATGGAAGGTATAGGAGGATACTATAGTGCCTTTTCAATATTTCTGTCTAAAATCTAAAATCATTTCAACAGGAAACATTTATTTCAAAACATGAAGGTGGTTATCCTTCCATGAGTTTGAAGTACAAAGGCAGGCTCACGGTGTCGTCAGAATTCAGAACGATGGTCGTGGGGCTGGGGGTGCTGGGAGGGGCTGGGCATGGTTGGCTTTGTGATCTGGGGTCTGGTGTGTTCCATCTCTGAATCTCTCTCGAGCTGCACTCTTTCTTAATACATTTTCATAAGTTTAACCAAAAATAAAACGAGGACGCGAAGCTTGCTTGGGTTGTTAAGCCTAGGGAAATTATCCAGCCATGAGCCCTGGCCCAGATGCTTCTAGAAGCCTGGAGGGAACTGAGAACTTTCCAAGTGGAGGCCGCAGAGGCAAGGCCCTGAGGTGGGAGCACACTGCTGTTCGTCCCTAGCTCTGAAGGGGGTGCCCTGGTCGGAATCAGTGCTGGGTGCAGCGAAAGCCGATCTCACCCGCTCCGCAGGGTGTTCAGCCTGCCAGCAGGGGGCCAGCTGGTCCTCCTGGGATATGGCACGGACCCAGCAGCTCTGTCTGAAATCATAATGGCGGAACCAAGGGCCCTCTACGTCCAGGTCCGTTGGGAGGCGGGGCATGGAGTTCCACTGCAGGAATCTCCAGGAACCCTGAGGTCCTCCCTGAGCCAGGGCCGGGCTGGGCACACCCTGAGTGCCCACAGGGTAGGTGTCTTCCCGGACAGCCCCACCAGGACAGGGTGTGGAAGAACGAGGTGCCCGTGGCGGGGAAGCTGACCAAATGGGCCGCGGGAACCGGGCTGGTGGGCCTGGAGGGGCCTGCCTGTCCCCCTTGCAGAGGGTCTTCCCGCCACGTGAAGCCGGCACAGGCCTGGATGCCGACGACCCTTGCTCGGGTTTGGCTGAAAGGAAAACAGACGCGGTCAGCATCTCCAGTGAGCCCACGCAGGCCTTTCCGGGCTGGGCCCCACCTGCCTGCATCTCGGAGTCCTCGGGGTCTCTGTGTGGCCCCCGTGGCCTGACACCGAGGACACGCCTGTAGTCTGCTGATCCCAGAGGGAGGGGTGCATGCTGCCTGGCGTGGGGAAGCTGTCGTGGCATGGCGGGTGGCTCCTGGGACTGCCCCCAGGGTTCAGACTGGCTGGGGGCTTCCTGCCACACACCTTCGTCCCAGGGCTGTTGGGCCTGGGATACGGCCCCCAGTCAGAACTCAGGTGGGAGGGGCCTTGGATGTCACCCAGCCCCTTGTCACCTCACGTGGGGACCCGTCTCCGCAGTGGGTGATTGGGCCCGGACGTGGGTCACCCTCTGCCCTCCTGGGCTGCCCAGTCCATGCCAGGACTGACCGTTCCCACTTCTGGCTGAACTCTTGGCTCTGGCTCTGGGCCCTCTCCCTGAATGCTCTGTGGGTCAGGGACACGGATTCCCTTGTCTCCCTGGCTCCAGGCTTCTTGTCCTGGCAACCTTGGAGGAGCGTGCAGGAGTGAGGGGCCTCTGCTGCTCTCTGAGGCTGTGGGTGCTTGCAGGGAGGGGCGGGGTCTCCCACAAATGGGTCTGGGCTCGTCTAGTAACTTGGAGGGCCCTGCGAGGGGGAGAGGGAGACACCGTGGAAAGTGGGAGGGGGCTTGTTGGAGGGTCTTGCCCACATCCCCCTCCTGCGTGCACAGCATGTCCAGTATACACGCACTGAGCGCCTGCCCTGAGGACCGGTGGGCCTCCTGTACTTTCTTAGAGTCCAGGAGGAAGAGGAGGAAGAAAAGGTGAAGAGGAAGGCCCAGGTAGTAGGGTTGCGGGTCCCGGGCACTCCCCTACTACTGACTACCCCAGAGGGTGACATGGGAGGGGACATGGCACTGGAGCCCACCTGGGGGTGGCAGGTCCCCCTGCTTTCTTGTTAGTTTCTTCATAGAGGCCCTAAGATGCTTGAGCACAGTGTCCTCATCCCTGGCCCAGGTATCAACGAACCGGTTGCAAAAACGTGCCCACGGGCCACACCTGGACGTCTTCGTGAGGCGCTCTAGGGACAGGGTGGATATCAGGCCAGGGGAGTTACCTGGGAATGGTCACAGCTCATATCCCGTGGCCACTTCAGTCTCCTACTGGGCGGTGCCGGATCCTTTTGTGGCCACCCCAGGTGTCCAGATATACACAGGAGACTGTGGCTGGGGGGCGATCCGGACAGGGAAGTGCTCACCACACTCTCGACTTTCATCTGGGTCATGTGGGGGATGGGCTCGGTGTCACAGTGTCCTGCCCAGCCCACCTGGCCAGACCTCCCTCTGGGCCAGAACAGAGGATCATGAGGACAGTGTGAGGAAGCTGCCCTCGGGCCAGTCGGGGTCTGACCCCAGGGCTCCCCAGGCCCCGCTGGGCACACGTAGACTTACTCTGCTGAACCTTAAAGGCGATTCTTGTTATCGGCATCAACGCCTGTTCGCCTTCTACCAGATACACGTCCCACAGGCGCAGGGTGAGCCCGAGAGAGATCTGTGGGGACAGCAGGTGTGAAAGAACCTGGTCCTTCCAGGCTGGGGCTGGTGGCTCGAGCTGCGCACACTGGGGCTTCAGTCTCCAGAGTCAGTGACCTTCCCCATGAGGGTCGCCTGAGCCCTCCAGGACGCTGGGTCAGACAAGGTCTTGAAGCTCCTCATGGGGGGCACTCATTTGAGTGGGGATGTGGCTCCTGGAGAGAGGGGCTTGCCCAGGGCTTGAGGCTTCCCTGAGCCCTCTCAAGTCGGGTCCTGGCCCAGTCTGCCCATGAGGCTGGGCCTGAGCCCCAGCCATGGCCCTGGGATGACCCCCCTTGGGCAGAGGGTTTTGCTTGTGTGTCCTTTGGGGTCCCGCCTGAGCCTCCTGTGGGCTGGGAGTGAGCCAGACCCCCGGGCTGGGGAAGCAGGGCACTGCAGGGCAAGGAAGGTCCCTGAGCCAGGGTCTCCCTATGCCTCCTTACCCCGTCAATCAATATCCGGATGAGGCAGCCTAACGGGGAACACTGCCCACATAGATCTTTCTTGTCCTGATGGAAGCAACAGAGGTGCTCAGGCCACTGGGCTGCCCTAAAAACCTCCCTCTTCCAGGGCCTCTGAAGACCCTTCCCCTAGTGCAGAACACTGGGCGGTGTCCAGAGCTCCCCACAACACTGTCACCTTCCCACACTCCCGGTGGACACACTGCCCTTTGCCCTGCTCTGCGGGAGCTGGGCCCCCATCCCTGTGCCTCTGTCTCCTCCAGGGCAGGAAAGGAAACCAACTCCCAGCCCATGGAGAACCCGACGTCCCAGGTCAGGCCCTGGCTGGGACTCAGCCAGTCACCAGCCCCACGAGGGGCTCCAGCCCCCCTGCTCCTACAGCCCCACGGGAGGCAGGGCCTCTGGGAAGAGCTGAGGGGACCATAAACTCACCTGATGCCCCATGGTCTTGGGTTGTGACGTGGCTACCACATGCTCCTGTTGGTCTTGGAGCCCCTGGACGGTCCCGCCATTTGGGCTGTGAAATCCTGAGAAGCCCCCAGCCCATCATGAAATCAGAGCCTTCCCCCAAGATGTGGAGCCATCAGCTGCAAGAGCTGGGCAGCTGGAGAGGCCCCCAAACCCCAAGGCCTCCCACCCTCCCATCTGGTGACCCCAACATGCGGCCTTTACCCTGGGGAGGTGGGGCGGGAACATTCCCTGGAGCCTGGCTGGAGGTTCCCCTGGAGGCCTCCTGGGCCAGGGTGCAAAAAGGGCAAGCCTGACTTTCAGGCCACGACAGGGTGGCCGGAACTGGGTGGGCGCTGGGCTTCCCGGTCATCTCCTGGTAGTGGGGTCGGGCCAGGGAACAGGGGATGGGGAGATGCTGCCACCTGGGCTTGGTCGGCCCATTCGTGGGCACCGATGGCAGCAGGAGCCTGGGCAGCTGGAGGGCAGGAGGACTCTCAGGGAGGGGAGAGTCAGCTGCACAGAATCAGAGCCGGAGGGCGTGGCTCCAGGACACAGAGGGTGGCCACGGGGAGGATGAGATGCCCTCTGCTGATGGGGATGACAGGCGTCTGATTTGGGCTTTGGGGGTCAGCCGTGGACTCCTGTGGGACCCTCAGCAGAGACATTCTAAAGTCTCCCAACAAGCTGGCGACACAAGGAGGGTGCCTTGGCTGAAAGCTGTGATCACCCGGCCAGGGTGGCCATCCCCAGGTCTGGCTGCAGGAGGTCCCCGGGGCAGCTGTTCACTTACCCTGCAGGGAGTGCCTCTCACTGGCCAGCAGCTGCACCAGTGCCCAGAATGCATCCTCCTCAGGAAGATAGAGGAGGAACAAGGCGGCGATGTGGCTCAGGTCCCTGCAGTAGCCCACCTCCTGCAAGAGCCAGAGTCACCATGGAAGGACATCACCTGGGAGGGCTGAGGTCACCTGGGAGGACTCATGTCATTGGAGAGGGCAGAGGTGACTGGAGAGGCTTCCTCTGAAGGAGAGGCTTCCTCTGAAAAAGAGGCTTCCTCAGGATGCACATTCATTTCATGACAAGAGCCAAGTCCATCAGGCACTTCAGCACCTTGTCCAAAATGTCTGCTGATAGCACCATCCTGTGTGCGATGCTGCCAAGCTCCTGGGCTTTGGGGCAGCCCCAGGAGGAGGGCGTCATTTCTTGTTCTGAGAAGTGGTGGTCAGGCCCAGGTGACACCAGGAGTCCCGGCCCTGACTCCTTTGTGTCTCAGCTTGACCCCTTGAGACCACCCCCTTCCTTGGAGGTTTATGCCAGCGGTGAGCTGACATCCTACCTCCTATATCCTGGTGGGTCACAAATACTAACTTTAAAAGAAGCAACGACACCCCCACCAGACACCCACTCCTGTCAATATGGAAATATGGCCCGGGAACCTCACTGCCGGGAATACTCACCGGGTTATACTCCTCATATGCCAGGAGGATGTGGAGTAGTTCCCGCTGCCTAGGAAACAGAGAAAGGGGGCTTTGGTTTGTTTTGTGCAGATGTTGTTAATTTCACTTTGTCTACAAAGCCTAACAGCAAATCCCATTTCAGGTTCAGATGTTTCACCAGATAAGCAGTGAGCTCTTCAGGGCCTGAGACTCTTGAAGAAATGTTTCAGTAAAATCCACATCTGTGACATGCAAATAGCCCAGTTGTACAGTGACTTGCCTGATCCTTTTCACTCTGAATGATTTTTTTTTTCAGTTTGCACACACGCCAGTTCAGTCTGTGGGTGTACAGTTCCTCCACGGTTCCAAACCGATGTGCAGAGTCTCCCGGCCACCGCTCCAGCCCCTCCTGGGGCGACTCCTTCATCCTCCAAGTCTCCAGGGTGGCCCCTATGCAACCAGCCTCTCCCCGATCCGTCAGCCCCTGGCCACCCAGACTGCTTCTCAGTCCCTGTGGTTTGGCCTTTTCCAGAATGGCCTAGGAATGGGAATCCTACTGTGGTAGCTTATTGGGTCTGGCTTCTGTCCCTCAGCAAAATGCATCTAGGATCCACCCACGTTCGTGCGGGCATCACCGGCTCGTTCCCTTTTCTCACTGGGTCTTCCGTTTGAAGGGAGGACCAGCCTTGCTCTCCCCATCCCCGTGTTGAAGGCCGTCCCCGAAGGCTCCGTGTGTGAGTGACGAGGAGTCAAGCAGTGAACCTGGCATGCTGGTTTCATGTGGATGTCAGTTTGCAAATCAGTGGGTTCAATATCTGTGACACTTTGGGGATGTGTGGTTCAAGTCCATCGAGCTTTGTGAGCCACTGCCCAACGGGCTGCCAACGTGGCTGTGCCATGTCATGTTCCCAGCGGACCTGGATGAGAGTTTCCAGGACCCCTAATTCTCCCAGCATTTGGTGCTGTCACTGTTGCCTGGCGGGGGCTCATGGGCCCTCTATCCTGCCACCCTCCCGTGGGTCCTACCATGGGTCCCCATGGGTCAGGGAGAGCACCCTTCACCATTGTGCATGATTTTGTTTGCTGCCTTCCATCTCCTCAGGATCCTCCTGGGTTCTGGCCCCACATGTTCCAGTCTGGCCCAGGGCTTGGAACCAGGGAGGTGCTCGGTTCATGGTGCCGGCTGCTCCCTGGGCCGGGAGAGCTCTTGGCAGCTGTGTCATCCCTCCTGGGTGACCCTGGCTTCTGCTCCGGGGAAGCCCCCATCCCTCTCATTCACCCCATCTCTGCTGGGACCCTGTGGCTCCCGTAGGCTTACTTGGTTCCGTATCGATCCCTGAAGAATATATGCTTCCTTAATGTCCCGCTTACGTCCCGGTCGATGCGCTGGATGTGCTCAGATGACCTCTTGCCCTTCTCCTTCATGATCTGTAGGGCAGGGCCAAGAGGAGGAAGCAGTCTCAGAACAGATGGAAGACTCCCTGCCCCCAGTGGCAGTCAGCCCACAGTCAGCACTTCGGGAAGGAAGGACAGAAGGAAGGTTTCCTTCTGCAGAAAGCTGCATTTTGGCTTGTTACTGAAGCCAGGGAGGGTCACCAGAGCTGAGTTTGTCTGTGGTGACTGTGTCACCATCTGTGCCCAGGGTGTTCATCTGACCTTCACCCCCAGCTCCCCAGGGTGGTCTTGACGTTCCCTCCAGCTGGAGACCTGGGCACCGACACGGCCTGTCCTGTTTGTTGTGCTCTGGCTGAGCGTACCTGGTATCTTCCGGGGTTTTTCATCTTCATTTCCTCAGTGTTCAGGAGGACTGACCACATCGGGCCCCGGATGTTCATGGGCATTCCCTTGTACGCTCGATCTATGAGCTGTAGGCAGAAAACAATCTGGTGTCACAGGCCACGGGGTGACCCCAGTGAGGACCAGAGCCCGGGGATTCTGGAAATTGTCGGTTTTGGCCCCATGATTCCTCAGTAGAGGTGAGATCAAGCTGGGACAGGGTCTCCCTTCCCAGGACTGAAAGAGTGGATGGACACTCAGAGTCGAAACTCTGATCTGAACCTTTTCCTTCCTTCAGGTCCCCAGGGCATCCCTAGCCTTGAGCTCCGGGTAGTCCCAGCCCTAGATTCAGATTCCCTCCCTGCAAGGTGACGCTTGCACGAATAGGCAGGAAATCTGGCGACCAGGCCTGCAGTCCTCTGGGCGAGGACAGTGTGCCGCCCACCCTCTGAGAGGCTGATGGTGCCAGGCCACAGCCATGGGTGCCTGTCCCCTGTCTCTGCAGAGAGTGCTTCCTCCCTCCACACGTTACCTTTCTGCTGCTTTTGTATTTCTCCCAGTCTCCCAGCATATCCACCCACTTGCTCTTTCGGCTGATCTCCCGCCGAATTTGCTGTCAAATGAGGCATGTTGGAGTTAGCGGAGCTGCCAGGCTTCCCAGAGCCGCCCGCGGATGCTGGGTCTTGGGCTCTGGAGCCCTGGTGGGAGCCAGCTGGAAGGAGCCAGGGAAGGGCAGACCTCAAGGGCTGAGAGCCTTTGAGCAAATGAGCACCAGTGGGCTGGCTTTGGGACCCCGGGATGTACCATCCTCAGGCCACAGACACACCAGTCTTAGGTCCCAGCCTCTAGGTGGGGTCCTGACACAAGCGCGCAGCCACCCCCAAGCCAGGACTGTGGTTCTCCTTTTGGAATTTTATCAAACTGCCAAAGTGAACAGCAACCTGGGGTCAGGTCCAGCAGGGACTGCTGCCCCTCCCAGTGACAGCGTGTTGCCCTCACCCGCCACCGCTCAGGCCAGCTGCTTCCTCTGCCTCACTGACCACCCGCCCAGTCCCTACGTCCCTGGACCAGCCCCTCCACGCATCAGGCTCTTACCTTCGCCTCCCGCGCAGTCAGAGGAGGCAGCTCCGTCTCACTGTAAGGCAACCCAGGCAGAGCTGAGGAACTGCACGGGGCCTGGAGCGGCCCCAGCCTGGGTGCCGACCCCCAGAAAGGACTGGCTCTGTCCCTTTCCAGCTCAGGGCTCAGCCCAGGAGAAGGCACAGGGAAGGGAGGACAAGGGCCTTCCTGTGGGGCTGACTCCCAGGAGGGGCAGGACCTGGGAGAAGAAGGAGTGTAGGGACAGCCTGGCCGGGGTTACTGGGGCCCCTGGCGTGGGGGGCGGTCAGGCTGCCCAATGGGGCTGCCCGTCCTGGACTCGAGGTGGTGCTTTCTGCTGGAGCTGAGAAAGGTTAGCCCTGAGATGGGATGGGGGCCGCCCAGGGTGGGCGACCGGGCCCTGACAGGAGTCCCTCAGGGAGTGACCACATCCCCCCGCCAGGGTCAAGGGAGCCTGCCCTGAGACCTGCCCGGTGTACTCTGGCTGCACCAGGGGCCCACCCCACTTGACAGCCCCAAGGCCCTTGCAGGTTCTGACCTCCCAGCATCCACCTGCCTCTCCCTGCACCCGAGCCACACACCCTGCGTTTCAGAAGTGGCACCGCTCGTCAGCTCCCTCCCGCCCTACCTCCCCAGGGATCCTCTGTCTCTCCATCCTGTGATCCCTGAGGGATGGGCTTCTGGCTGGGCTCCTCTTACCCGGCCCCAGATCCCTTCCCAGCACCAGACCCAGGTCTTTAGCCGCGAGCCCTGCTGCCTCCCTGGCCTCACCGTGAGATGCCCAGAACGGGGCCCTGCCCATCTTCTCCCCCGTTCTCCTAGGGCTACAGCCCCCATTGTCACCATGCCTTTTCCCCTCACGGGACAGTGAGGGCTGTAGCTCTAGGGGAATGGGGGAGAACAGGGGCAGGTGGGCCCTCAGAGACCTGCTGGACAACAGCCCTGAGGCTGGGCCAGGCGTCCCCTCACCCTGTGGCCATAACCCTTGCATCTCACCGGGGTTGTCTCCAAGTAGACAGGGCCAGACCCTCAGGCTGCCCCGCTCCTCTTGTGCTCACTTGCCGACAGAACTGCTGAGCGCCCAGGGGCCTGACCTAGCCCAGTCTCCATTCCCACCGGCTCCCTAGATGGGCCCCACACCTCTGGCCTAACAACCTCGGGCTGGACCTGCAGGGGAGTCAGGGAGGAGTTCTGTCCCTGGAAAGGAGGTTGACCCGACCTGGTGAGACATGTCCTGCGTCAGAAAGGCCTTTCTAAAAGCAAACCCATCCCTGAGCTGAGACAGGTGCTTTAGGGGTGAGGGGAGTGCAGAGGACTCACTGTACAATCCCCAAATGATCGACGTTGTTGTTGTAGCTTCGAAAAGGCTTAGGCCCCTTGTCCTCTGGCAGCCCAGCTCGGTGTCCCTGTAGCCCAGAGGGAGCCTTGGTGAGGGGTCCAAGGTAAAGGGTGCAAGGGCCTGGGGGCATTGGCCACCCGTCCCTGCCCTGTGCTCCTAGGGAGCCCAGGACCCTTTGACCAGGGCACACTGGAAGAGGCCTCCCTCCAAGAAGCAGACCGACTTGTACCTTTTCGTATTTCATAATGATGTCCTCTCGCTCTTGTGCCCACCAACTGCCCGCGACCTCTACCACGTCCATCCTGTGAGACAGAATTGTCTAAAGGTCACACTGTACGCGGCGGCTTCGGAGAACACCTGAACCGCTCTCGCCGGGCTCCCAGATGCTGGCTGGCTGCGTAACCCCCATTCCACCGCCGCCCCCAGGGAAAAAGGGGCCAGACCCAGTGGCCCACAGCTGCTCCAGTCTCTGGAGTCTCAAGTCCCAAGCAGGGGTGGGCATCTTCCCAAGGACTTGAGTACAGTGGGACCTAGACAGAGAATCCTGTTGTCCCCCAATGCCATGAAATGGGGACACACCGGCCCCAGCAGGTTGAATGGTTTCCACCTGCCAAGGGTGAAGGGCCCATGATGGGCTATTCCAGGGATGTGGAGGCAGACTGGGGTCAGCGACCAGAGGTCTCTGTGCAATCGGCCTCCTGGGATGCTCAGGGCCTCAGCGATGCCCAGTTTCCTACAGGGAACAAGATCTCTCCCGACTGCTCGGTTCTACTCCGCTCATCACTTTGGCTACCGTGGCTCTTCAGTCTGAACAGTGAAGCCACTTTAGGAATAACGCCTGTTGAGCAGGAGGGTGTTGGGTTTGGAGGATGAGGAAGATCTATTGTACGCATGGAAACCACGTCTCTCGCGGAGGGACTGTGGAGTCCACCATTCTGAGCCGTCCCAACAGGAGGAGGCTTCATTTTCCTGGGTCACTGAGGAAGAACAGTGGGTCCTTGGTCCTGGAGAACAGCTGGATGGACCGTCCCTCCTGGGAATACTCGAGGCAAAAGGAGGGCGAGGCCTCAAGAGGACCACGCAGAGCAAGAAATACCTGGGGAGAACCCTAGTGCCCGGACCCCTTTGAACACAAGGGAAGATAGTCTCCCCTCAGCCAGCCCTCCAGGGCTCCTTCATTTTCCACAGCTGCCCAAGGGCAGCAGGCTCCCCCGGACAAGGGACCATGTGTGTTCAGTGGGGCCCACAGCGACCATCAGGACCCAGCTTAGGGCACAGAGGTGTTCTGAGGACCGTCAGTGGATCTGTACCAGTGGCTCTATACCAGTGGCTCTGCCAGGACCAGGCTCTGCCCCATCGGGATGGGAAACCTGGGCAGATTTGGGATCTAGGGCAGGGAGGTCACAGGGTTCAGGCCTGAATTCCAGCACAGCACACGGCAGGGCTGAGAGCAAAACTCAGGGTCATGTCCGGATTCCCAGGCCGGTTACTGCCTCTCTGACCCCAGACGTCTCATCTGTCGAATGGGGACATTTGGGAACAGCACCCACTCTACGAAGCCACCATGGAGACGAAAGAGCCAATCGTCTACACGGGCAGTGTAGAACGGGCGCCTGGTGAGTGCTCAGGGATGACCCTCCTCGGTAGCTGCCCCACAGAGGCCAACACCGCCCGCACCGTAGCCACTGCCCCCAAGTCCGCCTGGAGGGAAGAGAGCAGGTCACGCTCACCTGATTCTGATGAATCAGCTGGCCTGGGTCATGCCTCTCAGGGAGAAAACCTTTGAGTCCACAGAGCTGCTCACAGATACCACTGCCTGTGTGTAACTGCTGTAGACCACTGAGGCAGACCAGAGAGCAGATAGGTGCTAAGCACCAGTGACATTCTGAGGTCATGGCACGAATCACAGTGGGGCCTTGCCCGGGTCAGCAGCGCCCAGAGTCAGGGTCCTCCGCTGCCTGAGGCGTCAACATGCCTGCCTGCAATGTGTTTGTGCACGTGCGTGGACATGTGTATGTGGGTATACACATCTGTGCACGTGTGTGCTGCTTCTCTGGCCAGGCCCGGCTGCCCCACTCATGTGTGCACCCAGTTCCTCATCACTGTCACCCCCGAGGCCCAGGGCCAGCATCAGAGCATCCATGGCTGCTCCCTAACCTCAGCCCTCCCCGCCCAGGGTGGTCCTGGGATACACATAGGGGTGGAGGGAAGTGACTGCTGCTGTTGGATCTCAGAATACAAAAGCTAGTACTATTACCTAATGGTCTTTTTAGTGTCTCTAATGGTATCGCTTTTTCATTTCTGATATTTTAACTGGGTATTTCTCTCCATGACCCTTGGATATTCTAGCTAGAGGATCCTGTGGGGAAAGTGCCGGGCACACAGTAGGGGCTCACTCTTCTAGACATGTTATCTAAAACCTGGCTCATCTGTCCTTCCACACAGGGCCTAGGGGATGCCAAATTCCAGGGGCCAGAAAGAGCTTGGGATAAAAAGAAACTTCAAGGGGACGGCTTTGACCTGGGCTGAGTCTGCCTGTGCCATCCAACTGGAGTCTCAAGTCCTGAGGCAGGACGTCCAGATGCCCCAGTGCAGGGTCCTCCTGATCAACACCTGCTCCCCTGTACTCATTAGCAACCTCACCCACCCTACTCTCAAAGCACACTTGGCTCTCGTATCCAGGAGCTCTGCATCTGTAGATTCAGCAACAGCAGATGGAAAATATTCAGAAAATAAATTGGACGGTTATGTTTCTATTGAACATGTGCAGAGTTTGTTCTTGTCATTATTCCCTAAAGAATCCAGTATCACGACCATTTATGTAGCATCTGCATTGTATTACACATCATGAATAATCCAGAGATGGTCTAATGTCTACGGGAGGATGTGCATAGCTGATATGTAAATACTAGGCCATGTTATGTCAGAGACTTGAGGATCCATGGATTTTGGCATCCCCGGGGACCCTAGAACTAATCCATGGATACCAAGGGATGACTGTATAAACTCACTCAGGAAGGCTTCTCATTGGAGGAAGGTCCCAGTTCAGGACACACAGGGACATCTCCCTGGACTACTGTCCATTCATCCATCCATTCATCCATTGTCTCCCCCCACCCCCCCATCTCGGACTGTCCCAGTGACAGCCCTAGCAAGAAGAGACAAGAAACAAGTTCACGTTGTCCAGTTTTGAGGTAATGGAAGAAGTTGCACCAGTATGAGAATAGTGGGTCAGTTTTCTACAGGATGCAGAAAGCATATCAGGCAGCCTCGGGGTGCGGAAAGGAGCCTGGCCTCTCTAGCAGCCACACAGGCCTGCAGTAGGATGGGGCTGTGGCTGGCCATGTGGATCACTTGGGCCTCATGAGGGGAAAGGAAATACCAGGGGGGCAGAAGAGGAGCATGGGGGCAGCTGGTTGCCTAAGGAGAAGGCACCTCAGGGAAGGGGACTGTATTCATTTGTTTTCACACTGATGTAAAGAAATACCTGAGATTGGGTAATTTATAAAGGAAACAGGCTTAATTGACTTGCAGTTCCGGAAACTTACAATCATGGCAGAAGGGGAAGGGGAAGCAGGCACCTTCTTCACAAGATGGCAGGAGGGAGATTGTGCAGTGGCACAATCTCGGCTCACTGCAACCTCTGCCTCCCGGGTTCAGGCAGTTCTCCTGCCTCAGCCTCCCTAGTAGCTGGGATTACAGGCATGCACCACCACGCCTGGCTAATTTTGTATTTTTAGTAGAGACAGGGTTTCACCATGTTGGCCAGGCTGGTCTTGAACTCCTGACATCAGGTGATCTGCCTGCCTCCGCCTGCCAAAGTGCTGGGATTACAAGTGTGAGCCACCGCGCCAAGCCATATCTGTTCTTTTTTTTTTTTTTTTTTTTTTTGAGACAGAGTCTCACTCTGTTGCCTAGGCCAGGCTGGAGTGTGCAGTGGTGCGATCTCGGCTCACTGCAAACTCCACTTCCCTAGTTCAAGGGATTCTCCTGCCTCAGCCTCCCTAGTAGCTGGGATTACAGGTGCATGCCACCACACCTGGCTAATTTTTGTATTTCTGTAGAGACCAGGTTTCACCATGTTAGCTAGGCTGGTCTCAAACACCCGACCTCAGGTGATCCGCCCGCCTCTGCCTCCCAAAGTGCTGGGATTACAGGCATGACCCACCGCGCCTAGTCCATATCTGTTCTTTTTTTTTTTTTTTTTTTTTTGAGACAGAGTCTTTCTCTGTCGCCAAGGCCGGAGTGCAGTGGCGTGATCGCAGCTCACTGCAACCTCCGCCTCCCGGGTTTAAGCGATTCTCCTGCCTCATCCAAGTAGCTGGGACTACAGGCACCTGCCATCATGCCAGGCTAATTTTTGAATTTTTAGTAGAGAAGGGGTTTCACCATATTGGCCAGGCTGGTCTCGAACTCGTGACCTTGTGATCCACCCGCCTCGGCCTCCCAAAGTGCTGGGATTACAGGCCTGAGCCACCGCACCCGGCTAGCCTGTGTCTGTTCTTTAAAATTGTTTTGTTTTCCTTACTCTCAGATTCTTCTTGCTGCTTATTGTGCCTTGTTGCTGCCTGTTGTGCAATTTCTTCCCTCTTGTATTTTACTGAACTTCATCTGAAGAAGCCTTAGTAGCCAGATAAACAAGCTTGTTTGGGCTAAAAAATCAATTGCTGTGTGAGAGTTTGTTGGATTCTCTTCTGAGTAAAGGGTATGTGTTTTATTGTACGGACTTTGTATCACCTATTTTGGCTTTTCATCCAGGCCTTTTTTTTTTTCTTTCTTTTTAGCTTCCTGGTTCTAGATACAACTGATACTCTGATACAACCTGGGTAAATGTGGTCTTGAGTAGTAAATTATCTGTGAAGCTTCTCCGAACTTTGCCACATAAATGAGCCTGCTCTTGTTGTGAAGTAAATCTTACTCTAATCTGTATGTGAGTCAGTTGGAAATAACTGAGCCTTCGGATGGCTTTTGTTGTTAACTGAGATTAGTTCTCTAGATTTTAGTGATTTTGTTTTGAACACCATACAAGTATGTGGTTCTTGGTTTATTTGGTCACTTGTAATCTCTTTAAAATTTTATTTTAAATTAGGAAGTATTTTAGAAATACAAGAAAGTCACACACTATGAGATTAAACAGATGTTAACATTTTGCCCCATTTTCATCAGACTGTGCATGCTTTTTTTGGGGGGGAATAAAATGTCACAGATACCACTAAAGCCCGTTTCCATCTCGTCCCACCCTGCCTCTAGAAGTAACTTCTTTCTTCAGGTAGGTGCGTATTATTCCTTTTTATTCCTACGTATAGTTTAAAACTTTAATTGCATATTAGTAGCCACAAACATCACATACCAATATTCTGTGCCTTTTGCATTTTTACATTAATGGTAATTATTTTTGACCTTCTGCAAATGGCTCTTTTCAGTGTTTCTTGTTAGAAAACTTGGCTCAACTTGAGTTTACTAATTATCTGCTTCTTCTTGTCTTTAGCTATTATAGAACTGTTCCACCAAGGCAACAATTATTGCTATTTTAATGGTGAAATCAGTTTTATTAGGCAAATTGACTCAGGCTTCAGACTGGCATTTGGAATTGTCACACTGGAGATTTTCTTTTACTGAAGTCTCAGGACATTGACAATCAGAAAAAAACCCTCTTGAGTCTTACTATCGTACATGTAAGATATGTTCCTGAGTGACTATAGTAAAGACTCATTCAGGAAAATGTTATCTCCGATTTCTGCCTCCCTAGCTCATAGGAAACTTCCATTGTAAAGTTGTTACCAGGCGTCAAGCTGCCTCTTTGGTACAGCCCTTACTTAGTATTTGGCTCAGTTGAAGTGCAGTCTATATAGGAGGCCAAGAAGACTTAATCCTGGGTTTGAAACAAAGCAAGGATACACTAACATTCTATCCTTTAATAACATCAAGTAGAAAAATTGAAAATGAGCTTGTTATCAGTGCACTTTTATATGCCAACCTTGTTTCACTTGTGTTTTAAACTGGGAAACTGAAGATTTTAATGCTGAAATTTCTTTGAATTATTACCTGTTTTTTTGATAGTGGAACACACAGCTAATATTTACTAATATGAAGGTGTCAAAGGTGAGAAATCATGTACTACACCATCAGGTCAGCACTACTGTTTGGAAGAGCAGCATCACAAAGAGCAGTGTTATACTGCGTTGTAGTCAGCACATACACTTATGTCCAGACAGATATTTTAAATTACCTTCTTGGGGTAGTACACATATGCTGATATCCAAAGTGCCATATAATACAATACATAGTTTTTAAACTTCATATCATTCTGATCAGAAGCTTTATAAACTGTTAGGTGAATGCTGTTAGATGATATGAGAGCACAATTTAACCTGTGTGTGTGTATATGTATGTCTTAACATCTATTAAGTGATGACTACATATGAGGCACTAAGTGCTAAAACAGAGACTTTACATAGATTATCCCATTATTGGTCAACTTTTTAAATAAGTGCATCTCTAATATAAGACAAGATGCTGACCAATTTTTAAAATGTGAATGGATTTCTATTTTTAAGATAAGTACCTTTGTTCCTTTGGTTCCTCCCTCCCACCCTTCCAGAAATGGTAGTATCCTGGAAAAAAAAAATTAGTAGCAATTCAAGAAACAGCTTAATTCATTAGTATAAATAGATGAGTTTCCCCTAAACACAGGAGGAGTTGGAAGGTACTTGAAATTGGATGTTGTGCATGGTGCCTTTCCAAAATGCACAAATACTTTCTCTCAAATGGTTGCAGTAGTAATGTGCTGTGTGATTTGGCATGTATAATGTTGTACAGGTATCTTGACATTGGTGGATTAACTGCTTGGCTACTGTGAAATTCACTGTAGATGTTGATGGATGAAAGTGTGGTTGCCTAGGTAATGATTAAGACCAGTAACTAAACCACAGTTATTATTTTGCTGGCATAAACTTCAAACTCAGAAAGGTTTTTATTCATTTTACCCATTGGAGCATACCCCAGTAAGTGCTTCATTTCTTTGTGTTTCTGATTTTTTTTTTTTTTAAGATGGAGTCTTGCTTTTGTCGCCCAGGTTGGAGTGCAATGGCGCGATTTCGGCTCACTGCAACCTCCACCTCCTGGGTTCAAGCGATTCTCCTGCCTCAGCCTCCCGAGTAGCTGGGATTACAGGTGCCTGCCACCACGCCCAGCTAATCTTTGTATTTTTAGTAGAGATGGGGTTTCACCATGTTAGCCAGGCTGGTCTCGAACCCCTGACCTCGTGATCCACCCACCTTGGCCTCCCGAAGTTCTGGGATTACAGGCATGAGCTGCCGTGCCCAGCCATGTTTCTGAATTTTTAAGTCAACTTCTGAATAGGCAAAGAATTCTTTTTGTTTTTTTGTTCAACTTTAGTGCTATAAATCGCCAGTTGGACACAAAGGTTTTAGTGCTATTTAGGTATGTTTTGGTGAAATAGTGTGAAGGAATATTGCTGCTTAAAAGATAAGCCATTCATTAAATGACGTCTTTGTTTTGAAACATGAAGACTTATGAGAAGCATTTTTTTTTGTAAGCCAAAGTAGTTTCACTTTATGTGTTACAGATTTTGAATAGCTCATTATAGACTTTGCAATTTACTGTCTCTCATTTAGGCAGGTAATTTTAGTTGCCAGCTAATCATGTTTAAATATGTATTGGTTATTAATAAATGATTACCCGTATACAGGTCTTTCATGCAGATATCGTACTACTCTGATGTTCTTACCTAGTTTTGTGGTATGTTCAGTTGTCTAAGAGCATTGTTGATCTGCACACAGATTTTGTTTGGTCTATACAGTGTTTCTGAAAACTTGAATTAGTTACCATTAATAAAAAATAGAGAGACTGCACATGAAATCTGAATTTGTAGCTTTTAAAAAAAAAATTGGAAGATCAGGCCAGGTGCGGTGGCTCATGCCTGTAATCCCAGCACTTTGGGAGGCCGAGGCGGTCAGATCACCTGAGGTCGGGAGTTCGAGACCAGCCTGACCAACATGGAGAAACCCCGTCTGTACTAGAAATACAAAATTTACCGGGCGTGGTGGCACATGCCTGTAATCCCAGCTACTAGGGAGGCTGAGGCAGGAAAATCGCTTGAACCTGGGAGGCGGAGGTTGCGGTGAGCCGAGATCACGCCATTGCACTCCAGCCTGGGCAACAAGAGCAAAACTCCGTCTCAAAAAAAAAAAAAAAAAATTGGAAGATCTGTCAGCACTAAACCTGCCAGTCACCATAGCGATAATTCTTTGGCTCCAAGAAATGGCTACCACCTCCTTCTTTTAAGGGGTTGTGCACAGCTTCCACATGGCTTGCTACACTTACCTGCCTCAGGAAGCATTTCTTTGTGATTTAGGGCATCTGTGTTTTTGTTATTTTAGATTTAGAACATTCAAATGTCTGGAAATGAATTTGAAGTTTTGTTTAAAACAAAACAAGTTTTGTTTTAAGCAAGGTTATGACTAAATTGAAAAATGCACAAGAGGCCAGGCGTGGTGGCTGACGTCTGTAATCTCAGCACTTTGGGAGGCTGAGACGGGCGAATCACGAGGTCAGGAGTTTGAGACCAGCCTGACCAACAAGGTGAAACCCCATCTCTACTAAAAATACAAAAATTAGATGGGTGTGGTGTTGCACACCTGTAATCCCAGCTACTCAGGAGGCTGAGGCAGGAGAATCACTTGAACCTAGGAGATGGAGGTTGCAGTGAGCCAAGATCGCATCATTGCACTCCAGCCTGGGTGAGAGAGCGAGACTCCATCTCAAAAAAAAAAAAAAAAAAGAAAAATGCACAAGAGTGTTAAACAAGCAGTTCACAGTGGAAAAACTTAATGGCGCGTGCACACACACACACACACACACACGAGAAAAGATGCATAGTAACCAATGTTATTAGTAATCAGGGAAATTCTGATTAAACCAATGGACTATCAGTACAAAAATTTTTTTTTTTAATTTTTGAGACAAAGTTTTGCTCTTGTTGCCCAGGCTGGAGTGCAATGGCTCAATCTAGCTCACTGCAACCTCCACTACCTGGGTTCAAGTGATTCTCCTGCTTCAGCCTTCCAAGTAGCTGGGATTACAGGCACGCACCACAGGCCTGGCTAATTTTTTTTTTTTTTTTTTTTTTTTTTTTAGTAGAAATGGGGTTTCACCATGTTGGTCAGGCTGGTGTTGAACTCCTGACCTCAAGTGATCCACCCACCTCAGCCTCCCAAAGTGCTGGGATTACAGGCGTGAGCCACTGTGCCTGGCCAGGACTATCATTTAATACCCATTAGATTGTCAAAAATACTAAAGTTTTTCAGAACATGCTGAAAGTGGGATTTCTTCATTCTTTGCTCATGGGAATGTCAGTTGACACCACTCTAGAGGATAATTTGGCAGTTCTTGGTAAAGTTGAAGATTTATGTCCAACAATCCAGAAAGTCCACTATTAGGTTCCTTTCCATGGAAAAATTCTCTCATGTGTGCACAGGAAAACATGGACCAAGATGCTAGTTTGTTTGTTTATTTATTTATTTATTTATTTTTGAGACAGAGTCTTGCTCTGTTGCTCAGGCTGGAGCGTGGTGGCACAATCTCCGCTCACTGCAAGCTCCGTCTCCCAGGTTCACATCATTCTCCTGCCTCAGCCTCCCGAGTAGCTGGGACTACAGGCACCTGCCACCATGCCCGGCTAATTTTTTGTATTTTTAGCAGAGACGGGGTTTCACCATGTTAGCCAGGATGGTCTCGATCTCCTGACCTCATGATCCGCCTGCCTCGGCCTCCCAAAGTGCTGGGATTACAGGCGTGAGCCACCGTGCCCGGCCTTAATTTTTGTATTTTTAGTGGAGATGGGGTCTCTCTACTCTCTATGTCAGCCAGGCTGGTCTTGAATTCCTGGCCTCAAGTGATCTGCCTGCCTGACCCTCCAAAAGTGCTAGGATTACAGGTGTGAGCCACCACACTCGGTGGTAAGAGTTATTGTATAAAGTTTTGACATAATTTATAGTATCAGCCTTCTTCCTCTATCCTCACAGAAGGCCTCATGGTGAGTTTGATGTGCAGGTTAAAATATATAATTATTGCAATATGTTGTAAGAAATGTTTCCTAATTAAGATTTTTATGAAATTAAACGTATTTATTTATTTATTTTGAGATAGAGTATCACTCTGTTACCAGGCTGGAGTGTAGTGGCAGGATTTCAGCCCACTGCAATCTCTGCCTCCCGGGTTTAAGCAATTGTCGTGCCTCAGCCCCCTGAGTAGCTGGAATTACAGGCCTATGCCACCTTGCCTGGCTGATTTTTGTATTCTTTTTTTTTTTTTTGAGACGTAGGCTCACTCTGTCGCCCAGGCTGCAGTGCAATGGTGCGATCTCGGCCCATTGCAAGCTCACCTCCTGGGTTCAAGTGATTCTCCTGCCCCTGCATCGTGAGTAGCTGGGATTACAGGTGTGTGCCACCAGACCTGGCTAATTTTTAGTAGAGATGGGGTTACACCATGTTGGCCAGGCTGATCTCAAACTCCTGACCTCAAGTGATCCGCCTGCCTCGGCCTCCCAAGGTGCCAAGATTACAGGTGTGAGCCGATGCCCCCAGCCTATTTTTATTTTTTGAGACAGAGTCTCACTCTGTTGTTCAGGCCGGAGGTCAGTGATGTAATCATAGCTCACTGCAGCCTTGCTTGACCTCCTGGGCTTAAGGGATCCTCCTCCTTCAGCCTCTCCTGTAGTTAGGACTATAGGTGGGTACCATCACACCCTCCTAATTTAAAATTTTTTTTTGTCTCACTGTGTTGCCCAAGCTGGTCTTGAATTTTTGACCTCAAGTAATCCTCCTGCCTCAGCCTCCCAAAGTGTTGGGATTACAGGCATGAGCCACTGTGCCCAGCCCTTTAATAGTTTAAAATCAAAGTTTAAGTAGAAAACATTATTTTATTTGGCTCATTGGTTAGATGTAAGTGATGTGAAATACTTAAACATCCATTATTGTTTTTAATATAATTTGGAAAATATGAGTTGCTTTGGATTATTAAAACTTCATTTATTTGTACCATTGATGCATAAATTCTCAGTCTAGGTTTTAGCGAAGTCTGGATTTTAAAAAATTGACTGTGATATTAGTTCAAGTCTTACGAACATCATTATTATTATTATTTGAGAGACACAGAGTCTTGCTCAGTTGCCCAGGATGGAGTGCAGCTGCACAATCACAGTTTATTGCAGCCTCAACCTCCTGGGCTCAAGCAGTCCTCCCACTTCAACCTCCCGAGTAGCTGGGACTATAGGCACACATCACAACTCCTGGCCAATTTTTGTATTTTTTGTAGAGATGGGGTTTCGCCATGTTTTCCAGGCTGGTCTCAAACTCCTGGGCTCAAGCGATCCTCTTTGCTTAGCCTCCCAAAGTGCTGGGATTACAGGTGTGTGCCAACACACCTGGCCAAGTTGTATATACTATTAATCTAGGCTATTTCTGACACTGTTGATTTTCCTTTTCCCCTTAGGTGAGGCAGGCGACTAATCAGATTGTGATGAATTGTGCTGATATTGATATTATTACAGCTTCATATGCACCAGAAGGAGATGAAGGTAAGAGCTGTTTTCCATTTTAATTTGCTGTCTGCATGTGCATATGTGGGGTGTGTGTGTGTGTGTGTGTGAGAGAGAGAGAGAGAGACATTTTCAGGTTAAGACTTCAGTGTTTGTTACTTTAGAAATGGGTAAATTCAGCTGGGTGAAGTGGCTCACGCCTATAATCCCAGCACTTTGGGAGGCTGAGGCGAGCAGATCCCTGAGCCCATGAGTTTGAGACCAGCCTGGGCCACATGGCGAAACAAAAACAAACAAACAAACAAAAATATTAGCTAGGCATAGTGGTGCGTGCCTGTAGTCCCAGCTATTTGGGAGGCTGAGGTGGGAGGATCTATTGAGCCCAGGTGGCCGAGGCTGCAGTGAGCCATGACTGCGCCGCTGCACTCCAGCCTGTGCGACAGAGTGAGACCCTGACTCAAAAAAAGAAAAAGAAAAAGGGTAAAATGTTTATGGGAAATATTGAATAGTATAACCTAACAGTATTGTGAAATAAATGTCACAATTTATTTTACTTTTAAATTTATTTTTATTTTTATTTTTTTTGAGACAGAGTCTTGCTCTGATGCCCAGGCTGGAGTGCAGTGGCATCATCTAAGCTCACTGCTATCTCTGCCTCGTGAGTTCAAGCAGTTCTCCCTGCCTCAGCCTCCTGAGTGGCTGAGATTACAGGTGTCCACCATCATACCTAGCTAATTTTTGTATTTTTAGTAGAGACAGGGTTTTGCTATGTTGGCCAGGCTGGTCTTGAACTCCTGATCTCAGGTGATCTGCATGCCTCCCAAAGTGCTGGGATTACAGATGTGAGCCACCACACCCGGGCAAATGTCACAATTAAAATTCCACTTCCAAGATTAACTTATTTTGTGGTACTAGGGAAATCATATTTTCATAAGTATAAAATGAATATAATACGCATAATAAAGCTGATGAGTTATTTGAAAAATTAAGTACTTTGAACATGAAAGGCTCCTCAAAGAGGCTTCGTTTTTATGTTTTTCTTAAAGTTTTTTTTTCTTTTTGTACTATAGTTTAAAATTGAGATAAGTCATACTCCTAATTCAGAGAAAAACATTTGCTTTATGAGACAATATGAAGATTAGAAGCTAAATAATGGAGTTAGTTACAGGGGAAGAACATGCTAAAAAGAAACATGGTATAGAATGTGGAACTCGATTAGTGTCTATAAAATGAGAACTGTTTTATTTTATTTTATTTTTTATTTTTTTTTGAGACGGGGTCTCGCTCTGTCCCCCAGCCTGGAGTGCAGTGGCGCGATCTCGGCTCACTGCAAGCTCCGCCTCCCGGGTTCACGCCATTCTCCTGCGTCACCCTCCGGAGTAGCTGGGACTACAGGCTCCCGCCACCACGCCTGGCTAATTTTTTTGTATTTTTAGTAGAGACGGGGTTTCACCGTGTTAGCCAGGATGGTCTTGATCTCCTGACCTCGTGATCCACCCGCTTCGGCCTCCCAAAGTGCTGGGATTACAGGCGTGAGCCACCGCGCCCGGCCGAGAACTGTTTTAGACCTTATAATTTTAGTATGAAAGTAGTCCATTTTGACTGGAAATCTTATTCCCGTATGAGCTGATTTTTAAATAGATACCAAGTTTGGCATAAACTCTTACAAGTACATCAGTATTGGAGCTGGATTGCTTTTTACTTTTTTTTTTTTTGAGAGAGTCTCGCTCTGTCACCCAGGCTGGGGGGCAGTGGCATGATCTCAACTACCACAACCTCTGTCTCCTGGTCTCAAGCCATCCTCCCACCTCACCCTCCCAAGTAGCTGATATTACAGGCGTGTACCACCATGCCTGGCTAATATTCGTATTTGTATTTTTTTATAGATATGGGGGGGGTCTTCCTATATTGCCCAGGCTGGTCTTGAACTCCTGGGCTCAAGGGATCCGACCTCTTTGGCCTCGCAGGTTGCTGGGATTACAGGCAAGAGCCACCACACCTGGTTGCCTTTTTACTTTTGATTTCACCTAGACATTCCTTGTCAAAATGGTTATTGGTTACTCTGAGACTTCTTTAATAAAAAATAATTTAAGGCCGGGCGCAGTGGCTCACGCCTGTAATCCCAGCACTTTGGGAGGCCCAGGTGGGCGGATCACAAGGTCAGGAGATAGAGACCATCCTGGCTAACTCGGCGAAACCCTGTCTCTACTAAAAATACAAAAAATTAGCCTGGCGTGGTGGCGGGCGCCTGTGGTCCCAGCTACTCGGGAGGTTGAGGCAGGAGAATGGCGTGAACCCGGGAGGCGGAGCTTGCAGTGAGCCGAGATCGCGCCACCGCACTCCAGCCTGGGCGACAGAGCGAGACTCCGTCTCAAAAAAAAAAATAAAAAAATAAATAAAATAAAATAATTTACACATTTGATCTTTTAACTTACATTTTATATTTTGATTTCCTCTCTCCTTTACATTATACTGAAAAGAAGTTTCATTTTAAGGCCTCATAACATTTATGATTTTTTCTTAAACTATTTTGTCTATAGAAAGTCAAAGTAGTAGCAGTTGAACATACTGTTCCGAAGAAGTACTTAAGTTCAATTGATTGTAAATTAGATCAAACTGCTGGAAGAACAGATTCTTCAAATGGACTTGAATGAGTGCCACTTTTAAAAAATTGTCTGGTAAATGAAAGAGTGATTATTTAATTTCTTTAACTGTGGAGAAAAATAGAAGTACTTTAGCCAGGTATATCAAAGCAACAAGGCTTTCTTTGTTGCAGGTAGAGAATGTTTAAATTCGATGTGTGGTTTTAAAGTGGTATGTAGATAGGTAGATCTAGTAATATAAATGTGTACCTTCCAGCTGGCATGGTTTCAGCTCAAGTTTGTTTTTTATCTTCCTGTACTAAAAATGTCGGGATAGAATTCAGGTGACTGAAAAGTTCTTTTTTTTTTTTTTTGAGATGGAGTCTAGCTCTGTCGCCCAACGATCTCAGCTTGCTGCAACCTCCACCTCTGGGGTTCAAGCAATTCTTCTGCCTCAGCCTCCTGAGTAGCTGGGATTACAGGCGTGTGCCACCACACCCGGCTAATTTTTGTATTTTTAGTAGAGATGGGGTTTCACCATGTTTGTTAGGCTGGTCTTGAACTCCTGGCCTCGTGATCCACCCGCCTCAGCCTCCCAAAGTGTTGGGATTACAGGCGTGAGCCACCGCGCCCGACCTGACTGAAAAGTTTTGAATATGTGTAACCGAATGTTGCTAAGCTCATAATGATCTGTATCTCACGGAAGCCCAGTTAGTGTTCTTACTAAGAGAGTCAGGAGAGAAATGAAAACTTAATGGAAAAGAAGATTTGAAGAGAGATTCTGATAAAACATTAAATTATTTTAGATACATAATATATATTCAGTGCTGGGTGCAGTGGCTCACGCCTGTAATCCCAGTACTTTGGGAGGCTGTGGTGGGTGGATCATGACGTCAGAAGTTCAAGACCAGCCTGGCGAAGATGGTGAAACCCCATCTCTACTTAAAATAAAAAAATTAGCTGGGTGTGGTGGCGGGTGCCTGTAATCCCAGCTACTCAGGAGGCTGAGGCAGAGAATTGCTTGAACCCAGGAGGCAGAGGTTGCAGTGAGCCAGGATCGTGCCACTGCACGCCAGCCTGGGTGACAGAGACTCTGTCTCAAAAAAAAAATATTTTCCTTCAGAACTAGCTAAGGTACATTTCTCAACACTTTTCTACCACAGCAACAGGAAAAAACCTGAAGTCATGTGTAAGCCCATGTAATTTTAGAGTTTAAGAGAATGGGAAGTTGTATGAGTTGTTAAAGTTTGAATTGGGGGCAGCCAGGTGTGGTGGCTCACACCTATAATCCTAGCATTTTGGGAGGGCTAGGTGGGCGGATCACCTGTGGTCAGGAGTTTGAGAACAGCCTGGCCAACATGGTGAAACACCGTCTCTACTAAAAACACAAAAATTAGCTGGGCGTGGTGGCAGGCACCTGTAATTCCAGCTACTTGGGATGCTGAAGGCAGGAGAATCGCCTGAACCCGGGAGGTGGAAGTTGCAGTGAGCGGAGATTGTGCCACTGCACGCCAGCCTGGGCGACAGAGCAAGACTCTGTCTCAAAAAAAAAAAAAATAGTTTGGATTGGGAACAGGGATAGATTTGGGCTTCCACATGTATGTATGTGTGTGTGTGTGTGTGTGTGTGTGTATATATATATATGTAATAAAAAAGATAAAAGTAAAATCAGAAAATTACTTTTAAGGCATGAAATTGTTGCTTCTTTTAATTTTTTTTTTTTTTCTTTTTGAGATGGAGTCTTCACTCTGTCGCCCAGGCTGGAGTGCAGTGGCGCAGTCTCGGCTCACTGCAAGCTCTGCCTCCCGGGTTCACGCCATTCTCCTGCCTCAGCCTCCCCAGCAGCTGGGGCTACAGGCGCACGCCGCCACGCCCAGCTAATTTTTGTATTTTTAGTAGAGACGGGATTTTACCGTATTAGCCAGGATGGTCTCGATCTCCTGACCTTGTGATCCGCCCGCCTCGGCCTCCCAAAGTGCTGGGATTAAAGGTGTGAGCCACCGTGCCTGGCCAATTGTTGCTTCTTTGTGTAAGTTTTTATTTGAAGAAAAAGGCCATTTTTTTGTGATATGTGCAGTCATCCTAAAAGACCTATGGGCATGTGTCTGTTTTTTTTTTTTTTTTTTTTTTTGAGATGGAGTCTTGCTGTATTGCCCAGGCTGGAGTACAGTGGTGCAGTATCGGCTCACTGCAACTAGTAGAACTTTTTTTTTTTTTTTTAAATAACTTGTTTTAAAATAATCCTTAATAGGCTTTTATTAACTCTGTTTGGATATTAGTTATGTACCCTTTTCTCTTTGCAAAAATGAAAAATCATTTCAAGTAGAAATTAAAGGTTTGTTTCTCATCCCTTTCTTTAGATATAGTAACAGTTATACCAGATATATATATATATATGTTTTTTTGTTTTTTTTTTTTGAGACAGAGTTTCACTCTTGTTGCCCAGGCTGGAGTGCAATGGCATGATCTTGCTCACTGCAACCTCTGCCTCCCAGGTTCAAGCAATTCTCCTGCCTCAGCCTCCCGAGTAGCTGGGATCACAGGCGTGCACCACCACGCCCAGCTAATTTTTGTATTTTTAGTAGAGACAGGGTTTCACCATGTTGGCCAGCCTGGTCTCGAACTCGAGACCTCAGGTGATCCACCTACCTCGGCCTCCCAAAGTGCTGGGATTACAGGCATGAGCCACCACGCCCGGCCCAGTTATACCAGATATAAGCAAATTTGCTAGTAGTTTAGATTTCTGGAATTGTGCCAACTACACATCAAGAGACTATTTAGCTTTGTTACAGAAGTCAGTATCAGTTTCTTGTTATAAGACGAGACCTGGTTTTACAGACTTTTCTATTTCTCAATGGAACTTTACTCTGAAGATATACTCTTCCATTTAAATACTAGTTCCAAAACCTACATTATATGGTGGCAGCTTAATAAACATTTAACATTTTGGTTAATTTAAATCTTGTTGATGTGTATACATGAATAACTGGGCTAAAAGCAGATACCTTTGATTATTGTGAAACTTCAAGTAAATATTGTGTGAAAAGGACCCCTTCTGTCTCACAAATTCTGGCCCCTCAGCTCATTGTCTGAACAGTGATTCCCTTGCATATAATAAATTCCCTTGGCTTATATATAATAATAAATGAAGTTTATTATTTATTTGAACTTTTTACCCCTGTAAATACCAAGGTTCTTTTTGCCTAAGTGGTAATTTGTGTCATTCAAAGAGTTTTTATTAAATATTATTATTATTATTTGAGATAGAGTCTCACTCTTATTGCCCAGGCTGGAGTGCAGTGGCACTATCTCGGCTCACTACAGCCTCCGTCTCCTGGGTTGAAGCGATTCTTGTGCCTCAGCCTCCCAAGTCGCTGGGATTACAGGTGTGTGCCACCAAACCTGGCTAATTTTTAAATTTTTGTAGAGATGGGGTTTCCCCATTTTGGCCAGGCTGCTCTCAAACTGTTGACGCCCACCTTGGCCTCCCAAAGTGCTGGGATTACAGGTGTGAACCACTGCACCAGACCTTAAATACTCTGTTTAAGTGATAGTTTGATAAGTGTGAACGCAAGTCTGAAATAGGTTTCTTTGCTTGTGAGAAAGTATAACGAATTGCCAAGACAATAGTGACAAACAGAGGGCATATTTTTCAAAGAGGAAGAGTTTATATAGTGTTAACATTAAGACAAAAGTCTTAAGTTTCTAATTTCTGATCTTGTTTGTTGGGATTTCTTTTTTTTTTTTTTTTTTTTGAGACAGGTCTTTCTCTGTCATCCAGGCTGGAATGCAGTGGCACAGTCATGGCTTACTGCAGCCTCCTGGGCTCAAGTTACTCTCCCACCACAGCCTCCCGGAGAGCTGGGATGGCAGGCATGTGCCACCACACCTGGCTAATTTTTTAATTTTTGTAGAGATGGGGTTTTGCAATGTTCCCCAGGCTGGTCTCAGACTCCAAGACTCAAGCAGTCCTCCTACCTCAGCTTCCCAAAGTGCTGGGATTACAGATATGAGCCACTGTGCCTGGCCCTTGTTTGGATTTCTATGCTTATCTGTGAAGTATATTCTGGTTTCTATGCAGGATAGATCCATTCTCAAATAAACAACCCTTAAGTATCATTAGTTCAAACTGGAGCCAAATAAATGTCAGCATTAGAAGGAGCAAGTGATAGTTAGCCAGCCCCTTTATTCCTTTTTAGTGCAAATCAGAGATAAAGAACATGAAGTTTGCAGTGTATTTGCATTCTTTCATTTTTACATTTGTTGGTTTTGAATAATATTGAGGGGCTGTCTGATAAAGAACCTGTGTAGGTTTCCATATGGCTATATACAAAGTATATGAGCGTAGAATAGTTTTAAATTTTGTCTTAGTTATACTTGGTAAGTTTTAAAACGTTATTTAAATAGCCTTAAGGTGATATGGATTGCTTTAGTGACTGCTGTTTTAGGAATTTAGTTGGCTTATTGCTGACTATAGAGGGAACGTTTTATCTTCTTTTTAACCTCCAGTTCAGGTTAGGTGCCTAACCAAGTGAAACATTTTTCATAATATAATGTTTAATAGTGATAATTATAAAAATAATGATGAGTTTAGTGTTTACTCTATACCAGGCACTAAGTGCATTACCTGTTCATATAGAGAACAACCGTAGGCACAGAGAGGGTATCTACTTTAGGTAATAAAACTGATAAATGTTAGAGCCAGGATTCAAACCCAGGCGGTTTGGATCTAGGGTCCATGTACTTGCCACTCTATTGCTTGTCATTAATGTAACCACACCATATTGCAATTATTTGTTTGTGTCATGTCTGTACTACTTTTCAATGGAATCTTAAGATCCTTGAGGGGCCGGGCATGGTAGCTCATGGCTGTAATCCCAGCACTTTGGGAGGCCGAGGCGGGCGGCTCACCTAGGGTCAGGAGTTCAAGACCAGCCTGGCCAACATGGTGAAACCTCGTCTCTACTAAAAAAAAAAGTACAAAAATTAGCTGGGTGTGGTGGTAGGCGCCTGTAATCCTAGCTACTCGGGAGGCTGAGGTGGGAGAATTGCTTGAACCTGGGAGGCAGAGGTTGCAGTGAGCCAAGATCACGCCATTGCACTCCAGCCTGGGGGACAAGAGACTTCTACTCAAAAAAAAAAAAAAAAAAGATCCAGTAATTATGATTCATTCTTTTTCATTTGTGGTTTTCCCTGGTATCTGACATATAGTAGGGATTTAATAAATATACATTGAATGAAACGAAGAAAATCTAGATAAATGGAGTAAGTCTGTCATACAGTAGTTCCTCCTTATCTATGGCAGATGTGTTCTAAGACCCCCAATGGTACGCCTGAAACCACAGATAGTAGCAAAACTTATATATGCTATGTTTTTCCCTATACATATGTACTATGATAAAGTTTAATTTTTACATTAGAAATAGTAAGAAATTAACAAAAGCTAATAAAAAATAGAACCATTATAACAATATACTGTAATAAAAGTTACATGAATGTTGTGTGCATCTCTCTCTCTTTTCTTTTTTTTGAGACTTTGCTCTGTCGCCCAGGCTGGAGTGCAATGGTGCGATCTCAGCTCACTGCAATCTCTGCCTCCCAGGTTCAAGCGATTCTCCTGCCTCAGCCTCCTGAGTAGCTGGGACTACAGGCGCATGCCACCACACCCGGCTAATTTTTTGTGTTTTTAGTAGAGACGGGGTTTCACCGTGTTAGCCAGAATGGTCTCCATCTTCTGACCTCGTGATCTGCCCGCCTCGGCCTCCCAAAGTGCTGGGATTACAGGTGTGAGCCACAATATCTTTTTTTTTTTTTGAGATGCAGTTTCACTCTTGTTGCCCAGGCTGGAGTGCGATGGTGTGATCTCGGCTCACTGCAACCACTGCCTCCCGGGTTTAAGCAAGTCTCCTGCCTCAGCCTCCCAAGTAGCTGGGATTACAGGCATGCGCCACCACGCCTGGCTAATTTTGTATTTTTAGTAGGGACAGGGTTTCTCCATGTTGGTCAGCCTGGTCTCAAACTCCTGACCTCAGGTGATCTTCCCCCCTCAGCCTCGTAAAGTGTTGGGATTACAGGCATGAGACACCGCGCCCAGCCAATATCTTCTTTTTAAAAAAAATTATTTCATTTATTTATTTTTAGAGGCAGAGTCTCTGTTGCCCAGGTTGGAGTGCAGTGGTGCCATCATATCTCACTGCAGCCTCAAACTGCTGGGCTCAAGTGATCCTCCTGCTTCAGCCTCCCAGTTAGCTAGGACTATAGGTATGCACCAACACACCCAGCAAATTTGTAAAAATTTTTTGTGAGTCAGGTCTGGCTTTATTGCTGAAGTTGGTCTTGAACTCCTGGCTTCAAGCGATCCTCCTGCCTCAGCCTCCCAAAGTGCCAGGATTACAGGCATGAGCCACTGTGCCCAGCCTCTCTTATAGTATCTTATTGTATTATACTCACTCTTCTTCTTTGACATTTCCAAACTGCTAGCATCACTACTCTTGTGCTTTGAGGCCATTATTAAGTACAATAAAGGTTACTTAAACACAAGCCTTGTGATACATTGACAGTCAATCTGATAACTGAGATGGCTACTATGTGACTAATGGGCTGGGTGGCATATATATACAGCATGGATAGGTCGGAGAAAGGGATGATTCATGTTCTGGGCAGAATGGAATGGGAGGGCACAAGATTTCATCACACTATTCAGAACAGTACAGTTTAAAACTTATGAATTGTTTGTTTCTGGAATTTTCCATTTAATATTTTCAGACTGTAGTTGACTCTAGGCAATTGAAACTGTGGAAAGTGAAACTGCAGATAAGGGGGACTTGTCAGGTCTGCATTTCTTCATGTGCTCTATCCTAGTAACTTTATGGGTAACAAAATTATTTCGTATTTGAGATTATTTTGTTACCAGCTTTAACTTGTATTTTACTTCCCTTTGAGGACTACCATCAAGATACTTACTAATTGTAAAGATTCTTTACAGTATTTTAAATATTAAGAAAATGGAGAGCATAAAAAACTGCTGTAAATTATGTAGTTTTTGCATTAAATGTAGAGAAAACACTGATTGCATAATGTTAGTAACATTGTAGTGTATGCTGTTCTTTTTTTTTTTTTTTTGAGATGGAGTTTCGCTCTTATTGCCCAGGCTGGAGTGCAATGGCATGATTTCGGCTCGCCGTAACCTCAGCCTCCCGGATTCAAGTGATTCTCCTGCCTCAGCCTCCTGAGTAGCTGGGATTACAGGCATGCACCACCACAGCCGGCTAATTTTGTATTTTTAGTAGAGATGGAGTTTATCCATGTTGGTCAGGCTGGTCTCGAACCTCCGACCACAGGTGATCCGCCTGCCTCAGCCTCCCGCAGTGCTGGGATTACAGGCACAAGCCGCCGCGCCCGGCCATGTATGCTGTTCTTAAGTGTGAAGCTGGAAGAGTTAGTTGTTCTCCAAATCAATGCTTCCTTACTTTTTTTCAAGGCATTAGTAGAAACTGATGTTTTCCTGGTACATAAGGAAGAGGAGGCTCACAACTGGAGGGTATCAGAGATCTTTCATTGCTCTAGGCCTACCAGGCTGGTCCAAGGGCCAAGGGAATTATTATCTTGATAAACCTGTAATACATGTTTGGATCTGCCACAGTTAGGGAAGCTCTGCTATAGTTTCAAGTTAATAGAATTAGAAGGGAAGTTAGGTAGTAGTCAGGGCTCATTTTATTTATTTGTGCCTTCTGTTTTACTTTTTTTTTTTTTTTTGAAATGGAGTCTTGTGCTGGCGTGACCTCGGCTCACTACAACCTCTGCCTCCCGGGTTCAAGCAGTTCTCTTGCCTCTGCCTCCCAAGTAGCTGGGACTACAGACGCAGGCCACCACGCCCGGCTAATTTTTGTATTTTTAGTAGAGATGGGGTTTCCCATGTTGGCCAGGCTGGTCTCGAACTCCTGACCTTGTGATCCACCTGCCGTGGTCTCCCAAAGTGCTGGGATTACAGGCATGAGCCACCGCACCCAGCCTGTTTTACTTTTTTCTTGATCCCAGATCTTTTTCAGTTTTCTTGCTTTTTTTCTCAAAGAACTAACCATTGCTTTGTAGACCTCAGTTAACTATTATTTCCTTATTAACTTCTGCTTCCTTTGGGTTTACTTTGCAAGGTTTTTTTTTTTTATTTTTGAGACGGAGTCTTACTCTGTCACGCAGGCTGGAGTGCAGTGGCGTGATCTTGGCTCACTGCAATCCCTGCCTTCTGGTTTCAAGTGATTCTTATGCCTCAGCCTCCTGATAGCTAGGATTAAAGGCATGTGCCACCACACCCAGCTAATTTTTGTATTTTTAGTAGAGGCGGAGTTTTACCATGTTGGTCAGGCTGGTCTCAAACTCCTGACCTCAAGTGATCGGTTCGCCTTGGCCTCCCAAAGTGCTGGGATTACAGGTGTGAGCCACCGCTACCGTGCCCGGTCTACTTTGCAGATTTAAAAAAACTTCTTTAGGCTGGTCCCAGTGCAGTGGTGTTTATAACTCATCAATCATAGCCAGTTACAGATTTCTTTATTCCTCCTTCACTCCCACTGCTTCACTTGACTGCCCTTAAAAAAAAACAAAAAACAAACAGAAGTCTTGAGATGGATGTTTGGCTTATTACTTTTCAGTCCTTCTTTCTATTATATTCATTTAAATATAAATTTTAATCCTAAAAATGTACTGCTTTTAGCTGCAGCCCACACTTTTTTTGGTTTGTTTGTTTTGGGGGAAATTCTCCAGGCAGTAGTTATGGCTGTTGTTGCTTGCTGCTGCTTCTTTCCTATTTTTGTTGATAGCTTTGTGAGAGTACCTGTAATGTTGACATACTATAAAGGGTACATCTTAAAATATGTAATTTGATAAGTTTTCTCATGAATGTAACCAGGTAATGAGCATATTCATCACCCTAGAACATTTCCTCATGCCCCTTTATAATCCTTTTCTCCCCTTTTCCTTGCTCCTTCCCCAGGCAATTATGATTTGATTCCGTGTTATTTTTTTTTTGTACAGAGTCTCTGTCACCCAGGCTGGGGTACAGTGGCTCTATCTCAACTTACTGCTACCTCCACCTCCCGGCTTAAAGCAATTCTTGTGCCTCAGCCTCCCGAGTAGCTGGGACTTCAGGTGTACGCCACCACACCTGGCTCATTTTTGTGGGTTTTTATTTGTATTAATTAATTAATTTTTATTTATTTATTTAGAGATGGAGTCTCGCTCTGCTGCCCAGGCTGGGGTGTAGTGGTGTGATCTCGGCTCACTGCAACCTCTGCCTCCCAGGTTCAAGCAGTTCTCCTGCCTCAGCCTCCCAAATAGCTGGGATTACAGGCTTGTGCCACCATTCCTGGCTAATTTTTTCTATTTTTAGTAGAGATGGGGTTTCACCATGTTGGCCAGGCTGGTCTTGAGCTCCTGACCTCAAGTGATCCACATGCCTCAGCCTCCAAAGTGCTGGGATTACAGGCATGAGCCACCACACCTGGCCCACCCCCCACTTTTTTTTTTGAGACGGAGTCTCGCTCTGTCACCCATGCTGGAGTGCAGTGGCTAGATCTCGGTTCACTGCAGTCTTTGCCTCCTGGGTTCAAGCGATTCTCCTGTTTCAGCCTCCCAAGTAGCTGGGATTACATGCGCCTGCCACCACGCCTGGCTAATTTTTGTGTTTTTGTAGAGACGGGGTTTCACCATGTTGGCCAGGCTGGTCTTGAACTCCTGTCCTCAGCTGATCTGCCTGCTTTGGCCTCCCGAAGTGCTGGTATTCTAGGCGTGAGCCACCATGCCCGGCCTCTTTTTTTGTTAAGATAGGGTCTTGCGGTTGGGTGTGGTGGCTGACGCTTGTAATCCCAGCACTTTGGGAGGCCGAGGTGGGTGGATCACAAGGTCAGGAGATCGAGACCATCCTGGCTAACATGGTGAAACCCTGTCTCTACTAAAAATACAAAAAATTAGCCGGGCGTGGTGGCGCATGCCTGTAGTCCCCCCTACCTGAGAGGCTGAGGCAGGAGAATTGCTTGAACCCGGGAGGCGGACGGAGGTTGCAGTGAACCGAGATTGCGCCATTGCATTCCAGCCTGGACAACAGAGCGAGACTCCATCTCAAAAAAGAGGGAAAAAAAAAAAGACAGGGTCTTGCTCTGTCACCCAGGCCAGAGTGCAGTGACAGGATCGCAGCTTACTGCAACCTCAAACTCCTGAACTCAAGTGATCTTCCCACCTCAGCCTCCTGAGTAGCTGGAACTACAGATATACGCTACCATGGTGCCTGGCTAATTTTTTTTAGTAGAGATGGGGTCTTGCTTTGTTGCCTAGGCTGGTCTCGAACTCCTGGCTTCAAGGGATTCTCTCACCTCAGCCTCCCAAAGTGTTGGGATTACAGGCATGAGACACCGTGCCTGGCCTGTTTTTTCTTATTACATATTTTTGTTCTAGAATTAATTTTTCCAGATTTGCTTGTTTTCTTTGTTTTGCTTGGTTTTGGGTTTTTTTGGGGGTTTTGTTTGTTTGTTTGTTTTTTTAAAGTAACTTCGCGTTACTTGCCAAATTTTTCAGGATTGGGATTTTATATTTTTGAACATAGTAAGCAGGTATATGAATAGTTTGCTAGTATCTAGGGGAGCTTTGTTTTGTTCCCCGTTGGTTACTAATACTTAAGGTTCATCTTTTTCCAGTGTCTGGGCTTCAGATGTTCAGAAGTTTAATCACATTCCACTTGTGGACTGCTTTTCTTCTTGTTCATCTTTCCTGGTAGGATATCACTTTTTTGGTTTCAAGCCCAAAGCAGGGGGTCATTTACTCAAGCTTCTTGTCTTGTCTTGTCTTGTCTCTTCTAATAGAGACAGAGTCTCACTGTGCTACCTAGATAGACTATGTTACTTAAACTCCTGGGCTTAAGCAGTCCTTCCACCTCGCCTCCCAAAATGCTGGGATTACAGACACAGTGCCCACCCAGCCACAAAGCCCCCAGTGTTGATGGGCCCTGGATTTCCACTTTTGTCCCTGGGGCCTATAGCCTCAGCTTCCAAATCTGCTACATCTCTGCTAGATCAGCAAATGACCCCAGAGCAAAAGTGGCCTAGAATGCAAAGCTTCCTCTTCATGGAATTTCATCCTCTTCTTCATCTTGATCACCTTATCTTGTTCTATGATTCTTTTAAGGAGAAGTTTTCCCTTCCTTCCAGCTTTTTTAGTTTTGTGGGTGTCAAGTAGGAGAGAGATAATTAGTTTGAATTATATACTCCTCTATTACCCAAATATAAAATCCTTTAAAAAAAAAAAAGATAAACTGAGACCTAGACAAATTAAGTAACCGTGTAAGACCACATAATCAATGGAAATCCTGGTCCAGAATCCTGAGTGATTTTAATGAAATAGTTCACAGTCATTTATTAAGAGCAGGGGCACCCTAGAAGGAATTTTTTGATTCTGTTGAACCAGATTTATATTTGGCACATGCTCATTCTTTTTAGACTTTTTAGATAGCCTAATAGGATAGAACCATCACTATGTTATATAAATGTGAAATCCATTTGAAAATATGGGACCTGTCAGTATAGGTACTGCTTGAACTGTAACTATGCATATATCTGATTGGCTTTTATGCCCTACGGTGAGAAGGAGGTCACCTTGAAGCTTTGCAAAGTAAGTTCTTGGTTCCATTTTTCACTTGAATCCCCCTTGGATATCCTCCAGAATGATGTGTTTTCTTTCCCATTGCAACATTATTTTCAGCTTTGTGGAGAAACAAAGTATGTTCCAAGTAGCAGGTAGTCACTGTAGGCCTTCTTTGAACTGTGAACTTTATTTTTTTGCACCTGAACTGCTTTCTAAAACCACATAAACAATATGATAGGGAAGTTGCTATCTGAATAAAAAAACAAAATAAAACCTCACAATGTGTTTGATCTAGTACTGAGCTACACTGGTATATGTGGGCTATATAGAATTATGTGGTTTAGATTACTTGTTTAAGTATAGCAGTGGCTTGGAGGAAAATACATTCTGAGTTTCAAATAGATAATTTGTAAAGGAAAATTTGAAGTACAGTTGACTTGGCACTTCTGATATTGAAATTTTAGAAGATTTTATTTCTGTATCTCAATGTAATGCCTAGGCAGAATCCACTAGATGCTTGTATAGATGGTATAAGCAATAATGATTTCAGCTATTTTAAAAAATTTCAATCTTTTTTTAATGTTGCCTCTTGAAATACCATCTTGTACTTCTCATTTTCCCTATACCTCCTTTTATGTGATTAAGTTTTATTATGTATAGACATAAAGGGGGCCTGGCACAGTGGCTCATGCCTGCAATCCCAGCATTTTGGGAGGCCAAGGCACAAGGATTGCTTGAGCCCAGGAGTTCAAGACAAGCCTACGCAATGCAGTGAGACCCTGTCTCAAACAAAAAAAAAAAAAAAAAAAAAAAAAAGGTTGGGGAGGGTGCTATGATATTATGATACATATGTTGGTTTTCATCCACAGTTTCTGTCATAGAACACCCATAGTCCCTGTTATTTCCTAAGTGACTAAAACAATATACATATATTTTATTGAAATATTTGGCCTTTTATTCTTGGTTTTTGAAGTGGCTTCAGTACAGCTTCAGATCAATAAAAGTGAAAGATGGTCTTTTGTAATAACGTTGGGGCACTTTAAACCTCAGAAGCAGGCTTCAGAAAACAGAATCGCTCTCTGACCTTTTCTTGCCTTGCTTTTACCTGCTCCTTTTTCTCCCCAAGCAGGCAATAGAAACTAAAAATATACTCTGATCATCCCCCAACATTCTGTCTTGGAGCTGACAGCAAAGAAATTATCTGACCTACCTTGTCTGATTGGAGGTCATAAGACCCCCATTTCAGAAGGCATCCTGCCCTGTACTTGGGAGGAAAGAAGTTGCACAGAGAGGCCAAGAAGACTCTGAACAGAGAGGCCTTGCTAGGTTTCCCCACTCAGTCTGTTAGCATTAGGTCCTACTTTGTCCAATCATATTTCTACCCGGTTGTCCATGCTTCAGTCGTGACGGTCCAGTGAAGTCCTGGACCGGGTACAGAGAGCTTCCAGATAGCTGAACACGTGGAGGGTCCTGGAGGGTGGTGCACCCAGGGAGGGTATGAGAGCTCTGCACCCCTTCCCACATGCCTTGTTCTGTGCACCTCTTCATCTGCATTCTTTGTGCTATTCTTTATAATAAACCAGTACACGTGTTTTCCTGAGTTCTGGGCACAGCTTTAGCAAATTAATCAAACCTAAGAAGGGGGTCATGGGAACACTGACTTGAAGCTGGTTGGCCAGAAGTTCTGGATGAGGCCTGGCCTTACAACTAGTGTCTGAAGTGGGGGCAGTCTTGTGAGACTGAGCCCTCTCTCAGCCTGTGGGATCTAATGCTATCTCCAGGTAGATAGCATGAGAATTGAATTGGATTAGAAGGTGCTCAGCTGGTGGTATCTTCTGCAGAACTGATTGCTTCTTGTTGGTGGGGAGAAATCCCCACACATTTGGTCACAGAAGTCTACTGTGTTGATGATTGTGGTGTAAGAGCAGAGGAAAAGCAATTTGATTTTTCTCCACAAGGGGAAGAAAATGTTTCATGATTCAACTAATGATTTACCTTTCATTGTAAGGTTATCATGCTCAAGTATTAATGTAGGAAGGCTTTTTTGATGCAGAGTGTGTGTGTGTGTGTGTGTATATACGTGTGTGTTTGTAGAGGGCTAACATTAAAAAGGGAAATGTAATAAGGAAGAAGAAATGGTGTTCTAAACTTAAAACCCATTTCATCTGCTAAATCGTCCTAGTGAAATACCAACTTTAGTTAATTTTAAAAAAAGTTTAGTTAATTGTAAAAAAAAAAAGAATCTCTTCATTATATTTTAAAAACCATTTATGTTTCCTTTTTCTGTAATTTATTCATATTTGTCCATTTTAAATTTCAGTGTTATTCTTATTCTTGTTATTGATTTTTTAAAACGTGGTCTTTATATTTGAGTGAAATTAACCTTCCATCATGAGTTGGAGCATTTTTTCCCCAATATATACTTCTCTTTTGATTTTGCTTATGGTCATTTTATAATGCCATGGTTTTTTTTGTTGTTTGTTTGTTTTTTTTTTTTTTGAGACGGAGTCTCGCTCTCTCAGCCAGGCTGGAGTGCAGTGGCGTGATCTCAGCTCACTGCAACCTCCACCTCCCCGTTTCAAGCGATTCTCCTGCCTCAGCCTCCCGAGTAGCTGGGATTACAGGCGTGCACCACCACGCCTGGCTAATTTTTGTATTTTTAGTAGTAATGGAGTTTCACCATGTTGGACAGGCTGGTCTCAGACTCCTGACCTCAGGTGATCTGCCCATCTTGACCTCCCAAAGTCCTGGGATTACAGGCATGAGCCACCATGCCCAGCCTGGTCATGGTTTTATACATGCTATGTTTATAATCAAATTTTACTTCTATTTAATAGATGACTAACACACTTACACATAGATGCTTATACCCAAATATATATGTTTATAGATTTTAAAATGCTAATTATATTTAAAAGGCCTAATAAGTAGTTTCAGCAAAAGCTGTTATATATATGTATATAATGGACCAATTGCAGTTGGATCAATAAAGAACTGTAAGGTGTGTTATGATCTAGAAAAGTGATTCTTTTTTTTTTTTGAGATGGAGTCTTGCTCTGTTGCCCATGCTGGAGTGCAGTGGCACGATCTCGGCTCACTGCAAGCTCCGCCTCCCGAGTTCACGCCATTTTCCTGCCTCAGCCTCCTGGGTAGCTGGGACTACAGGCACGTGCCACCACACCCAGCTAATTTTTTGTATTTTTAGTAGAGACGGGGTTTCACCATGTTGGCCAGGATGGTCTCGATCTCTTGACCTCGTGATCCGCCCTCCTTGGCCTCCAGAAGTGCTGGTATTACAGGCGTGAGCCACTGCTCCCGGCCCTGAAAAATGTTTCTTAACAATAACTAGGAACTGTGCTGTGTGTTTTATATAAGAGTATATTATATAATTTTTTTTTTCTTTGAGATGGAGTCTCACTCTGTTGCCCAGACTGAGTGCAGTGGTGCGATCTCAGCTCACTGCAGCCTCTACCTCCCAGGTTCAAGCGATTCTCCTGCCTCAGCCTCCCAAGTAGTTGGGATTACAGGCGCACGCCACCATGCCCTGCTAATTTTTGTATGTTTAGTTTTACCATGTTGGCCAGGCTGGACTCAAACTCCTGACCTCAAGTGATCCTCCCACCTCGGTCTCCCAAAGTGCTGGGATTACAGGTGTGAGCCACCGTGCCTGGCCCCCAATCTTTAATTAAGAAGCAGGTGCCAGGCACAATGGTATACTCCTATAATCTCAGCTACTCAGGAGGCTGAGGTGGGAGGATTGCCAGTGCTTGAGCCCAGGAGTTTGAGACCAGCCTGAACAACATAGTGAGACCCTTATCTCAATTTTAAAAAGAAAGAATTAGGTAATGATATGATTTTAATTTTATAGGTGTGGAAACGGAGGCTTAGAGAATTGAATAATCATATATACCTTATAAGATTCTCTCATACTCCATTTTTAAAAGTTTTCGATCAAGTTTAAGTTGTATTGATACACGATATATAGTGAAGTGTCTATGTACAATGCTTAATTTACATATATACATTTCCAATTATGAATATATTGCAAACTGTATTAGTGAATGAATTATTCATTTATCATATCAGTATTATATATTACTATAATATATAAATATACTAATTATATATTAGTATTAATGTAAACATTAATTTAGAAATACTTTTTTCTCCAGTGAAGCCTCCTCAGACTTCTCATATGCATCTTCAGTATTTATGGGTTTCTACCCTTTAAACAGTCTAACAGTTCCAGAGCAAATATTATCTTCTAAGAGGTTTGAGATAGATCCTTATTTGAATCAGTATATTATGTTGTGACTGGAAATTTTATCCCTAGCCATGTCTCTATTCACATAACATTAGTAAATGTGATTTTTCATTAATATATTTCATATGAGTAGCATTAATGATCTCCATGACATAATTACTTAGTCTGTTGCTTTTGAAGTGATTCATTCATTCTACAGATACTTACTGAACACACACTATGTGCCAGAAACTGCTAGCATTGGAAGTAGAGCTGTGAACAAAATCAAGCATCAACATTTCTGATATTTGAGAAGACAGGCAACAAGCAAATATGTGATGTAAAGTAGTGATAAGTGCTGTAAAATCACAAGAGGGTATAGAATGAGGATTGTTCTTCAAGTTGATAGAACAGATCTTTAAAGAAGTGATTTGAGGCTGGGCGTGGTGGCTTACACCTGTAATCCCAACACTTTGGGAGGCCGAGGCGGGTGGATCATGAGGTCAAGAGACTGAGACCATCCTGGCCAACGTGCTGAAACTCCGTCTCTACTAAAAATACAAAAATTAGCCAGGCGTGGTGGTGCGTGCCTGTAGTCCCAGCTACTCGGGAGGCTGAGGCAGAAGTGCTTGAACCCGGGAGGCGGAGGTTGCAGTGAGCCAAGATCATGCCACTGCATGCCAGCCTGGGCGACAGAGCAAGACTCCATCTCAAAAAAAAAAAAAGATGATTCGAGGCTTCGTGTGGTGGTTCATGCCTGTAATCCCTGCACTTTGGGAGGCTGAGGCAGGAGGATCACTTGAGCTCGGGAGTTTGAGGCCAGCCTGGGCAACATGGTGAAACCCCATGTCTATAAAAAATACAAAAATTAGTCGGGTGTGATGGTGGGCGCCTGTAGTCCTAGCTATTTGGGAGGCTGAGGTGGGAGGAACACTTGAACCTGAGAGGTCAAGGTTGCAGTGAGCCAAGATGGCAGCACTGTACTCCAGGTTGGGCAACAGAGTGAGACCCTGTCTCAAAAAAAAAAAAAAAAGTGATTTGAGCAGAGGCCTGAATGACATAAAGTGTTTAGATATCTGGAGACTTTGCAAGCAGATGCAGAAACCCTGGGGTTGGAAAATGCTTACAGTCTGAATAGTAAAAGAGGCACCACCAGCATGACTTCTAGTTATTGTGCTACACCCTGCACATTTTTTTTTCTTTTTCGAGACAGGGTCTCACTCTGTCACCTAGATGGGAGTGCAGTGGCATGTTCATGGCTCACTCCAGCTTCAACCTCCTAGGCTTCAGCAATGCTCTTGCCTCAGCCTTTGGAGTAGCTGGGACCACAGGTTTGTGTCACCACGTATGACTAATTTTTTTTTATTTTTCCTGTGTTGCCCAGGTTGGTTTTGAACTCCTGGGTTCAGGTGATCCTCCTGCCTTGGCCTCCCAAAGTGCTGGGATTCCAGGCAAGAGCCACCATGCCTGGCCCTGGGCAACATTTTTATTGTCAGTCATTTAATAGCCTAGTCTAATGGATGTGTAGTGATATGTCATTGTGATTTTAATTTGCCTTTCCTTAATGGCTAATGATGCTGAACACTTTTTTATGTGCTTTTTTTTTTTTTTTGCCATTTATAAATTTTCCTTTGTGAAGTTTAAGTCTTGCCATTTTTAAATTGGGTTGTTTACCTTTTTATTCAACAGCTGTAGGTTTTTTGTTTTTTTTTTTTTGATACAGAGTCTCACTCTGTCTCCAGGCTGTAGTGCAGTGGCACATCTTGGCTCACTGCAACCTCCGTTCCCAGGTTCAAGTGATTCTCCTGCCTCAGCCTCCCAAGTAGCTGAGATAACAGGCATGCACCACCACGCATGGTCCACCCACCTCGGCCTCCCAAAGTGCTGGGATTACAGGCGTGAGCCACTGCGCCCAGCCCAGAAAGGAACATTCTTAAGCATTGAAGTGATTCTTGTCAAATTTGATTTCTATTCAAATTTAGGAGCTGGGCCAGGCACGGTGGCTCAGCCCTGTAATCCCAGCACTTCGGGAGGCTGAGGTGGGTAGATTGCCTGAATCCAGGAGTTTGAGACCAGGCTGGACAACCTGGGGAAACCCCTGTCTCTACTAAAAATACAAAAGATTAGATGGGCCTAGTGGCACCTCACGCCTGTAGTCCCCAGCTACCCCGGAGGCTGAGGTGGGAGAATCTCCCGAACCTGATGGGAAAGGTAGCAGTGAGTTGAGATAGTGCCACTGTACTCCAGCCTGGGCAACAAAGTGAGACCCTGTCTCAAAAAACAAAACAAAACCAAACAAATTTAGGAGCTAGCTTGTGATTGTAGAAATAATTTTGGCAATAGAAGTGAGGGAACTGAGTTGTAGTCTAGCTAGTTAACATGTGACAAACCATTAACTTTATATGTCTCATTTTCTTCATCTGTAAAATGAGGAAGATTTGATTAGAGGATTTATTAAAGTTCTTTTAAAATCTGAAATTACAGTTTCTTAATTGGTTTTGTAGAGATTTTGGCTTTATAAAAATGTGTGAACCATAGTGACAGCAGAAACATTTGAAATCCTATATTTGGGTGATTCATAAAAGAAAGGAAGAATTATGGGCATCTTGCCTGTAAAATGTTATGTAATCTGAATCATTGTTACCCACAGCATCCTGTGACTGATAAAGGTACTCATGGCCACCTCTCCTCCCTTGTCTTTCTGTAGTACTTTCCTTTCTCCCCACCTCAATAATAGCTTTATTGATGTATAATTCACATACCATACATGTCATCTATTAATATTTAAAGCATACAATTCAGCGGTTTTTAGTCTATTTACAGAGTTGTACAGCCATCATCACAATCAATTTTAGAACACTTTCTGAACTCCAGAAAGAAAGTACCCTGCCTATTTCCCCTCTATCACCTAGCCCTAGGCAACTATGAATCTACTTTCAGCCTCCATAGATTGCCCTGTTATGGACAAATATGTGGCTGGTTTCTTAGTATAATGTTTTCAAGGTTATTTACGTTGTAGCATGTGTCAGCTATTTCATTTCTTTTTATTGTCAAATAACATTCAGTTGTATGGATATACCACATTTTATCTATTCCATCAGTTGATGGACATTTGAGTTGTTTTCATTTTGGGATTATTATAAATAATGCTACTATGAACATTTGTATACAAACATTATGTGGACATGTGTTTTCATTTCTCTTGGACATATACTTAGGAATGGGATTGCTGTATCACATGATACCTCTGTATTTAACCTTTTGAGGAATTGCCAAACTGTTTTCCAAAAGTGGCTGCACCATTTACATTCCCACTATCAATATATGCTCCAGTTTCTCTACATCCTACCTTATACTTTTTTTTTTTTTTTCTTTTTTTGAGACAGAGTCTCGCTCTGTCGCCCAGGCTGGAGTACAGTGGCACAATCTCGGCTCACTGCAACCTCCGCCTCCTGAGTTCAAGCAATTCTAAATTATCATGCCTCAGCCTCCCGCATAGCTGGGATTAGAGGCGTTTGCCACCATGCCTGGCTAAGTTTTATATTTTTAGTAAAAATGGGGTTTCGCCATGTTGGCCAGGCTGTTCTCGAACTCTTGACCTCAGGTGATCCACACGCCTCGTCCTCCCAAAATGCTGGGATTATAGGTGTGAGCCACCATGTCCGGCCTGATTGGCCAGCTTTTCATTTGGAATGGGGATAGGACATAGTTGGAAGTTGGTGTCTTTGGTTATTTCCCTAACATGTCCAAGCATCCTAAAGTATCAGTCAAATAAGCAGTCTCTTCTCATTCCTGGCAGAGAGTAAGTCAAAGCCTTAATTCAATTTGCATACCTGTTTTCATGTAACAACAAATAATTTTTTTTTTTTTTGAGACAGAGTTTCTCTGTTGTTGTTTAGGCTGGAGTGCAATGATGCGATCTTGGCTCACTGCAACCTCTGCCTCCCGGGTTCAAGCGATTCTCCTGCCTTAGCCTCCCAAGTAGCTGAGATTATAGGCATGCACCACCACAGCCGGCTAGTTTTGTATTTTTAGTAGAGACGGGGTTTCTCCGTGTTGGTCAGGCTGGTCTTGAACTCCTGACCCCAGGTGACCCGCCTGCCTCGGCCTCCCAAAGTGCTGGGATTACAGGCGTGAGCCACCACGCCTGGCCACAACAAAGAATTTTACCAGAAGTGGGTATGATTTATATCTTAGTTTGAATTGCTACTTACCTTTGGGGAACAGACCTTTCCTTGATGTATCTTTAACACTGAAATCTTGGCAAGTTGCCAAGTCTCAAATGTTCATGAGTAAGACTGCAATATCACAATATCATAGTCACACAGGAATCTGATAGAAAAGCATCACATTTATAAAGCCTTCTTTCCTGTACATCACTGACGTTTTGTGAATTTTAAAGAATTTGTAATTATTTTTAAGGAGCATATTTAATGTAGTTAATGTAACCTAGAATAGGCTCATTTGAAATGAAACTCTTGCTAATAGGAACTTAATTCACCAAATTAAGAATATTTAGTTTTTGTAGAGATTTTGCTCTTGAAAATGTTGCAGTCTTGATTTCGTCTTGTCAGTCCAGTCAGAATTGTGAAGTATTTTTTTTTCTCATTCCAGAAATACATGCTACAGGATTTAACTATCAGAATGAAGATGAAAAAGTCACCTTGTCTTTCCCTAGTACTCTGCAAACAGGTAAGAGACATAGCTTTTGTAAAATCTCGTGATGAATATAGTGACATCTGACTTCCTCCAGAGAAATTTATTGTATGCCATTTTTTCCCTCGTTGTTATTAGCAGATTAAGTATTAAGAGCTTTTTTTTTTTTTTACTTTGAGACGGAGTCTTACTCTATTGCCCAGGCTGGAGAGTAGTGGCATGATCTTGGCTCACTACAACCTCCACCTTCCAGGTTCGAGTGATTCTCCTGCCTCGGCCTCCCGAGTAGCTGGGATTACAGGTGCCTACCACCACACCGGCTAATTTTTTTGTATTTTTAGTAGAGACAAGGTTTCGCCATGTTGGCCAGGCTGGTCTTGAACTCCTGATCTCAAGCGATCTGCCCGCCCTGGCCTCCCAAAGTGGTAGGATTACAGGCAGGAGCCACCACGCCCAGCTGTATTAAGAGCTTTTTAAAGAGGTTTGTTGCAACTTTTGGGCCACCAGCATTTCCTTCTGCGGAAGTTGGGCTACGAAAAGCAGGGTTTCCACCTCCTGTCACTCTATATTCTCTTTAAACAAACAAGCCAAGAAAAACAGGACAAAAACTAAAGATCATTCTATCCTAGAATGTAATGTATTGTTTTCCAGTTTTACCTTTTTAAAAATACCTTTACCTAGGCCAGGCGTGGTGGCTCACACCTGCAATCCTAGCGCTTTGGGAGGCCAAGGCGGGCTGATCACTTGAAGCCAGGAGTTAGGGACCAGCCTGGCCAACATGGCAAAACCCCATCTCTACCAAAAAATACAAAAATTACCCAGTGTGGTGGCTCATCCCTATACTCCCAGCTACTCAGAAGGCTGAGGCAAGAAAATCGCCAGAAGTCAGGAAGTGGAGGTTGCAGTGAACCGAGATCATGCCACTGCACTCCAGCCTGGGTGATAGAGTGGGACTCTGTCTAAAACAAACAAACAAAATACTTTTACCTAGCTCCATCTTCTATTAATTCAATCCAAATCCCTGAAGTGAATGGTCACAGATGATTTTGATATACAACCAGAGATCAAATAGGTATTGTGTTATTGAGGGCACAGAAAGAAAGATACGTTGATATGTTACTATTGTTAGGTATAAAAGCACAAAGAAATAGACTTTCTGAGCTTAGTATATGTGGAAGAAATTATATACCAATCAATTGGTGAAGTACTAAGACTTTGATGAATGAACAAATGAAAAGGAACAGATAATTCAAAAGGAAGAAAATGTAAATGACTAATAAACATGCGAAAAGATATTGAGCCTCCTAGTAATGAGAAATTTTTGCTTCTCATGTGAGCTGAAATTTTAAAAATTCCCAATGATATGGCTGCCTTGATATCGCTGGGGGGAGTATAAATCCATGTAATTTTTTTGTAAAGCATTCTGGCAGTATATCAAGAGCCTAAATATGTTCATGTCCTTTGACCCAGCAATTCTGCTAATAGGAATATATCCCAAGGAAAAGTCATAAATACAGAAAATACTTTATGCCCAGAAGTGTCTGAGATATTACTTACGGTAGTAAAAAATTATAATTAATATATTTGTTCAACACTAAGGAAATGATCAAGCCAGGAATGATATATCTATATAGTGAAATATACTTAGCAATTAAAAGTGAGGTTTGCGAATTCTTAACCCTGTAAAGTGCTTATTATAATGTAAAATTGAAAAGAAGAATATAAAATTACATATTTAAGGTGGTGAATCATGTCTCTAAATGGCACAAATAAAATGATAATTATGTCTGGGTGTTGACATAATTGGTGATTTTTATTCTTATTTATATCTTTTGTCTGATTTTCACAATTTTCCTACTGAGAATCTATTGAATTAATATAAAATTATTTTTAGAAAAAATTTAAATTGGAGATGTTTAGTCTTTTATTTCAGTGCTCTTGGAGGCCCTTTATGTGTAATTATTATAAAAATAAATGGGCCGGGCGTAGTGGCTCACGCCTGTAATCCCAGCACTTTGGGAGGCCGAGGCGGGCGGATCACGAGGTCAGGAGATCGAGACCATCCTGACTAACACGGTGAAACCCTGTCTCTACTAAAAATACAAAAAATTAGCTGGGAATGGTGGCAGGTGCCTGTAGTCCCAGCTACTCGGGAGGCTGAGGCAGGAGAATGGCGTGAACCCGGGAGGTGGAGCTTGCAGTGAGCCGAGATCGCACCACTGCACTCCAGCCTGGGTGGCAGAGTGAGACTCCGTCCCAAAAAACAAAACAAAACAAAACAAAAAATGCTTTGCCATGAACATGTATTAAAAGCTATTGAAGAATATAATTTGAAAAGGAAGGAGATTCTTTCGCTGATTTCTTCTACTTCCATTGTCTGGTGAATCTGTCTAGAAATATTCCTATGTATATATAAATTTATGTATATAATTTAACCCACAGATAGGATCACAAATCTCAGTGGCTTATAACCACTGAGATTTCTTTCTTTTTTACACATGGGCCATGAGGACTGCTGATCATATGCAGCCATATCACCAACTCTGCTGGCTCCACTTGGCTCCCAACTGTCTTTCCAGGACTAGTAGTCAGCGAGCAGCCACTCTCTGTATCATGCATGGCAGAGGGCAGAGGCTCAGGGATGGGGAGAAAGCTAGACCACAAAGACACATTTAAAACTTCTGCATGGCCAGGCGTGGTGACTCACACCTGTAATCCCAGCATTTTTGGAGGCTGAGGCAGGAGGATTGCTTGAGCCCAGGAGTTCGAGACCAGCCTAGGCAATGTAGTGAGACCCTGTCTCTATAAAAAATAAAATAAAAAATAAAATTTCTGTGTGATGGTGGTATACTTGATGTCTACTCACATTTCATTGACCAAAGCAAGTAGCATGACCAAGCCCAAAGTCACTGGGGTAGCATTTAACAGACATTTGCGAAAAGTTTCTAATGAAAGATAGGGCAAAAAGCAAAATTATAAGTATAATAGAAATAAAGGAAGTTGGAAAAAGCAAAGACAAATCTAAAGAAAGTTAAAAAAAAAACAAACCCATAGCTAATTACTATCCTTAGAGAGTTAAGAGAAAGCATTGCGTGCATTAAACAAGGACAGGACAGAATGCCATCAGATAGGAAGAATTACAGCAGGAAAACTTGGAAATTATGATAGGTATAAAAAACCCAGTAAAAGTGTTAAAGATGAAGTTGAGGAAACTTCCAAGCAGTAGAAAAAACAGATAGAAAACAGAAAAATAGATTTGAGAACCAGTCCAGCAGAACCAACATCCATCTAGTAAAACAGAAAGCAGAGGAAATGGGAAGAGGATTTTTTAATTTTCATTTTTGCAACAGAATCTTGCTCTGTCACCCAGGCTGGAGTGCAGTGGTGCAATCTCGGCTCACCACAGCCTCCACCTCGTGGGTTCCAGTGATTCTCCTGCCTCAGCCTCCTGGGTAGCTGAGATTACAGGCACACACCACCACGCCCAGCTGATTTTTGTATTTTTAGTAGAGTTGGGGTTTCACCATGTTGGCCAGGCTGGTCTCGAACTCCGGACCTTAGGTGATGTGCCCACTTCGGCCTCTCAAAGTGCTAGGGATTACAGGCGTGTGCCACTGTGCCCGGCCAGAAGAGAAACTCAAAAAGACAGGAACATTTCCTTGAACTGATAGAGCAGGAGCCTTCAGTTTGCAAAGGTACACCATTGAGAGAGACTAGCTTAAAAAATGTAAAAATTGCCACACTGACTGAAATTTTAGAACTTCTGCGATAAAGTAAAACTCCCAGAAAGTTCCTGTCTGGGATAGGGGGCAATAGGAGGGAAGGCAGGTAGCATACTACCTTTAAAATTTAGGAATCAGAATAGTCCTAGACTTACCATTAGGAACAGTGGAAACTTAGACTCTAATGAAGCTGTTCATTCAAAATACAAAGTGAATCTGATTTTCAACCTAAGATTGCATGCTTAGCCCAACTTTGAATTTCGGAGTAAAAATATTTTCAGATTTGCAAGGTCATAGAAAATTTGATTCTTTGTAAAAGATATTGGAGTGGGGGATGGATTAGCTAAAGCATGACTTTCTACAGTGAAGAGAAAATGTCTAAAGTTGAAAAATGAAGAAATAGGCCGTGGTCGTGGCTCATGCCTGTAATCCCAACACTTTGGGAGGCTGAGGTGGGAGGATTGCTTGCCCAGGAATTGAAGGCTGCAGTGAGCCGTGATTGTACCACTGCCCTCGAGCCTGGGCGACAGAGCAAGACTGTCTCAAAGAAAGGAAAAGAAAAAATAGCTGTGTAAGCAAGACATTTAGAAGTCACAGAGTTTGAAATTGATTGCTTCTAGGGGCAGGGTGTGGGGAGTAGGGCCTAGTGTTGAGCAGGGCCTGGAGCTTACGTATTTTAAACTGTGAACTATTACTTTGATAGAAATTTAAAAAATTTTAGAGTTTTAAATCTATATCATTACAGACTATATATATTCTGTGTTTACACTGTGAAAAAATTAGAAGTCAATAGAAAAAGAGAAATGAAAAAAATCCCTTTTTATATATTTGAAAAAATTATACCTCTGAATAATTGAGTCAAAGAAGACTTGTTATGGAAATTAGAAAATATTTAGAACTGAATAATGAAATTACCACATATGAAACATTAGGGATAAACATGTTTCATATGCAGATAAAATATTAGAATATTTAGTTAAGAAGAAAGACTGAAAATTAATTAGCTAAGCATTAAACTCATAAAAACAAAAGGTAACTTGGAGAAAGTAGAAGAAAGTTTTAAGAGCAGAAACAAATGAAATAAGTGAAGTGAGGGGCAGAAATATTAAAAAACTGATATTTAAAAATAGTCCCAAAAGATATATAAACCTAGCCAGTATAGAAAATAAAAGCGTAGATTGAATTGTTGTTCAGCATTAGGAAATATGGTAACCATTTTTCATTAAATTTAAAAAGTTAAACATTCTATATTTATCAAAAGGAATCAGTTTATTTGCTAGAATTCACCAGGGAAGAGTAGACAGAAACTTCTAACATGATAGAAGATATGTATTACACACACACACACACACACACACACACACACGACATAATCTGTGCCAAGTACTGTTTTAAGTGCCTCAAAAATATTAATTTATTTAGTCCTTTCAACAACCTTTTGAGGTAGATTTGTTTTGTGACAAAGTCTCTCTGTCACCCAGGCTGGAGTATAGTGGTGCAGTCACGGCTCACTGCAGCCTCAAACTCCTGGGTTTAAGTGATTCTCCCACTTCAGCCTCCCATGTAGCTAGGACTGCCTACACATGACAGTGCATCTGGTTAATTTTTAAATTTTTTTGTAGAGACAGGGTCTCGTTATGTTGCCTAGGCTGGTCTCAAATGCCTGGCCTCAGGTGATCCTCCTACCTCAGAGAGAGGATCTTGCCATCCTCCCAAATGTTGAGGTTACAGGCATGAGCCACTACGCCAGCCAGATTCTGTTACTTCTATTTTGTAGATAAACTAAGGCAGAAAAATGATTTCAGTAACTTAAATAATTTGTCCAAGGTAACATAGCTAGTAAGTAACATAGCTGGGATTTAAACCCAAGCAGTTTAACTCAAAAGTCTGCACTTTTAACCACCACATTGTGCTATCTTTATTTTTCAAATTAAATATTTCAAAAACATAGTACATTTACATAATTTGAAATTCAAATGCTATGCAATGAAATTTTGTTTGCCAGTCTACCCTGTCTTCTTTCTCAGCTCCATTCCTCAACAGAATGAAATGAAATTTTCCTTTCAAAACTATACCCTGCTTTTGTAAGCATTTATATATATACTTTTTAAGAACACAGAAATCACCATGCCATACATAATGTTCTGCACCTTTCTTCTTTTCCCCTTAACTGTAAATATTGGAGGCCATTTATTACTAGTATATAAGAGATGTATCATTCTTGATAAGGTCTGTTTACAGCAGACATGCTAAATGGTGAAGCTATTTCAAATAATAACAAACAAGTTAGAGAAGGTTATGACCATTAGTATAGTATGATTTAACATAATTTTTGATATTTTTGGCCAATATAACAATTTTGAGCTAATATAACAACTGATATAAATATTAGAACAGAAAAATTATCTTGCAGGTGTGACAATATTGAATTATTATTATTATTATTTTTTGAGATGGAGTCTCGCTCTGTCGTCCAGGCTGGAGTGCAGTGGCGCGATCTCAGCTCACTGCAAGCTCTGCCTCCTGGGTTCATGCCATTCTCCTGTCTCAGCCTCCCGAGTAGCTGGGACTACAGGTGCCCGCCACCACGCCCGGCTAATTTTGTTTTTGTATTTTTAGTAGAGATGGGGTTTCACTGTGTTAGCCAGGATGGTCTTGATCTCCTGACCTCGTGATCCTCCCGCCTCGGCCTCCCAAAGTGCTGGAATTACAGGTGTGAGCCATCACGCCCAGCCGACAATATTGAATTATTGAATATCTGTTTGAAACCATTGGCTTTCACATTTTCCCAAGGTTTGCTTTAAAAATGAAGTTAATCTTTTTCAAGACAGATTGCACAAGTGATCTATCTGATAATGAAGCAAATACTGAGCTTATCTTAGGAGGACATTAATAACCTTTGTGTTTAGCCTCATCAAATTTAACAGTAATGCAAGCTATTATACAGCTAAGTAAAACCTACTTTTCTGAAATTGGCACCATTCTGGGATAGTGATTAAATTACCATAATTATTGTAAGGTCTAACAACCTTAGAATTAGTGGCTGAGGGTCCTGAGGGTGGCATTTATATGGAGAAACACTGGTAGTTGTCAGCATTTTGAAGAGTCAAAAACAAGATAATAAAAAGTGGTGACACATGGCGAAACCCTGTTTCTACTAAAAACAAAAATTAGTCAGGCCTGGTGGCGCACGCCTGTAGTTCCAGCTACTCAGGAGGCTGAGGCAGGAGAATTGCTTGAACCCGGGAGCCGAAGGTTGCAGTGAGCCGAGATTGCACCACTGCACTTTAGCCTGGGTGACAGACTGAGACTGAGACTCCATTTTCCAAAGAAAAAAAGAGGTGGTGACACAAAGGCAACGATCTTTATTCCCTTTTTGTATAAATTAATCTCTTTATTTTTATAGCATTTAGTAGACTCATTAAATTTCTTATTATTAAAGTATTTCAAGATTTACTCCAGGTTTTACAATTGTTATACTCTCCTAAGCTTTAAACATTTAAGGTTTTTGATGGAAGTCCCAATTTTTCAGTTGTTTACTTTATAAACGAGCTTGATGTATGTTTCAAAAGGTTTACAACCCCAAACATAAATATTTCATACATTGGATATGAAATAAGGTATCTAATTTGAGGAAGTGGTGTAAATTATGTGTGTTGATAGGTATAAAATTAGACAATTTGGCAATCCGTTCATTAATATGGTGTAAATTTGATAAATGAAATTTATTAAAAAGTCATTTTTTCTCCTACTTGCCCTAAAATTCTACTATATGAATAGTAAGTAAATACTTTGTAATTGGTATCATATAATGTGACACTAATTAAACTTATTAATGATTTTTAAATACTTTAACTTGTGTTTTGTTTGAATTTCAGGTAATAACTCTTTCCAATACTTTGTATTTTGTTTAGTATGCCACTTTTTGGAAGTGGTCACTGTCAATATCTTGTTATGGTTTGATGGCCTTGGAGATTTAAAACCGAGTAAAAGTGTAAGCAGTCTTTCTTATTTAGTTATGAGTTTTAAAACCACTTATGTTCCAACTAGGAAAAAATGCAAGTAGATTTACCATGAAATATGAATTATATTTAAAAAACATCTTAACAGTTGACTGACTTAGTGAAACAGACTGGGCAATTCCACTTATGGAATTGTAACATAAAATTCCATCATATAGTTTCCATTAAAGGTAGTAGGTTTTTATAATCTGTTAGACGTTCTTTGCAAACTTTATTAATGTGAATACATTTGCTTTTTTAAAAAAATTAAGTGAACTTCTAAAGAAAATAGAAATTAAAAATTTTTAATTTAAATTTTGCTTTATAGTTTAATTTTTTAGTATCATTTAGAATTATCAATTATTTTACTATATCCATATATACTGTCCCAGTAACCTGTCATTCTCTTTAAAGAAAAAAGTATTCATTGTCCTCTTTAGATATTTACAAATATCTGATTTCTAAAAAATAAACATCACAAATGTCTATTCAATTAAGCTTCAGTTGAGTTGTTTTTTTCTCAGAATGATTAAGAATATAGCACTTTCATTAGTGGTGACTTTGCTCTAAAGGTCTGAAATTTTCACTTAAATTACTTTCAGAACCAGTTTGAGGCATCAGGCTAGAGACAGTTTGTAGTTTGTCATTCACTTATTCTGTAGACTCTCACTCCCCATAACTTTTGGTCCTTTCCAAAAGCAAATTCAATTTTATAAGATGAAGATTTGACTTTGAGATCATTCAAAAGAGTGTCAGAGGGGCTGGGCACAGTGGCTCATGCCTGTAATCCCAGCACTTCGGGAGGCCAAGGTGGGTGGATCACTTGAGGCCAGGAGTTTAAGACCAGCTGGCCAACATGGCAAACCCCTGTCTCTACTAAAAATGCAAAAATTAGCCAGGCGTGGTGGTGCCCGCCTGTAGTCCCAGCTACTCAGGAGGCTGAGGCACAATTGCTTGAACCCAGGAGGCGGAGGCTGCAGTGAGCCGAGATCACACCACTGTACTCCAGCCTGGGCAACAGAGTGAGCCTCTGTCTCAAAAAAAAAAAAGAGAGAAAGAGAAAGTCACAACATTTTGAACAATGTCAAATGTCATTGCTCTTTAGCGTTCCAAAATGACAATTTGAAACATTAGGATATAAAAGTTTGGTATGATTGGTTAATTACTTTATAGTCATGCCCTATCTTTGATTTGTTAGACTTCCCATGCTTTAAATCTTGATATACGTAGGGCCTTTAAAATGGTCAACTAAAAAGTCACCATTCCTCTACGTTTTTTCGTGACTTGATTTGTAAAACACAGAATGGGATTACTGTTTTGCCATGCATCTGTATTTAGCAGATGATTACTAGATAATAATTATAATTTTTTATGTTATAAAAAAGAAAGTATATAAACTCAAAAAAGCTCACTTTTTTGTCTAAATTGTTTTTGCTCTTATACAATAGAATACATATTTAAGTTGTATTTTTATTTGCATTTAATAATTTATTAATTAAATGTATTTCTTTGTCAGATTTCAAATGATTGAGGTGACTTGTAAGAATTTGTTTTATGCCCTGTTGCTGATCAAATCATTGGTCTTCCCTATAGCTCCTTACAAAATTATGCAATCAGTGTTCCATTTGGAGTAAACATTTAGTGTCTTATCTTGATAGAGTAATTGGCTACATTTCTCTTTCTATGCATGAAGTTGTGTAAAAGGACCAATTCACATGTATAATTGGCAGAGAGCATGGATTCTGGACTTAACATTTTATCCCATTCTCACTACTTACTAATTTTATGACACTGGACAAGTTATTTAGCTTCTCAGCCTCAGTTTCCTCATCTGAAAAAATGAGGACAATATCTACTTCCAGGTTTATAAATAGTTATATATATTTTAAAAGCACTGTGCACAATAGCACATATCAGGCATTTAAGAATAAATGTTTGTTTCCTTTCCTGTTCTTATTTTCACATATTGGTAGTTTGAGACTAAGTTAATAACTTTTTAGGCAGTCACCCTAAACATGACTTTCAAGAGTTATTTTAGGATTAGTCTGCCTTTTACTTTAGTAAGTACTGTATTCTCTCCATTGCCAGGAGGAATATTTGAAAAAGGAAGGAATGATTTGAACATTGTAAATAGCTAACTGAATATAGTGTCTTGAGGACATATTTTTGGTAACTGTGTTTAACATCTCCATAAAAGTGTTTTTTATTTATCTTCAATCACAGGTACGGGAACCTTAAAGATAGATTTTGTTGGAGAGCTGAATGACAAAATGAAAGGTTTCTATAGAAGTAAGTATACTACCCCTTCTGGAGAGGTGCGCTATGCTGCTGTAACACAGTTTGAGGTATGGGTTATTCTTCTCTAAAATATTATTATTCTTAAATTAGGCATTCTGACAAAGGTGTGTTTATTATGTGGGGTGATTATTTGAGGCTAGGTGCCCTTGGCCATGATTGTATTCACAATTTTAGAATTTTTATTTTATATTTAGCCATTATCTCTATAGAAAGGAGGGAATTAAGGGTATGGGTTGGGGAATGATTATATACAGTTATACACACAGACATTCAAACACACGACACATTTTGATACCTGAATTGCCTATATACTGTGTACCTTTCTTAAAATCATTCTCTTAGTATTTGACACCTATGGCTTTTCCTACAGTATTATTAGCTGTTTTCTAGAATTCCTTTCCTTCTTTGACATCTTTTGTTTATCTTACTGTAGTATCTGTGCTGTCTTTGATTTTTTTTCTCTCTCTCTCTGTGTGTGTGTGTGTGTGTGTGTGTGTGTGTGTGTGTATACATATATATATACACACATATATATATTTGCTGTCCTACGTAGGCCAGGATGATTTTTATTTGTCAGGTATTTGCAAATTATATACATTGTTTTGAATCTGCTAGTCGTATTTTTAAGTGTTAAATCTAATTAAATTTATTTCTATAAATTTCAGTATGGATAAAGAAACAATTCATGATATCCATTCTTATGTTTCTGCCCATATCCCTATATTGTTTGCTTGTTTGGGATAACCTAAAATTTTTTATCCAGTTTACTACTAATTTGTTTTACCTGATGTATCTTCTCTTTCAATAATTTTATGTTACCTTCTGTTTAGAATAATATTTGCCACAGATATTTAGGTTTAATTCTGTGTTTGAATGATTCCAATGCCTTTCTCTACCCACTTTGAACACTTCATCCTGGAATGGTTGGCTGATGTATGTCTCTAAACAATTTTTTTTTTAGGAGAAGGTATGTGGGTAATGTAATTCCTAAACCTTTGCTTTTCTGAAAAATCTTTCATTTGCCTTTATACATGACCAGATTTACTGGGTATATAGATTTGTTGATGAAAAAAGGTAAAAAGAGCAACTTTTGACATCCAGAGGTTGTCTGGCACTCACAGCTAGCCCGTGTTATTCTCCCTATTAGACATAATATTACAGAATACCAACTTTAGACAAGGCTACTTGAGACCATAATAAAGTGAGACAAAACAAGGGATCCATAATTTTGCCTAGGTACAGTACATACAGGATCACTATGCTACCCGCAAAATATCAAACATCTCCATCTCTCAGTTAAAATGAGTGACTACTGCTTCTTTACCAATTACGGTTTTAGATTTGCTCTAGTCTGGCCTCCGTATAGATAAGATTTATTGAGATACATACCCATAGAATTGCCTCATAGGACTTCTTGCAGCACTCAATCTAGAGTGAATCCCTGTTTACTTAGACCCTCTTCCAAATCATGTAAACCAAATCCCAAATCGTATAGTGGGTTCTTTCTTACATTCTTATGGAGACACCAGTGGTTCCCTGTGGTGTGAGTTCTCTCTTGCCATGAGTAATAGGCCCAGCTCATTCAATTGTAAGAGTAGTACAATCAGCTTACAATTTTTCACTTTCAAAAGTCTGTGAATATTGTTTCCAAAGTCTTCTACATCTCACTTTTTCAAGAGGAGGGGTCACAGACTAAAATGTTTCTTCTTCCTTTGTAGGTAAGATGTTGTTTCGTTTTGCTTTATTTTCTTCCTGCTTGCTTGTTAAATTATATCTTGATATCGAAAATTAAACTGTTTTTTAAACCAGGTGTTCACTTTTCATTGATTTTTGCATAGTACTTGGTGAACCCTATTGATTTTTAGATTCAGGTAATTTTTCAGTGTGAAAGAGTTTTTCTGTTATATCTTCACTGTGATATCCATTCCATTCCCTTCTCAGTTAATACTCAGTTTAGCTCTAGTATCTGTCTCTCAAATTATGTTTAATTGCTTTTATCACTTTGTCCTTTAGATATTTTCAAACTTAAATCTTGTTATCTGTCATTAATTTCCTTTAGTATAAATTCATTTCTCTACTGCTGCTGCTTCTAATTTAAATGCTTCTGTGCTGCCATTTCTTTCCTTATACTCTCCCTTCTTTTCAGATGTCTTTTTTATTCATTGATAGAATTCATTATTTATTTAATGTTTTTGAGAATGTAGTCAGCCAAGTTTCTTCTACCTCTTTGGTTTGTTTGTTTGTTTGTTTGTTCGTTTGTTTGTTTGTTTTTTAGTCGGAGCCTTGCTCTGTCGCCCAGGCTGGAGTGCAGTGGTGCAATCTTGGCTCACTGCAACCTCCGCTTCCCAGGTTCGAGCCATTCTCCTGCCTCAGCCTCCCGAGTAGCTGGGATTACAGGCATGTGTCACCATGCCTGGCTTATTTTTGTATTTTTAGTAGAGACGGGGTTTCACCATGTTGACCAGGCTGGTCTCGAACTCCTGACCTCAGGTGATCCGCCCACCTCGGCCTCCCAAAGTGCTGGAATTACAAGCATGAGCCACTGCACCCAGTCTGTTGTTTCTTTTTATGATACAGTATCTTGTCATTGGTTCCATTTTATTTACTAAATAAATGGAAAATTCTGTTTACTGAAGTGTCTTTCCTTTATAACTGATACCCTGCAGAACCCCTAAGTTTTATTTTGCTTTCATAAGGTTGCTCTTTTTTAAATTTTTAATGAAAGAGTAAGGACTCAAGTAGGTCAAGTGGCGACAGTTTTATGTGTAGCATATGGAAGTGCCATTAAATGAATGACCTGTCTTGAATTGATAGAGCATCTGTCTTTATTCCCATTGCTGCCATTCCAGATAAAGAACAAAGCACATCAAAGATTGAGAATATTTTTATTTTTAATTCAAAAATAAAAGCCAGAGAGGCAACTTACCATGTTTTCCCAACTTTGAATTCTTATAGCATACTCTTTACTGTTCTGTGCTCTGTGTTGTGTTAACATTATTGATTTGAAGGCATTTGCATTAAATTTGAAATGTTAAAATGTAAACAAAAATTTAGTTGTAAATAATTATAATATATTGTTAAAATCCATAGCAGACACTGTTCCTGGATATTTGCTGGAATGGCAGTGGTAGCAAGTGTTGTCTTTTCTTTCTAGTTAATGCCTAGCTTGTTGCCTGGCACTGAAGAGAAAGTAAATATTTGAACAAGGGAATGAATGAATGACAGAGGGAAATGGCGACTGCTTTATGAAATAACTTGTTAGGTTAATTCTAAGGTATTTATATTTCATATTCTTTTCTTAAGGCTACTGATGCCCGAAGGGCTTTTCCTTGCTGGGATGAGCCTGCTATCAAAGCAACTTTTGATATCTCATTGGTTGTTCCTAAAGACAGAGTAGCTTTATCAAACATGGTATGTATGTGTTTATAAGTTTATCTAAAATTTTAATAGGCTTTAGCAGATTTAGTTTGCTGATTAGATGGGATAATATGAAACCACCTACCACAGTGCTGGTATATTATAGGAACATAAATAATAGTTTTCTTTATTTTCAATAAGCCTCTTTTTCTTTCTTTTTTTTTTTTTTCTGTAGAGTTGGGGTCTCATTATGTTGCCCAGGCTGGTCTCAAACTCCTGGGGTCAATCTGTCTTCCTGCCTCAGCCTCCCAAAGTGCTGGGATTAGAGGCATGAGCCACCATGCCCAGCCAAGACCTCTTTTTCTTGATAGCTTTATTTTTGGAGGATTTTGTCCTTGTCAAATTCCTTGTTAAATACATTTATAAGATTATCTACTTCTTTTAATTTAGAGAGGTAAATTGACAAGTTTAATAGATTTATAGTAACTAAAAGCAAAAGTCTTGGGCTGGATATGGTGGCTTACACCTGTCATCCCAGCACTTTGGGAAGTCAAGGTAGGCAGATCGCTTGAGGTCAGGAGTTGAAGACCAGCCTGGCCAACATGGTGAAATCCTGTCCTTACTAAAAATACAAAAATTATCTGAGTGTGGTTGCACACACCTGTAGTCCCAGCTACTTGGGAGGCTGAGGTGGGAGGATCACTTGAACCCAGGAAGCGGAGGTTGTAGTGAGCTGAGATCACACCACTGCACTCCAGCCTGGGTGACAGAGCCAGACCCTATCTCAGAAAAAAAAAGAAAAAAAAAAGAAAAAGGTCTTGACTTATTAAATGTCATAAGAAAGCCAGGTACAGTGACTCTTGCTTGTAATCTCAGTGCTTTGGGAGGCTAAGGCAGGAGGATTGCTTGAGGCCAGGAGTTTGACACCAGTCTGGGCAACATAGTGAGACCTCATTTCTACAAAAGATTTAAAACTTAAAAGTTAGCCAGGTATGGTGGCAGGTGTCTGTAATCCTAACTACTTGGGAGGCTAATGTGGGAGGATCTCTCGAACTTAGGAGTTTGAGGCTACAGGGAGCCATGATTGCGCCACTGTATTCCAGCCTGGGTGACAGAACAAGACCCCATCTCTTAAAAAAAAAAAATAGGCCAGGCATGGTGGCTCATACCTGTAATCCCAGCACTTCAGGAGGCTGAGGCAGGTGGATCATTTGAGGCCAGGAGTTCGAGACCAGCCTGGCCAACATGGTGAAACCCCATCTCTACTAAAAATACAAAAATTAGCCAGATATGGTGGCAGGCACCTGTAACCCCAGCTACTTGGGAGGCTGAGGCAGGAGAATTGCTTGAACCTGGGAGGCGGAGGCTGCAGTGAGTTGAGATCGCGCCACTCCGCTCCAGCCTGGGTGACAGAGCAAGACTCCATCTCGGGGGGAAAAAAAAAAGGTTGCAACAGAGCAAGACCCTGTCTCTATCTTTTTAAAAAGTTAAAAGAATTCAAAAGATGTAGCTGCATAATGAAGTATATTTAGGTTTCTGGCTGTTTGTATTCTTGGAATGTATTCTCTTCACCAGTGTTATTGATCTCATTCATGAACAGGGTAAGCATTCCCCACTTGAAGTGTGTTGTCTAGGACTGTCTTGTGTGGGGAACTTGGAAAAACCTGCTGCACCTGAAAATAACTCTTTTATGTATTTACTGGGGGAGAGCATCCCATAAATAGAATGTCATTCTCTTCACACATATTCTTAGAAGAGGAGGCTAATACATTAAGCAGAAATATTCATTCACACTTTAGTATGAGTGAATTTATCAGTGTGTTCTTGAATAAGTCTTCCTTGGAAGGAAGAATAGAGAGAGCTTGAGGAAATGGAGCCTGAATAGGAAAAAGAGGGAGAACACCAAAGGAAATTAGGGACTCCAAAGGTAAAGTTGAAATTTCTTCACAAATAAGCTTAGAGCCAACTTTGGTAGAGAATGCCCTCGATCTAGAAGTTTGTATCCTTTGAAATGGGAGATTCTACAATTATATTATATTTTTTTTATTTATTTTTGAGAAGGAGTCTCGCTGTGTCGCCCAGGCTGGAGTGCAGTGGTGTGATCCCAGCTCACTGCAAGCTCCGCCTCCCTGGTTCACGCCATTCTCCTGCCTCAGCCTCCCAAGTAGCTGGGATTACAGGCACCCCCCACCATGCCTGGCTAATGTTTTGTATTTTTAGTAGAGACGGGGTTTCACCATGTTAGCCAGGATGGTCTTGATCTCCTGACCTTGTGATTCGCCCGCCTAAGCCTCCCAAAGTGCTGGGATTACAGGCGTGAGCCACCGCGCCTGGCCCCTATTTTATTTTTATTAATAGTCATTTTCTCCTAAACTTATGTCAGTTGAAAAGTATGAAGCCCTTACTTAAATCATCCCAATGCCTGGCTTATAATAAGTATTCGAGAAAAGTCCATTCCTCTTTTCTCTCACAGGTCCTTGGTAGTTTTAACACTTCAGCCTCCAGCTTCTTAGTATGAGTGTTTTATCAGACCACTTTCCTTCTTAAAGACAGCATAAAAGCACTGGATGAATTGGGGTAGAGAAATAAGCCATGCTAGAATAGAAAGGGGGAAAGAGATGCAATAAAGCCTACAGTTTTTGGCTGGTATTTGCTCTATGGTATTAATGTAAACCTATTTAAATTTTTCTTTTTTTTCTTTCTTAAAGAATGTAATTGACCGGAAACCATACCCTGATGATGAAAATTTAGTGGAAGTGAAGTTTGCCCGCACACCTGTTACATCTACATATCTGGTGGCATTTGTTGTGGGTGAATATGACTTTGTAGAAACAAGGTCAAAAGATGGTGTGTGTGTCTGTGTTTACACTCCTGTTGGCAAAGCAGAACAAGGAAAATTTGCATTAGAGGTAAATGTACTTGAAGAGGATTGTTCCAGCAGTCCATAACTCCAGGTTGGGGAATTTACATTTCTGGTCAATTATTAGTACAGTTATTTATAATTTAATCTGAAAGTTGTGCTACTTGGTTTATTTTTAATAGAATTTAGGAAATGCCAACCTTGGTGTTTCGTTATTTTACAAAATAATAATTAAGAGAATATAAGAGTGGAATTTCTCTAGGGAATGGGTTGGAAAATATGTAGTTATATTTTTCATATCAAGTTATAAATGGATTAAAGTTTGGCCATTGTATTCAAAGTTTGGAGCTAAGGCAGTCTTCGGAGGTAGGGCTCCCTGGGATTCATTTCTAGTAATTTAAGATACATTGGCTTGCAACAGGATTCCTTTGTGGGTTTCAATATGAATTATAATAACATATTTATTAGATGGTTATTTTGTTTATACTTTTATAGGTTGCTGCTAAAACCTTGCCTTTTTATAAGGACTACTTCAATGTTCCTTATCCTCTACCTAAAATTGATCTCATTGCTATTGCAGACTTTGCAGCTGGTAAAGTAAATTTCATTTTATTGCTGAATTGTAATAACTTTTTAAAATTTTGTGACTTTTGATGCAAGAGTATATATATATATATATATATATATATCTCAATAAATGTTTATATTTATTTTGTGAAGGTGCCATGGAGAACTGGGACCTTGTTACTTATAGGTATGTTAATGATGTATTACCCTGCCTTATCTTTTCAAATCACTGATTTCAAAAGGGCTTCCCTCCTAATCACAGTTGAGTAGCTTCTGCTTTACGATATGGTGTAAATTTTTCTACCTTCCCCCACTTCCATGCACATTTCAAGAATGCAGATGGACACCTCTCCCTTTGGTGCTACTGTCTGAGGGTGTAAGATTTTAAAGTGAGCATCTGGCGGTAGTAGCATTTTTAGATATATTCTTGGCTAAGTTTCTCATTGCAGTGCCTTTCTTTCCTGCCAGTAGTTTCATAGCTATTTATCCAGCTTGGAGAACCTTCCCTAATTTCATATCTTCTAGCCAAGTTTTTACATGTCTGTCACCACAACATAAACATGTGAGTTGAATAACTTTTAAAAGCAGAGTCTGTCTGTAAACAAGTTTTTGCCTTCTACTTTCAATTGCCTTCTTAGATGAGCTAAGTGTTGAACGGCCGGCTCAGTGCTGTTTTTGGGACTATGGAATGCATCTTCCTCCACCACTCCCCTCATTTAATGAAAGGACTTTCTTCTCTCTCCATCTAGCACAGTAATCGCTAATCCCTTAGACAATGTTTTCCCAAAATTTCAGGCAGCTATTCTATCAACAAACTGATAATTAAACTTGTGTCACATCTTTGATATTCTGTTGTATTAATTCTGTTGGGGTAGTCTTTAATCTTCGTGAAACTTTTTCTTTCCATATTAGGAAATATTTTCCTAATATCTCTAAAGCCTAACTTGTCCATCTGACTTACTGTCTGAATCTTCCCAACTTATGCATGCCCACTTTTATTGTTTAAATTTGTTTCTCTTTTTTTTTTTTTTAAACATAGGGAGACTGCATTGCTTATTGATCCAAAAAATTCCTGTTCTTCATCCCGCCAGTGGGTTGCTCTGGTTGTGGGACATGAACTTGCCCATCAATGGTTTGGAAATCTTGTTACTATGGTATTTAATATTTTTAAGTGCTCAAATATATTTATCTTCATCCTACTCCACATTATTTTGGCTACATAGTATTTCAAGTTTGGCTGCAACACTGTGCCAAAAAATAATTGAGTGATAGAAAAGTATTATTTTAAAAGGTCCACTTTGAAAGGGCTTATCAGAATCTCTGCATTGAACAAGGGCATATGGACAGTCTTTATTCAACAGACACTTCCTAAACTGTTCTAAAATTTGTCTGCAAATGGGAAAAGTCAAGATACTAATTTGGGTGAGAGGAAAAGATTCCTCTTAGGTGTAGATGAATGAATCATGCAGTGAGATTCCAGGCTAACTGTAGTTTCTTGAATCTTATTTGTTAATCTGACTCACAGCTGAAAAGTAACCTGATGAATAACAGACTGATCTTTAATTAGAGAGAAATGTTTTTAGGAGTCAGTTTTTTCATTGCCTAAAATGTTAAGTTGAAATTTAATGAAATAAAAGTAAACAAACTGCAGAGTGACTGCAGAATAAAGCTGTATTAAAATTCCAGCTGTTCTGTTGAAATCCTTATAATGTTTGCAGTAATGATCTCTGTCCTTCAGTCCTGATTTTTCACTCTTACTCTAAGTAAATACTATTTATGAATGCCAACTGTGTTAGAGCTTGGGAGCACAGGATTTAATAAGTGAACTAGATGTACCTCTGCAATTAAATAACTGGATATTCTGGAGCCAGCTAGATTCCCTGACATTTTAGGCTGCCAAAGAGCAGAACCTGATTTGAATGTAGATTGAGTCCATACGTTATATAAATAAGAATGTAAGACATTTATCAACTGTTACGTGTCTCAGAGAGTTTCTACAGAAAGTCAACCCTTGAAAATAAATCTTTTCCTTTTATTTTGGATGTTTAAAATTTTACAGGTGAAAAAAATTCTTTGAAATATAATTTCAGGCCGGGCACGGTAGCTCACGCCAGTAATCCCAGCACTTTGGGAGGCCGAGGCGGGTGGATCACTTGAGGTCACGTGTTTGAGACCACCCTGACCAATGTTGCGAAACTCCATCTCCACTAAAAAAAAAATAGAAAATTAGCTGGGCGTGGTGGTATGCACCTGTAATCCTAGCTACTCTGGAGGTTGAGGCAGAAGAATCGCTTGAACCTGGGAGGCAGAGGTTGCAGTGAGCCGAGATCACGCCACTGCACTCCAGCCTGGGCAACAAGAGCGAAACTCCATCTCAAAAAAAAAAAAAAAAAGAAATATAATTTCATGTGGAACTATGTGTTGGTGCCTGTATTCAAATATGTGAAGAAATGGCCTTTTCTTCTAATGCAGCGAGTTTGCTACTTTGTACCAAATAATTTTTTTGCTTGGCTTTGAGATAACTTTATGATTTTATTTTGAAACTACAAGCAATAAATTTTAGTAGGGGAAATGTGTACATTCTTATTAAACAACTTTTTACTGGTTTTATGTAACTATTCTAGTTATTAGAACTGAAATTCCAAGGGCTTAGGGATAGGTTGGAAAATAAGTTTCATTTTATGCTAGTTTATTTTAGGAAGCTACTAGGCAAATAGCCACTTATCACTTAATATCAAAATAATTTTTTTTTTAAGACAGAGTCTCACTCTGTCAGTTAAACTGGAGTGCAATGGCACAATCATGGTTCATTACAGTCTTGACCTCTGGGCTCAAGCAATCCTCCTGTCTCTGCCTCCTGAGTAGCTGCAATTACAGGTGTGTGGCACCATGCCCAGCTTATTTTTGCACTTTTTGTAGAGACAAGGTTTCACTGTATTGCCTTTTGTAGAGACAGGGTTTCACTTTGTTGCCTAAACTGGTCTCAAACTCCTGGGCTCAAGCAATCCTCCCACCTCAGCCTCCCAAAGTGCTGGGATTACAGGCATGAGCTACCACACCTGGCCTTTTCTGGGGGGACTGGTTGGGGATGGAGAATAGGATCTCACTTTGTTACCCAAGCCGGAGTGCAGTGGCACAATCATGGGTCAGTGCAGCTTCATCTTCCTGGGCTTATGTAATCCTCTTGCCTCAGCCTCCCAAGTAGCTGGGACCACAGGTGTGTGTCACCATGACCAGCTAATTTTTTTTTACTTTTTAATTTTTTTAGAGATGGAGTCTCACTGTGTTACCCAGGCTTATCTCAAACTCCTGGGCTCAAGTGATCTTCCTGCCTTGACCTCCCAGAGTATTGGCATTACAGGAGCAAGCCATTGTGCCTGGCCTGCTTTCTTTCACTAATAGGCTTAATCAACTTTAATAAAATTTAGATTAAGATCTTTAAAATTTTTTAAAAACTGATTTTATCTGTCACTCATATTCTTTGTCCATTCCATTTACTATGCATTCTTATTTAACAGGTGATAATTTTATATTCCATAAGTGCTTAAACACCATTCATTACTAAACTACATTTTTGTTTAATTTCACATAATTTTTATATAAGCAGTACTCTTTCTCAGTTTCTCTTGAACATTCAACTCATTAGTGAGTGGTTTTCCCCAGTCATTTCCATTTTTCTTTATTTGGCTCTGATAGTTTTCTGTTTTTGTTTTTCAGAGATAATCCTTTACTATACTAAATTCTACGTGATTATATTTTCCACCTCTATTTGCCTATATTTATCTGCTGTCTTTTCCTTTTCCATATATGGGCTTATTTTTTTTTTTCCCTCTTCTTCCTTTTCTACCTTTGGTATTTAAAAAGTTACTTAGGACTGAGTGCACTGGCTTACGTGTGTAATCCCAGCACTTTGGCAGGCTGAGGCGGGAGGATTGCTTGAGCCCCGGTGTTCAAGGCTGCAGTGAGCTACGATGGTGCCCCTGCCACTCCAGCCTGGGCAACAGAATGAGACCCTGTCTGGGTTTGGGGGAGAAGTTATTTACAATGTTTTGAAAATATCCTTTGGCCCAGGCATGGTGGCTCACACCTGTAATCCCAGCACTTTGGGAGGCCGAGGCAGGTGGATCACTTGAGGTCAGAAGTTTGAGACCAGCCTGGCCAACATGGCAAAACCCCATCTCTACTAAAAATACAAAAATTAGCCAGGCATAGTGATACATGCCTGTAATCCCAGCTACTGGTGAACACTCCAGCCTGGTGACAAAACAAGACTTTGTCTCAAAAAAAAAAAAAAAAAAAAAAAAAAAAAAAAAAAAAAAAGAAAGGAAAAGAAAATGACCCTCAGATATAATTCTAATATCACCAGTTGGCCTTTCTTGACATCTCTTTTAGTCTTCTCTCTTTTTCAGAAATGTGAGTTCTTTGCGAAATGTTTTGAACTGAATTTTAGGTCATTAAATTGTGAGTTTTGGAATATAGTGGAAGGGACATGTGAGTGTTTTAGATTAGTAGAATGACAATCATTTCAATTTCTTTAAGTATTTTCATCTTCTGTTTTTAGGAATAGTGGACTCATCTTTGGTTAAATGAAGGTTTTGCATCCTGGATTGAATATCTGTGTGTAGACCACTGCTTCCCAGAGTATGATATTTGGACTCAGTTTGTTTCTGCTGATTACACCCGTGCCCAGGAGCTTGACGCCTTAGATAACAGCCATCCTATTGAAGTGAGCCATACTTTCTAACCATTAGCCTATGACTGCTCTCATTTACAATGAAATACGTAATTTGTTACATAGATACTTTGGACTTTGAAAAGAAGAGAAAATAGCATGGGTGATTTTACTGGTTCATATTTCTAGTCTTGAAAAGCTAGTAAGTCTAAGTTCTAATTAAACATTTCTTTTAAAGGTAGGCAGTAAAAAAAAATTGGTCTGGCCAGGCGCAGTGGCTTACGCCTGTAATCCTAGCATTTTGGGAGGCTGAGGCGGGTGGATCACCTGAGGTCGGGAGTTTGAGACCAGCCTGACCAACATGGAGAAACCCCGTCTTTACTAAAAATACAAAATTAGCTGGGCACGGTGGCGCATGCCTGTAATCCCAGCTACTCGGGAGGCTGAGGCAGGAGAATCACTTGAACCTGGGAGGCAGAGGTTGCGGTGAGCCGAGATCGTGCCATTGCACTCCAGCCTGGGCAACAAGAGCAAAAAACTCTGCCAAAAAAAAGAAAAAGAGTAGTATGGGAGAAGTCATACCTATTGGGTAACACTATGGTTCCATTGTTTATGTCAAGGAAAATTCTGGACATATTTTATTGTCAGGGTCTGTTTTGTGAATACTTTAATTCTCTTGACTTAGCCTATCCCTACTTCAGTTTATATATATAAATTTTGTATCTAAAGAACTAGAGTTATAATCCTACTTCAACATATTTAATTAGGCTCCCATATAATTGTAATTCATTACAATTAGTGCAAGAAATCTAATGTTCTTCACCTCCATGTCTTCCTCATCACTCCTCTGCAACTACCCCAAAAATAAACAGAACCATAGTGGCTTCTTTCCCAGCAGAACAAAGCCAGGACTGGAACCCAAGCTCTAAGGGATGACAGGAATCATGTTCTATTCAACTTTATTATTATTAGTTACTACATTTTTTTGAGGACCATCGTTATACATTATGAGTGAGTTAAAGGCAGAAAAATGTAAGTTAGAAGGGTTTTCCTAGAAAGCGTTTTATGTAATTCAGTATTACAGGCTATCTGCTTCCTGTCATAACCCTGAATCACACTGTCTGCCAGGTCAGTGTGGGCCATCCATCTGAGGTTGATGAGATATGTGATGCTATATCATATAGCAAAGGTGCATCTGTCATCCGAATGCTGCATGACTACATTGGGGATAAGGTAAAAAAAAAAAACTTTAAGTATTTCATTCTTTCATGGTGAAATCATAAGAGTTTTGCATGAAAAAAAGTCTCACTTTATTTGGATTAAGTTCCCAAATAGTTTCTGGCTTGTCATTTTTTTTAATGACCAAAAAGAATGAGAATTCAATTATTTGAAGTTGACTACTGTGGTCTCTTAGATGAGTGATGTGCAGGTGTGTTTGGGAGTGGAAATGGGAGGCTGTTATAAAACTTAAGAGCAAGAATAGAAGGCATAGAGTACGCATTATTAAATAAAAGGCAGTAGGCATCAGAAGGATATATGTGTTTCAGTGTATCTGATACTTGAGTATTTGAGTAAATTTGTTTTTGATTACTAATATACAAATATACTATAAATTCTGAGATCTGACTTCCCTGGATTTTAAAAATTGTGTTTTCTCAGGACTTTAAGAAAGGAATGAACATGTATTTAACCAAGTTCCAACAAAAGAATGCTGCCGCAGGTAATCTTTAATAGCTTGAGATAGAAATGGAGAGAAAGTATTGTCACTCTATCCAGGCTGGGACATTTTATTTTTGTTCTGAATACTTAACTCAAGGTCAGGATCCATGTAATAAATAAATTAGCCTTATTTGAAGCTGTGTTCAGGTTGAATATCTCTAATCTGAAATTTGAAATGCTCCAGAATCTGAAACTTTTTCTTTTCTTTCTTTCTTTTTTTTTAATTAAAGTTCTAGGGTGCATGTGCACAATGTGCAGGTTTGTTACATCAGTATACATGTGCCATGTTGGTTTGCTGCACCCATTAACTCGTCATTTACATTAGGTATTTCTCCTAATGCTATCCCTCCCCCAGCCCCCTACCCCATGACAGGCCCTGGTGTCTGATGTTCCCCGCCCTGTGTTCAAGTGTTCTCATTGTTCAATTCCCACCCAAAATCTGAAACTTTTTGAGTGCCAACGTGATGCTCAAAGGAAATGCTCATTGGAACATTTTAGATTTTGGATATTGCAATTATAGATGCTCAGCTAGTAAGTATAATGCAAATATTCCAAAATCCAAAAGAAATATGAAATTCAAAACATTTCTGGTCCCAAGCATTTTGGATAAGGGACACTCAACCTGCAGTAAGTCATAGGGTCAACATGAATCAGGACTCATTATCCCTTTGGTCATCCTCCAGCATTCTGCTTTCCATAACTGAATATTTTGCCAACTTAAAGAGTCTGGGCCGGGTGTGGTGGCTCACGCCTGTAATCCTAGCACTTTGGGAGGCCAGGATGTGAGGACTGATTGAGCCCAGGAGTTCAAGACCAGCTTGCAACATAGCGAGACCCCACCTCTACAAAAAATACAAAAATATTAGCCGGGTGTGGTGGTATGTGCCTGTAGTCCCAGCTACTCAGGAGGCTGAAGTGGGAAGGGTCACTTGAGCCCAGGAGTTTGAGGTTACAGTGAGCAATCGTGGCACCACTGCACTCCAGCCTGGGCAACAGAACAAGATCCTGTCTCTGAAAAAATAAAAAATCAAGGGAATAGTCATGTGTTGCTTAACAACAGGGATATGTTCTGAGAAATATGTTGTCAGGCAATTTCATCAATATGTGAACATCATAGAATGTACTTACAGAAACCTACACAGTATGTCCTAGGCTATATACACCTAGCCTACATGGTATATACCCTGTTGCTCCTAGGCTACAAAATACCTGTACAGCATGTTACTGTACTGAATACCATAGGCAATTATAACACAATAGTATTTGTATACCTGAACATTTCTCAATATAGAAAAGTTACAGTAAAAATATGATATTAAAGATGCTCCATCAGCTGGCTGATATGCCTATAATCCGAGCACTTTGGGAGGCTGGGGCAGGTGGACTGCTTGAGTCCAGGAGTTTGATACCAGCCTGGGCACCATGCCAATACCTCGTCTCTATAAAAAGTACAAAAATTAGCTGGGTGTGGTGGCATGTGCCTGTAGTCCCAGCTACTTGGGAGGCTGAGGTAGGAGGATCATAGTTTCAAAGTGTGGCACTTACTGGTTCTCCACTCACTCCCTCCTGCCGTCTTGTGAAGAAGGTGCCTGCTTCCCCTTCCCCTTCTGCCATGATTGTAAGTTTCCGGAACTGCAAGTCAATTAAGCCTGTTTCCTTTATAAATTACCCAATCTCAGGTATTTCTTTACATCAGTGTGAAAACAAATGAATACAGTCCCCTTCCCTGAGGTGCCTTCTCCTTAGGCAACCAGCTGCCCCCATGCTCCTCTTCTGCCCCCCTGGTATTTCCTTTCCCCTCATGAGGCCCAAGTGATCCACATGGCCAGCCACAGCCCCATCCTACTGCAGGCCTGTGTGGCTGCTAGAGAGGCCAGGCTCCTTTCCGCACCCCGAGGCTGCCCGATATGCTTTCTGCATCCTGTAGAAAACTGACCCACTATTCTCATACTGGTGCAACTTCTTCCATTACCTCAAAACTGGACAACGTGAACTTGTTTCTTGTCTCTTCTTGCTAGGGCTGTCACTGGGACAGTCCGAGATGGGGGGGTGGGGGGAGACAATGGATGAATGGATGGATGAATGGACAGTAGTCCAGGGAGATGTCCCTGTGTGTCCTGAACTGGGACCTTCCTCCAATGAGAAGCCTTCCTGAGTGAGTTTATACAGTCATCCCTTGGTATCCATGGATTAGTTCTAGGGTCCCCGGGGATGCCAAAATCCATGGATCCTCAAGTCTCTGACATAACATGGCCTAGTATTTACATATCAGCTATGCACATCCTCCCGTAGACATTAGACCATCTCTGGATTATTCATGATGTGTAATACAATGCAGATGCTACATAAATGGTCGTGATACTGGATTCTTTAGGGAATAATGACAAGAACAAACTCTGCACATGTTCAATAGAAACATAACCGTCCAATTTATTTTCTGAATATTTTCCATCTGCTGTTGCTGAATCTACAGATGCAGAGCTCCTGGATACGAGAGCCAAGTGTGCTTTGAGAGTAGGGTGGGTGAGGTTGCTAATGAGTACAGGGGAGCAGGTGTTGATCAGGAGGACCCTGCACTGGGGCATCTGGACGTCCTGCCTCAGGACTTGAGACTCCAGTTGGATGGCACAGGCAGACTCAGCCCAGGTCAAAGCCGTCCCCTTGAAGTTTCTTTTTATCCCAAGCTCTTTCTGGCCCCTGGAATTTGGCATCCCCTAGGCCCTGTGTGGAAGGACAGATGAACCAGGTTTTAGATAACATGTCTAGAAGAGTGAGCCCCTACTGTGTGCCCGGCACTTTCCCCACAGGATCCTCTAGCTAGAATATCCAAGGGTCATGGAGAGAAATACCCAGTTAAAATATCAGAAATGAAAAAGCGATACCATTAGAGACACTAAAAAGACCATTAGGTAATAGTACTAGCTTTTGTATTCTGAGATCCAACAGCAGCAGTCACTTCCCTCCACCGCTATGTGTATCCCAGGACCACCCTGGGCAGGGAGGGCTGAGGTTAGGGAGCAGCCATGGATGCTCTGATGCTGGCCCTGGGCCTCGGGGGTGACAGTGATGAGGAACTGGGTGCACACATGAGTGGGGCAGCCGGGCCTGGCCAGAGAAGCAGCACACACGTGCACAGATGTGTTTACCCACATACACATGTGCACGCACGTGCACAAACACATTGCAGGCAGGCATGTTGACGCCTCAGGCAGCGGAGGACCCTGACTCTGGGTGCTGCTGACCCGGGCAAGGCCCCACTGTGATTCGTGCCATGACCTCAGAATGTCACTGGTGCTTAGCACCTATCTGCTCTCTGGTCTGCCTCAGTGGTCTACAGCAGTTACACACAGGCAGTGGTATCTGTGAGCAGCTCTGTGGACTCAAAGGTTTTCTCCCTGAGAGGCATGACCCAGGCCAGCTGATTCATCAGAATCAGGTGAGCGTGACCTGCTCTCTTCCCTCCAGGCGGACTTGGGGGCAGTGGCTACGGTGCGGGCGGTGTTGGCCTCTGTGGGGCAGCTACCGAGGAGGGTCATCCCTGAGCACTCACCAGGCGCCCGTTCTACACTGCCCGTGTAGACGATTGGCTCTTTCGTCTCCATGGTGGCTTCGTAGAGTGGGTGCTGTTCCCAAATGTCCCCATTCGACAGATGAGACGTCTGGGGTCAGAGAGGCAGTAACCGGCCTGGGAATCCGGACATGACCCTGAGTTTTGCTCTCAGCCCTGCCGTGTGCTGTGCTGGAATTCAGGCCTGAACCCTGTGACCTCCCTGCCCTAGATCCCAAATCTGCCCAGGTTTCCCATCCCGATGGGGCAGAGCCTGGTCCTGGCAGAGCCACTGGTATAGAGCCACTGGTACAGATCCACTGACGGTCCTCAGAACACCTCTGTGCCCTAAGCTGGGTCCTGATGGTCGCTGTGGGCCCCACTGAACACACATGGTCCCTTGTCCGGGGGAGCCTGCTGCCCTTGGGCAGCTGTGGAAAATGAAGGAGCCCTGGAGGGCTGGCTGAGGGGAGACTATCTTCCCTTGTGTTCAAAGGGGTCCGGGCACTAGGGTTCTCCCCAGGTATTTCTTGCTCTGCGTGGTCCTCTTGAGGCCTCGCCCTCCTTTTGCCTCGAGTATTCCCAGGAGGGACGGTCCATCCAGCTGTTCTCCAGGACCAAGGACCCACTGTTCTTCCTCAGTGACCCAGGAAAATGAAGCCTCCTCCTGTTGGGACGGCTCAGAATGGTGGACTCCACAGTCCCTCCGCGAGAGACGTGGTTTCCATGCGTACAATAGATCTTCCTCATCCCCCAAACCCAACACCCTCCTGCTCAACAGGCGTTATTCCTAAAGTGGCTTCACTGTTCAGACTGAAGAGCCACGGTAGCCAAAGTGATGAGCGGAGTAGAACCGAGCAGTCGGGAGAGATCTTGTTCCCTGTAGGAAACTGGGCATCGCTGAGGCCCTGAGCATCCCAGGAGGCCGATTGCACAGAGACCTCTGGTCGCTGACCCCAGTCTGCCTCCACATCCCTGGAATAGCCCATCATGGGCCCTTCACCCTTGGCAGGTGGAAACCATTCAACCTGCTGGGGCCGGTGTGTCCCCATTTCATGGCATTGGGGGACAACAGGATTCTCTGTCTAGGTCCCACTGTACTCAAGTCCTTGGGAAGATGCCCACCCCTGCTTGGGACTTGAGACTCCAGAGACTGGAGCAGCTGTGGGCCACTGGGTCTGGCCCCTTTTTCCCTGGGGGCGGCGGTGGAATGGGGGTTACGCAGCCAGCCAGCATCTGGGAGCCCGGCGAGAGCGGTTCAGGTGTTCTCCGAAGCCGCCGCGTACAGTGTGACCTTTAGACAATTCTGTCTCACAGGATGGACGTGGTAGAGGTCGCGGGCAGTTGGTGGGCACAAGAGCGAGAGGACATCATTATGAAATACGAAAAGGTACAAGTCGGTCTGCTTCTTGGAGGGAGGCCTCTTCCAGTGTGCCCTGGTCAAAGGGTCCTGGGCTCCCTAGGAGCACAGGGCAGGGACGGGTGGCCAATGCCCCCAGGCCCTTGCACCCTTTACCTTGGACCCCTCACCAAGGCTCCCTCTGGGCTACAGGGACACCGAGCTGGGCTGCCAGAGGACAAGGGGCCTAAGCCTTTTCGAAGCTACAACAACAACGTCGATCATTTGGGGATTGTACAGTGAGTCCTCTGCACTCCCCTCACCCCTAAAGCACCTGTCTCAGCTCAGGGATGGGTTTGCTTTTAGAAAGGCCTTTCTGACGCAGGACATGTCTCACCAGGTCGGGTCAACCTCCTTTCCAGGGACAGAACTCCTCCCTGACTCCCCTGCAGGTCCAGCCCGAGGTTGTTAGGCCAGAGGTGTGGGGCCCATCTAGGGAGCCGGTGGGAATGGAGACTGGGCTAGGTCAGGCCCCTGGGCGCTCAGCAGTTCTGTCGGCAAGTGAGCACAAGAGGAGCGGGGCAGCCTGAGGGTCTGGCCCTGTCTACTTGGAGACAACCCCGGTGAGATGCAAGGGTTATGGCCACAGGGTGAGGGGACGCCTGGCCCAGCCTCAGGGCTGTTGTCCAGCAGGTCTCTGAGGGCCCACCTGCCCCTGTTCTCCCCCATTCCCCTAGAGCTACAGCCCTCACTGTCCCGTGAGGGGAAAAGGCATGGTGACAATGGGGGCTGTAGCCCTAGGAGAACGGGGGAGAAGATGGGCAGGGCCCCGTTCTGGGCATCTCACGGTGAGGCCAGGGAGGCAGCAGGGCTCGCGGCTAAAGACCTGGGTCTGGTGCTGGGAAGGGATCTGGGGCCAGGTAAGAGGAGCCCAGCCAGGAGCCCATCCCTCAGGGATCACAGGATGGAGAGACAGAGGATCCCTGGGGAGGTAGGGCGGGAGGGAGCTGACGAGCGGTGCCACTTCTGAAACGCAGGGTGTGTGGCTCGGGTGCAGGGAGAGGCAGGTGGATGCTGGGAGGTCAGAACCTGCAAGGGCCTTGGGGCTGTCAAGTGGGGTGGGCCCCTGGTGCAGCCAGAGTACACCGGGCAGGTCTCAGGGCAGGCTCCCTTGACCCTGGCGGGGGGATGTGGTCACTCCCTGAGGGACTCCTGTCAGGGCCCGGTCGCCCACCCTGGGCGGCCCCCATCCCATCTCAGGGCTAACCTTTCTCAGCTCCAGCAGAAAGCACCACCTCGAGTCCAGGACGGGCAGCCCCATTGGGCAGCCTGACCGCCCCCCACGCCAGGGGCCCCAGTAACCCCGGCCAGGCTGTCCCTACACTCCTTCTTCTCCCAGGTCCTGCCCCTCCTGGGAGTCAGCCCCACAGGAAGGCCCTTGTCCTCCCTTCCCTGTGCCTTCTCCTGGGCTGAGCCCTGAGCTGGAAAGGGACAGAGCCAGTCCTTTCTGGGGGTCGGCACCCAGGCTGGGGCCGCTCCAGGCCCCGTGCAGTTCCTCAGCTCTGCCTGGGTTGCCTTACAGTGAGACGGAGCTGCCTCCTCTGACTGCGCGGGAGGCGAAGGTAAGAGCCTGATGCGTGGAGGGGCTGGTCCAGGGACGTAGGGACTGGGCGGGTGGTCAGTGAGGCAGAGGAAGCAGCTGGCCTGAGCGGTGGCGGGTGAGGGCAACACGCTGTCACTGGGAGGGGCAGCAGTCCCTGCTGGACCTGACCCCAGGTTGCTGTTCACTTTGGCAGTTTGATAAAATTCCAAAAGGAGAACCACAGTCCTGGCTTGGGGGTGGCTGCGCGCTTGTGTCAGGACCCCACCTAGAGGCTGGGACCTAAGACTGGTGTGTCTGTGGCCTGAGGATGGTACATCCCGGGGTCCCAAAGCCAGCCCACTGGTGCTCATTTGCTCAAAGGCTCTCAGCCCTTGAGGTCTGCCCTTCCCTGGCTCCTTCCAGCTGGCTCCCACCAGGGCTCCAGAGCCCAAGACCCAGCATCTGCGGGCGGCTCTGGGAAGCCTGGCAGCTCCGCTAACTCCAACATGCCTCATTTGACAGCAAATTCGGCGGGAGATCAGCCGAAAGAGCAAGTGGGTGGATATGCTGGGAGACTGGGAGAAATACAAAAGCAGCAGAAAGGTAACGTGTGGAGGGAGGAAGCACTCTCTGCAGAGACAGGGGACAGGCACCCATGGCTGTGGCCTGGCACCATCAGCCTCTCAGAGGGTGGGCGGCACACTGTCCTCGCCCAGAGGACTGCAGGCCTGGTCGCCAGATTTCCTGCCTATTCGTGCAAGCGTCACCTTGCAGGGAGGGAATCTGAATCTAGGGCTGGGACTACCCGGAGCTCAAGGCTAGGGATGCCCTGGGGACCTGAAGGAAGGAAAAGGTTCAGATCAGAGTTTCGACTCTGAGTGTCCATCCACTCTTTCAGTCCTGGGAAGGGAGACCCTGTCCCAGCTTGATCTCACCTCTACTGAGGAATCATGGGGCCAAAACCGACAATTTCCAGAATCCCCGGGCTCTGGTCCTCACTGGGGTCACCCCGTGGCCTGTGACACCAGATCGTTTTCTGCCCACAGCTCATAGATCGAGCGTACAAGGGAATGCCCATGAACATCCGGGGCCCGATGTGGTCAGTCCTCCTGAACATTGAGGAAATGAAGTTGAAAAACCCCGGAAGATACCAGGTACGCTCAGCCAGAGCACAACAAACAGGACAGGCCGTGTCGGGGCCCAGGTCTCCAGCTGGAGGGAACGTCAAGACCACCCTGGGGAGCTGGGGGTGAAGGTCAGATGAACACCCTGGGCACAGATGGTGACACAGTCACCACAGACAAACTCAGCTCTGGTGACCCTCCCTGGCTTCAGTAACAAGCCAAAATGCAGCTTTCTGCAGAAGGAAACCTTCCTTCTGTCCTTCCTTCCCGAAGTGCTGACTGTGGGCTGACTGCCACTGGGGGCAGGGAGTCTTCCATCTGTTCTGAGACTGCTTCCTCCTCTTGGCCCTGCCCTACAGATCATGAAGGAGAAGGGCAAGAGGTCATCTGAGCACATCCAGCGCATCGACCGGGACATAAGCGGGACATTAAGGAAGCATATGTTCTTCAGGGATCGATACGGAACCAAGTAAGCCTACGGGAGCCACAGGGTCCCAGCAGAGATGGGGTGAATGAGAGGGATGGGGGCTTCCCCGGAGCAGAAGCCAGGGTCACCCAGGAGGGATGACACAGCTGCCAAGAGCTCTCCCGGCCCAGGGAGCAGCCGGCACCATGAACCGAGCACCTCCCTGGTTCCAAGCCCTGGGCCAGACTGGAACATGTGGGGCCAGAACCCAGGAGGATCCTGAGGAGATGGAAGGCAGCAAACAAAATCATGCACAATGGTGAAGGGTGCTCTCCCTGACCCATGGGGACCCATGGTAGGACCCACGGGAGGGTGGCAGGATAGAGGGCCCATGAGCCCCCCCCAGGCAACAGTGACAGCACCAAATGCTGGGAGAATTAGGGGTCCTGGAAACTCTCATCCAGGTCCGCTGGGAACATGACATGGCACAGCCACGTTGGCAGCCAGTTGGGCAGTGGCTCACAAAGCTCGATGGACTTGAACCACACATCCCCAAAGTGTCACAGATATTGAACCCACTGATTTGCAAACTGACATCCACATGAAACCAGCATGCCAGGTTCACTGCTTGACTCCTCGTCACTCACACACGGAGCCTTCGGGGACGGCCTTCAACACGGGGATGGGGAGAGCAAGGCTGGTCCTCCCTTCAAACGGAAGACCCAGTGAGAAAAGGGAACGAGCCGGTGATGCCCGCACGAACGTGGGTGGATCCTAGATGCATTTTGCTGAGGGACAGAAGCCAGACCCAATAAGCTACCACAGTAGGATTCCCATTCCTAGGCCATTCTGGAAAAGGCCAAACCACAGGGACTGAGAAGCAGTCTGGGTGGCCAGGGGCTGACGGATCGGGGAGAGGCTGGTTGCATAGGGGCCACCCTGGAGACTTGGAGGATGAAGGAGTCGCCCCAGGAGGGGCTGGAGCGGTGGCCGGGAGACTCTGCACATCGGTTTGGAACCGTGGAGGAACTGTACACCCACAGACTGAACTGGCGTGTGTGCAAACTGAAAAAAAAAATCATTCAGAGTGAAAAGGATCAGGCAAGTCACTGTACAACTGGGCTATTTGCATGTCACAGATGTGGATTTTACTGAAACATTTCTTCAAGAGTCTCAGGCCCTGAAGAGCTCACTGCTTATCTGGTGAAACATCTGAACCTGAAATGGGATTTGCTGTTAGGCTTTGTAGACAAAGTGAAATTAACAACATCTGCACAAAACAAACCAAAGCCCCCTTTCTCTGTTTCCTAGGCAGCGGGAACTACTCCACATCCTCCTGGCATATGAGGAGTATAACCCGGTGAGTATTCCCGGCAGTGAGGTTCCCGGGCCATATTTCCATATTGACAGGAGTGGGTGTCTGGTGGGGGTGTCGTTGCTTCTTTTAAAGTTAGTATTTGTGACCCACCAGGATATAGGAGGTAGGATGTCAGCTCACCGCTGGCATAAACCTCCAAGGAAGGGGGTGGTCTCAAGGGGTCAAGCTGAGACACAAAGGAGTCAGGGCCCGGACTCCTGGTGTCACCTGGGCCTGACCACCACTTCTCAGAACAAGAAATGACGCCCTCCTCCTGGGGCTGCCCCAAAGCCCAGGAGCTTGGCAGCATCGCACACAGGATGGTGCTATCAGCAGACATTTTGGACAAGGTGCTGAAGTGCCTGATGGACTTGGCTCTTGTCATGAAATGAATGTGCATCCTGAGGAAGCCTCTTTTTCAGAGGAAGCCTCTCCTTCAGAGGAAGCCTCTCCAGTCACCTCTGCCCTCTCCAATGACATGAGTCCTCCCAGGTGACCTCAGCCCTCCCAGGTGATGTCCTTCCATGGTGACTCTGGCTCTTGCAGGAGGTGGGCTACTGCAGGGACCTGAGCCACATCGCCGCCTTGTTCCTCCTCTATCTTCCTGAGGAGGATGCATTCTGGGCACTGGTGCAGCTGCTGGCCAGTGAGAGGCACTCCCTGCAGGGTAAGTGAACAGCTGCCCCGGGGACCTCCTGCAGCCAGACCTGGGGATGGCCACCCTGGCCAGGTGATCACAGCTTTCAGCCAAGGCACCCTCCTTGTGTCGCCAGCTTGTTGGGAGACTTTAGGATGTCTCTGCTGAGGGTCCCACAGGAGTCCACGGCTGACCCCCAAAGCCCAAATCAGACGCCTGTCATCCCCATCAGCAGAGGGCATCTCATCCTCCCCGTGGCCACCCTCTGTGTCCTGGAGCCACGCCCTCCGGCTCTGATTCTGTGCAGCTGACTCTCCCCTCCCTGAGAGTCCTCCTGCCCTCCAGCTGCCCGGGCTCCTGCTGCCATCGGTGCCCACGAATGGGCCGACCAAGCCCAGGTGGCAGCATCTCCCCATCCCCTGTTCCCTGGCCCGACCCCACTACCAGGAGATGACCGGGAAGCCCAGCGCCCACCCAGTTCCGGCCACCCTGTCGTGGCCTGAAAGTCAGGCTTGCCCTTTTTGCACCCTGGCCCAGGAGGCCTCCAGGGGAACCTCCAGCCAGGCTCCAGGGAATGTTCCCGCCCCACCTCCCCAGGGTAAAGGCCGCATGTTGGGGTCACCAGATGGGAGGGTGGGAGGCCTTGGGGTTTGGGGGCCTCTCCAGCTGCCCAGCTCTTGCAGCTGATGGCTCCACATCTTGGGGGAAGGCTCTGATTTCATGATGGGCTGGGGGCTTCTCAGGATTTCACAGCCCAAATGGCGGGACCGTCCAGGGGCTCCAAGACCAACAGGAGCATGTGGTAGCCACGTCACAACCCAAGACCATGGGGCATCAGGTGAGTTTATGGTCCCCTCAGCTCTTCCCAGAGGCCCTGCCTCCCGTGGGGCTGTAGGAGCAGGGGGGCTGGAGCCCCTCGTGGGGCTGGTGACTGGCTGAGTCCCAGCCAGGGCCTGACCTGGGACGTCGGGTTCTCCATGGGCTGGGAGTTGGTTTCCTTTCCTGCCCTGGAGGAGACAGAGGCACAGGGATGGGGGCCCAGCTCCCACAGAGCAGGGCAAAGGGCAGTGTGTCCACCGGGAGTGTGGGAAGGTGACAGTGTTGTGGGGAGCTCTGGACACCGCCCAGTGTTCTGCACTAGGGGAAGGGTCTTCAGAGGCCCTGGAAGAGGGAGGTTTTTAGGGCAGCCCAGTGGCCTGAGCACCTCTGTTGCTTCCATCAGGACAAGAAAGATCTATGTGGGCAGTGTTCCCCGTTAGGCTGCCTCATCCGGATATTGATTGACGGGGTAAGGAGGCATAGGGAGACCCTGGCTCAGGGACCTTCCTTGCCCTGCAGTGCCCTGCTTCCCCAGCCCGGGGGTCTGGCTCACTCCCAGCCCACAGGAGGCTCAGGCGGGTCCCCAAAGGACACACAAGCAAAACCCTCTGCCCAAGGGGGGTCATCCCAGGGCCATGGCTGGGGCTCAGGCCCAGCCTCATGGGCAGACTGGGCCAGGACCCGACTTGAGAGGGCTCAGGGAAGCCTCAAGCCCTGGGCAAGCCCCTCTCTCCAGGAGCCACATCCCCACTCAAATGAGTGCCCCCCATGAGGAGCTTCAAGACCTTGTCTGACCCAGCGTCCTGGAGGGCTCAGGCGACCCTCATGGGGAAGGTCACTGACTCTGGAGACTGAAGCCCCAGTGTGCGCAGCTCGAGCCACCAGCCCCAGCCTGGAAGGACCAGGTTCTTTCACACCTGCTGTCCCCACAGATCTCTCTCGGGCTCACCCTGCGCCTGTGGGACGTGTATCTGGTAGAAGGCGAACAGGCGTTGATGCCGATAACAAGAATCGCCTTTAAGGTTCAGCAGAGTAAGTCTACGTGTGCCCAGCGGGGCCTGGGGAGCCCTGGGGTCAGACCCCGACTGGCCCGAGGGCAGCTTCCTCACACTGTCCTCATGATCCGCTGTTCTGGCCCAGAGGGAGGTCTGGCCAGGTGGGCTGGGCAGGACACTGTGACACTGAGCCCATCCCCCACATGACCCAGATGAAAGTCGAGAGTGTGGTGAGCACTTCCCTGTCCGGATCGCCCCCCAGCCACAGTCTCCTGTGTATATCTGGACACCTGGGGTGGCCACAAAAGGATCCGGCACCGCCCAGTAGGAGACTGAAGTGGCCACGGGATATGAGCTGTGACCATTCCCAGGTAACTCCCCTGGCCTGATATCCACCCTGTCCCTAGAGCGCCTCACGAAGACGTCCAGGTGTGGCCCGTGGGCACGTTTTTGCAACCGGTTCGTTGATACCTGGGCCAGGGATGAGGACACTGTGCTCAAGCATCTTAGGGCCTCTATGAAGAAACTAACAAGAAAGCAGGGGGACCTGCCACCCCCAGGTGGGCTCCAGTGCCATGTCCCCTCCCATGTCACCCTCTGGGGTAGTCAGTAGTAGGGGAGTGCCCGGGACCCGCAACCCTACTACCTGGGCCTTCCTCTTCACCTTTTCTTCCTCCTCTTCCTCCTGGACTCTAAGAAAGTACAGGAGGCCCACCGGTCCTCAGGGCAGGCGCTCAGTGCGTGTATACTGGACATGCTGTGCATGCAGGAGGGGGATGTGGGCAAGACCCTCCAACAAGCCCCCTCCCACTTTCCACGGTGTCTCCCTCTCCCCCTCGCAGGGCCCTCCAAGTTACTAGACGAGCCCAGACCCATTTGTGGGAGACCCCGCCCCTCCCTGCAAGCACCCACAGCCTCAGAGAGCAGCAGAGGCCCCTCACTCCTGCACGCTCCTCCAAGGTTGCCAGGACAAGAAGCCTGGAGCCAGGGAGACAAGGGAATCCGTGTCCCTGACCCACAGAGCATTCAGGGAGAGGGCCCAGAGCCAGAGCCAAGAGTTCAGCCAGAAGTGGGAACGGTCAGTCCTGGCATGGACTGGGCAGCCCAGGAGGGCAGAGGGTGACCCACGTCCGGGCCCAATCACCCACTGCGGAGACGGGTCCCCACGTGAGGTGACAAGGGGCTGGGTGACATCCAAGGCCCCTCCCACCTGAGTTCTGACTGGGGGCCGTATCCCAGGCCCAACAGCCCTGGGACGAAGGTGTGTGGCAGGAAGCCCCCAGCCAGTCTGAACCCTGGGGGCAGTCCCAGGAGCCACCCGCCATGCCACGACAGCTTCCCCACGCCAGGCAGCATGCACCCCTCCCTCTGGGATCAGCAGACTACAGGCGTGTCCTCGGTGTCAGGCCACGGGGGCCACACAGAGACCCCGAGGACTCCAGAGACGCAGGCAGGTGGGGCCCAGCCCGGAAAGGCCTGCGTGGGCTCACTGGAGATGCTGACCGCGTCTGTTTTCCTTTCAGCCAAACCCGAGCAAGGGTCGTCGGCATCCAGGCCTGTGCCGGCTTCACGTGGCGGGAAGACCCTCTGCAAGGGGGACAGGCAGGCCCCTCCAGGCCCACCAGCCCGGTTCCCGCGGCCCATTTGGTCAGCTTCCCCGCCACGGGCACCTCGTTCTTCCACACCCTGTCCTGGTGGGGCTGTCCGGGAAGACACCTACCCTGTGGGCACTCAGGGTGTGCCCAGCCCGGCCCTGGCTCAGGGAGGACCTCAGGGTTCCTGGAGATTCCTGCAGTGGAACTCCATGCCCCGCCTCCCAACGGACCTGGACGTAGAGGGCCCTTGGTTCCGCCATTATGATTTCAGACAGAGCTGCTGGGTCCGTGCCATATCCCAGGAGGACCAGCTGGCCCCCTGCTGGCAGGCTGAACACCCTGCGGAGCGGGTGAGATCGGCTTTCGCTGCACCCAGCACTGATTCCGACCAGGGCACCCCCTTCAGAGCTAGGGACGAACAGCAGTGTGCTCCCACCTCAGGGCCTTGCCTCTGCGGCCTCCACTTGGAAAGTTCTCAGTTCCCTCCAGGCTTCTAGAAGCATCTGGGCCAGGGCTCATGGCTGGATAATTTCCCTAGGCTTAACAACCCAAGCAAGCTTCGCATCCTCGTTTTATTTTTGGTTAAACTTATGAAAATGTATTAAGAAAGAGTGCAGCTCGAGAGAGATTCAGAGATGGAACACACCAGACCCCAGATCACAAAGCCAACCATGCCCAGCCCCTCCCAGCACCCCCAGCCCCACGACCATCGTTCTGAATTCTGACGACACCGTGAGCCTGCCTTTGTACTTCAAACTCATGGAAGGATAACCACCTTCATGTTTTGAAATAAATGTTTCCTGTTGAAATGATTTTAGATTTTAGACAGAAATATTGAAAAGGCACTATAGTATCCTCCTATACCTTCCATCCAGCTGCCCCTAATAATGATGTTTTGCAGTCCCATGGCACATAAGAAATTTAGGCCGGGTGTGGTGGCTCACACCTGTAATCCCAGCAATTTGAGAGGTCGAGGCGGGAGGTTCAGGTTCACTTGAGTCTAGAAGTCTGAGACCAGCCTGGGAAACCTAGGTGGACCCGGTCTCTAGAGAAAAGTCAAAGAAATTAGCCAGGCATGGTGGCGTGTGCCTATAGTCCCACCTAGTCAGGAGGCTGAGGCAGGAGGATTGCTGGAGCCCACGAGTTCCAGGAAGCAGTGAGCCATGATTGCACCACTGCACTCCAGCCTGGGTGACAGAGTGAGACTTTATCTCTTAAAAAAATTTAAGAAATTTAATGTGGGTACAGTTCTATTAACTAAATAATAATGTGAACTATTATCTAAGGTTATGAAGGCTAGAATTATCCCATTTTTGCCTAACTTCTCGTACCTGTCCCAAGATCCCACCTTGGACTCACCCTCTGCCTTCAGCTCACGTCTCTTCAGCTTCCTCCACATGGTCCAGCAAACACACACCTGGGCTGAATGGTAGAGCTGATTGCTCATACACAAAGGTAGACCGGTGGGCAGGGATTTTCAGACTTACACAGTCAATGAGTTTTCCTTGGTGTTCTGGAGAGCACCGTTTGAGAAACACTTTGACAGTGAATCTAGGCCTCAAGATCCATCAGCTGCTCTAGCTTGAATTTTGCTCAAGCTCAGTGAACACCTGCTCTGCCGGGTGCACGTGAAAGGGGCAAGGATGAGAAAGCTGTAGATAAAGAAGACAGGACGCAGGGGGTCTGTCTAAGCTCTATCCCCTGCCTTCAGCACTGAGGGATGAAATCCAACTCTTAGGGAACGGTGGCCACGTGCTGGGCCAGCCCCAGGCTCTCAGGATCTGACAGTGGGTGACGCAGAGCCAGGCCTTGCCCCTGGGGAGCTCTCCAGCATACACCTCCCTCTCCCCTCCCAGCGTGCCGCAAAGCAGGCGTCAACGCCATTGTTAATGCACGGAGGAGGAACCTGACTGTTAGACCTGGGTTTTCCAGGGTTGCACGGCTTCTGGGAGACGGATGTGACCCTGAGGACAGGGCACAGGCCAGTGTAATGCCAGGATGGAATGAGCTGTGATCTGTGCTGTATAGAGGCCTAGGCCAAGGTGGGACTGACGGATGACCAGGTCAGCCGGGTCACTGAAAACACTCTTGGGTCCTCACCTGCCGGTTCCCAGGAGTCCGGAACTGCCAGGAGAGTGGTGGCAGGTCCCCCATCCTCAGCTGGGTGGGCCTGGATAGAACAGCAAGGCGAGGGCACATTTCCCTGGCCATTCCCTCCAGGCACAGCTGTGACCTGTTCATTCCAAATTTGTGGAAGTATTTCCACACACACAGAACTGCAAATAGCAGTGGACATGGTGAGAGGCGTTTGCACATGGGATAGGCAGGATTTTGGAGGCAGAGCCTCCAGGGCTTGCCGATGGGTTAGCTGCAGGGCTTGAGAGGGAACGGAGAATCCAGGATGATGTGTTCAAATCGGTCCATTCACCTCTTCCGTTCCACGCCTGTGCTGGGCACTGGGAGAGACAGATGCACACAGGAGCCCCGGCCGAGGGGAGGTGTGGGGGGAAGCCCAGAGTGTCTGGGCAGGGTAGGAAACCCAGAGCGTCTACTGGGAGCTGAAGGCTTAGGTCCACCTGGGTGCCGTCCAGGTTCTCTGCATGTAGAAGTATAGGCTGAGCTTCCTGGAGGAGGAGCAGCTGCTGTTGCTGGTGACCAGCACATTCAGGAACGGAGACTACTCTGTCAACAGACAGGGGGATGACCTGAAGTCTGGATGGTCTAGGGGGTGGTAGGGCCCAGGAGGACCCAGGAAAGGGTCTCGGGGATGCAGAACATCCTATGGAGGGCATTTGGGAGTCAGTGCTCAGGTCACTCCGGGTCACGCAGGTCATTTGCCGGCCCCTGTCATAATTATTGCCATATGAGAGTGCCACCTTTCCTGTGACATAATTTAGACATTCCTGTGAATGGCCTACCTGTTTATATTTACAACTTCATGTTTAAAGGAAATTTGTATCACTCTCATAAATGGAAAGCCAGCAAAACATAAATTCAATGAAAACAAAATGAAGTCAATGAACTTTAGCTAGATACTATTCCCTGACCAAGGCCTGCTGGAGGCCGTACAACCGGGGTTTGAATTGAGATCTGCCAAGCTTCTGAGTTTATTCTGTTTCCCCCACACCAAGGATCCTCAATACTGCATTACTGACATCAGGGGCCAGACAATTCTTTGCGATGGGGGCTGTCCTGCACCTGGCAGGATGTTTAGCAGCTTCTCTGGCCTCCACCCACTGGAAGCCAGGGGAATGCAGAAGAGGCTTGCTTATTCTCCCATTTAATGCTCAGGACAATATCTGACATCAATGTTACGTCTTTTATTTTATAAATGAAGACAATGAGACTCAGAAAGGTTTAAGTGAGTCACCTAAGAACACACAGACAGCAAGAGGTAGAACCCGAAACTGAACACAGGTGTCCACGAGACAACAAAAAAGTTCAGGTTCCAGCTTCCTTTGAGTCTCTCATTTCAACAATGGCCATCGTCTGCATACGAGCTGAAGTACAGGAAAGCTGGGCTGAACTCTCTTCCCATCAGGCCTAGGAGCCCCAGACCAGAACCCCAGCCCAAGTTCTCCCAGTCAGGCCCGCTGGAGGGAGCTGGCATCTACACTAGCATGGTTTCTCAAAGCTACAGGGATGCCAGTCTCGCTGCTGATGAAGAAAATGAAGGGCATTTGCTTCTCCTGCAGGCTGTCGGGATTTAACACAGATTCCTTTTCTTGCTCTCTTCTCCCATAGCACAAAACTGGGTGGTCCATCCCCCTCCCAGTGTCCCAAGGCTTTGTTGCGTGTTCTCTTTAATTTCTCCCACTCTCGCAGTGCACCCTACCCTCGTCTCCCTGGCAACCTTTCTGCTCTATCCTCTCGCCACCTGGATCACAAGAACACTTGTGAGACCCCTTAACAAGCTACATCCCAAATTATCATTCCCCTTTGTCCTCAGCCAGTGCCCGGGTCCAACTCGCTCTCCTGGGGTGACTTTCTTTCCTGCCCAATATGGTTTCATCATCTGTAAATTGGGGATAATTGAAGTCTTGATCCTGATATTGGGCTCTGAAAGCAGAAGTAGCAAGCTCAGCCAAGTCACTTCAACAAGAGGAGACGTTCCTTGTGAACCAAAAGGGCACTGGTCACAAGGGCCGCTCCTTCTCTCAGGCCTCTCCAGCACGCCCTTGGCTCAGCCAAAGAAGAGACTCAGGCTGTGCTTCTGTGCTGTGGGGATAACGTAGGTACCTGGTCCTTGACCCTGGGACTTTAACAGTTCCCTCTTGTGGCTCAGTTCTACAGCTTCAATGACACAAAGTGGCTTTTGCTCAAAATAGCCTTTGATAGGTTAAGGTACTCCTCTGCCACTCTAAGTCTGTGTGGAACAGACAGGGTTTTGCTTCACAGAGAAGATGCATAAAATTTGGTCTTAAAAATGAGTTCACCATGCACACATACACACGAAAAAAGTAAATACTGCATTACTGTATATATGAGGTTCCAAAATAGGCAAAACTAATTTATGGTGACAGAATAGTGGTGACCTCTGAGGGTCAGTGTTGACTGGGAGAGAACAGAAGAGAGCCTACTGGGGTGCTGGAAATGTTCTGTATCTTAATTTTGCAGGATAATTCCTTGGATGCATCCCTAAAAATTCAGTCAAGCTATATAGTAAGATTTGTGCAGTTTATGTAAGTAATAGGAGAGATAAGAGGGGGAACCTGTGGAGAAGCAGAACATTTCAAGATCTAGAAAGCAACAGTTGCAAGGGTACACAGTGTTCAGACAGGGACCAAATCATAGAAACTACTAGGGCTTGCCATGCTGAAATGACTGACTTCAAACCATAGGGCATACGTACCTTCCACTGAAGAAGAGCACCTGAGTAAAATGACTAGAGGTGCATTTCAAAGATTATTCTATGGGAAATATAAAGAACGAATTGGAGGAGTAGGAGGCAAATAGTCCAAGGGACAGATACAGATCTTTCTTTCTCTTTTTTTTTTTTTTTTTTTTTTTTGAGATAGGGTCTCCCTCTGTCACCCTAGCTGGAGTGCATTTCTGCGATCATGGCTCACTGCAGCCTCTACTTCCTGCGCTCATGCAATCCTTCCATCTCAGCCTCCCAAGTATCTGGGACTCCAGATGTGCGGACCACACCTGGCTAATTTTTTTATTTTGTTGTAGTAATGGGAATCTCACTGTTGTTTCCCAGGCTGGTCTTGAACTCCTGAACTCAGGCAATCTTCTGGCCTTAACCTCTCAAAGTGCTGGGATTACAGGTATGGGCTACAGTGCCTGGCCTTATTAAAATGTTGATGTAATAAATGGGACTACCTAGTGCTGTGCTTTCTCCTTAAAGGAGAGAGCTGACAGAATAAAACTAGCAGTAATAATCTGGTAAATTGTGCTTTCTACAGAGTAAATTTTGTTTGTCTCATGACATTTATGCAAATATTCAAATGTTTCAGGAATATAAACATTTAAAATTTGGGTTATAAATAATGCCTCCTGGCTCTGAAATTATCTGAATTCATGAAGCAATCAGTAGTAAATATGAAGGAAAAATGAAACACAGCCTTATATGCAAGGACAAACACAAATTTCTAATTCTTGTTATAATTTGGGTGCCCACCTGGTTTTGAAGGTGAGCCTTGGTTTGACTGGTTCTGAGACATTTCTCTCAAATAGCAAATGAGTAGTGGGTATGAATAGGGTACATTGGAAAGTCATGTCAAAATTCCATGTAATTTTTGGAGCGTTTTTTCTCCCATATGATTTATATAATTTGACATGTGTATTCCTATGTAAAATATTTAACCACTTCTCTACAATAAGCATTAAGTGGGCTAATTAGTATGCTCTTCTTATTCCATATTTCTGTGATTTCTCTTATCTGGAACGACTTTTTTATGCCACCCAGGCTGGAGTGCAGTGGCACATTTACTGCTCACTGCAGCCTCAACTCCCCAGGGTCAAGCCATCCTCCTATTTCAGCTTCCCTAGCAGCTAGGACTACAGGTGTGCACCACTATGCCCTGCTAATTTTTGTGTTTTTTTGTAGAGACGGGGTTTTGCTATGTTGCCCCGGCTGGTCTTGAACTCCTGAGCTCAAGAGATCCACCCACCGCAACCTCCCATAGTGTTGGGATTACAGGCGTGAGCCACTGCACTCAGCTTCTTTTCTAATTTGTTTTTATTCTGAGATCAGATGAGATCGGCATGTTCAGGTTGGTATGGCCATAGACTGCTTTTATCTATTCTAATAATTTTGTATTGTACAATGTGTTGGAAAGGCAAGATGAAGTTAGATTATGAAGGGTTCATTTCCATTCAATTCTGTCTATCCTTCTGGACTTTGCCTAAATCTTACCTTCTTTGGAGCTTTCCTGAACTAACTTATCTCCTTTGAATTCTTACATTTGGATCCTTTGTATTTGAGTATTTTTACATATATATGTACATAAATAACACGTTTTATGTGTAGTAATTTACTCTCCCAACTAGATTGAAAGCTGCTTGAAGAGTAACCTTTTTTTAAAGTCACATTGGACCGTTTTAAGTACAAATTTAGCATATGCTTGATGATTGAGAGAACCATATGGTTACAGTCATTGGTGTGTCTATGATTGTGATATGTTGCTATTTAAAAATCAATAGTTATTTCTTATTTAGTTTTCTGTTAAGCCATAACCTTTTGCTCTCATTTATACATCTTCTGAACGTTAAGTAACATGTGGCTCATATTTCAAACTCCCAATTTGGAAGTTTATAGCAATGTAACTGAAGTTTATAATTACAGGTCTCAGAAAACTGCACTACACAGAAGTTCTCTATGTGTTAGAAGAATTTATTAGAAGATAGACAATTGTAGGTTACACTGTAATTTAGAAGACTTTTGCGCATCTCATGTATTTGTGTCAGTTTGAGAATTTGAAAATGCCCCCAAAATGTCTGTTCTTCACTAGTGCCTCTTGTGATCCTGGCAGAGATAAGCTAAACTTTTGAAAGGGTAGACTTTTTCTGTTTATCTTAGTATCCTGAGTCCCTAAATCTGGAATGTAGTAGATGTTTGTGCATTTCCCTATGTCAGCGAAGTCAAAATACTAGAGGTGGATTTTTCAGCTTTTCAAAGTTTTCACATTTACTAAGTCCTTCACAGTTATCGCCTACTAGTTAAAAAACTATTTGCCTCAATTTAGGCCAGTGCTACTTTGACATTTGCATTGCTGTAAAACCCTTACTAAAAGGTATATTTTTCTGGTATATAAATACATGTATGCAGCTTTTCTCATATCTTTGAGAAAGCAAAAAATTGTACTAAATTATGATTTCCACTGTAATAGGATTATGGCTTAGTCATGATCAGTATTATGTTTTCAGCTATGTCTTACTAGGATTATTGTAAAAGACTTTCAAAATAGTTCATGTGAATCTTTGTCTGATCTTCACAAACTCGGGTATGTACATAGCTCTCCCCCACCTTCTCCTGGCTTTGGCAATTTACTTTATTTTTATGGTGGTTATATATATATATATATAAAACATACCATTTACCATTTGAACTATTTTAAAAAGTGTACAATTAGTGGCATGAAGTACATTCACAATATTGTATAACCATCACCACTGTCCATTTCCAGAACTTGTTCATCATCCCAAACAGAAATTCTCTATCCCTTTTCTTCCCCAGCCCCTGGTAACCTCTATTCTACTTTCTCTTTTTATGAATTTGCCTATTCTAGACACTTCATGGAAATAGAATCAAACAATATTTGACCTTTCTTATTTCACTTAGGATAATGTTTTCAAGGTTTATCCATGTTGTAGTACATAGCAGAATTTAATTTCTTTTTTTGACTGAATAATTTGTATATACTACATCTTGTTTATACATCCATCTGTTGATGGGACATATTTGGGTTGTTTCCACCTTTTGGCTATTGTGAATAATGTTGCTGTGAACACTGGTGTGCAAATATCTATCTGAGTCCTGCTTTCACTTCTTTTGGATATAAACCTAGGAATGGAATTGCTGGGTCATATGGTAATTCTATATTTAACCTTTTAAGGAACAGCTAACCTGGTTTCCACGGCTTCTGTACCATTTTATATTTCTACCAGCAATGCACAAGTGCTCCTTCCATTTTCTCCATATCTACCCAATACTTGTTATTTTCTGTTTTCTTTCAATTAATAACCATCCTAATGGGTGTGACATAGTATTGTCATTTTGATTTTTAGCTTCCTAATGGCTAGTGCTAATGAGCATTTTTTTATGTGCTATTGGTCATTTGTATGTCTTTTTTGGAGAAATGTCTGTTCAATCCTTTGCCCATTTTTGAATTGAGATGTGCGCTTTTTTGTTGTTGAGTTGTAGTTCTGTAGTTCTTTATACATTCTGGATATTATTCTCACATCAGATATATGATTTACAAATATTTTCTCCCAAATACTTCTGTGGGTTACAGATATATTAATATCTGTAGATTGTCTTTCATGGTCTTGATAGGATCTTTTAATGCCCAAAAGTTTTTAATTTTGATGAAATAATGTATGTAGTTTTGAACTTAAACAATGTTACAGATTGCGCAAAGGATATAACCATGAAATTCTGATGGAGTGACCCCACAGCTGCAGAAAACCAGAAAGAACCCTACTCTAAAACCCAAAAGACTTCCCTAGATAGAGTCCTTCGAAAATAATTTTCTAAATTATTCACACAGCCTGTGGATAAATTAAGAGGAAATGATATCTGTAACAGTGCTGCTTGTGATGAAAACACAGAAGAGTCAATTATATTATCAAATCTTAGCTGGAATGGAAAATCAGGAGGATATTTATTAGCAAACATTAATAAAAGGTTGGCCTTTATTATTGTAAGCATGTACACAGACGACAGCATGTAGTCTCTACCATAAGAATGAGAAATGCCTCCTATCTTTATGCATTCTGAAATTTAACCTTTCTTAACCCAATTGCTGTAAGGGCCTAGGGTTTATTTGTTATGTGTGTTATTGGAGTAGAGACTGTTTGAAGGTTAAGGGGGTATTTAGTGATGCAAGTGACATTTATATGTTTTAAAATCTTCTGCTTTTCTAGGCACTTTTTAAAATGAAATGCTATATTTTTAAACTTTTAAAAATTATTTTTATTATTTTTTGCAGAGATGAGGTCTTGCTGTGTTGCCCAAGCTGTTCTCAAACTCTTGGCCTCAAGAGATCCTCCTGCCTTGGCCTCCCAAAGTGCTGGGATTACAGGCGTGAACCACGTGCCTGGCCCAAACTTTTTAAAGACTTTATTTCTGGAGGCAGGTTCTCAAAAGATATCCTATCTTAATGGGCATATATAGAGAGAGAGTAGTAGGTGAGTTTAAGGGGGATGTAAATATTGGCCGAAAGAGGTTTCTTTTAGGTATATAACCCCTCAAATGTAGCCCTTTGGATATCAAAAGTTTATTATGGCAATGTTCTTTGTGCATTTTTATTCGATGTTGTCAGCCATTCATCTAATAACTCTTCAGAAGATTTTGTCTCTGGGCAGTGGCATTTTATAACTTCCTATATGGAAGAAAACTTTTATCCAACTGATAACTGATATGCCAATGTGTTAGTATGAAAAAATTTTCCCAACATTCTTACCAGGTGTGGTGGCTCAACCTGTAATCCCAGCACTTTGGGAGGTGGAGTCGGGCGGATCACTTGAAGTCAGGAGTTCGAGACCAGCCTGGCCAACATGGTGAAACCCTGTCTACTAAAAATACAAAAATTAGCTGGGCGTGATGGCAGGCACCTGTAATCCCAGCTACCTGGGAGGCTAAGGCAGGAGAATTGCTTGAATCTGGGAGGTGGAGGTTGCAATGAGCCAAGATTTCCTCACTGCACTCTAGCCTGAGCGACAGAGTGAGACTCTGTCTCAAAAAAAAAAGAAAAGGAAAAAAAAAGAAAATTTCCCAAAATTCAAATGTCGTTTCACTGCGTGGCTTTGTTTGATTATTAATACTTTAATACTGTGTTTAAAATTAATATTTATTATTTTTAAAAATCAGCTTCCTTAGGTCAAAGAAACATTAATGTTTAATATTAAGCTATTATTGTAGCTTAGTGTAGTTATAATAAGATACTGGAACTCATGGAAGGGGTTAGATTTTCTTCATCTTAGAAACCGTTACTTTTCATAAAGTATATATTGTGCAATTATATATAAAATTATATAATAATTAGATATACAAATAAAAAATCGGATTATAGTTGGGCTCAGTGGCTCGCATTTGTAATCTCAGCTCCTTGGGAAGCTTAGACTGGAGGATTTCTTGAGTCCAGAAATTTGAGGCTGCAGTGAGCCATGATTGTGCCACTGCATTCCAGACTGGGCGACAGGAATGAGACCCCGTCTCTAAAAATAAAAACTAAAAAAAAATAGATTATGATTGGCAAAAGATTGAGTGACAGTGAAAATGCAATGAATATTTTGACTACTATTTTTTGATTACATACATAGGAAGATACGAATTTTTCTGTCTTTCCAAATTAGTTTAGAAATTAAAGATTTGGCCGGGCATAGTGGCTCACCCCTGTAATCTGAGCACTTTGGGAGGCTGAGATAGGCAGATCACCTGAGGTCAAGAGTTTGAGACCACCCTGGCCAACATGGTGAAACCTCGTCTCTACTAAAAATACAATAAAAATTAGCTGGGCATGGTGGCATGCACCTGTAGTCCCAGCTACTTGGGGAGACTGAAGCAGGAGAATCACTTGAACCCAGGAGGCGGAGGTTGCAGTGAGCCAAGATCGTGCCACTGCACTCCAGCCTGGGCGACAGAGCGAGACTCTGTCTCAAAAACAAACAAACAACAACAAAACACCAGAAAAAGGAAAAATAGTGTTAAGAGATAACTTAGTATGTATTGTTTGTACACTTCATGGGTGTGCATATATGACGTGTTTGGTTTTATAGTGAAAATTCTAACATTCTGCTGTATGGTTTATGGTGCATTGTAGACGTTCCTTTAAGCACTCAATGATAAAGATTAAAATTACTAAGATAGAGAGTAAATCTATGTTATATGTAGTCATTTCTCAGTTTGCATAGTAGTATGGGACTGTAAAAATGACCATGCAAGCTAAGACTATTCAAAGGGATCACAGTAATCAGTGGAAAAAATTGTGATTGTTCTGTTGGACCTTTAAAAATTTTTGTCAAAACATTAAAAACTCTCTCACAGTTGGTTATAGATATACAGGGTAAGAAGAAGCGTGGTATCCACAGAGAAGGAGGGAGCTTCATAAACAAAGACAAACAGGAATATCAACTACCAGCCACCAACAGCACTCTTGTAAAACTTATTTAAATATTACAAAAAACAATATACAAGATTACTAAGAGATTGGAAGATAAAGGGAGAAAATTTCACTAATGATCTCATCACCAAACACAGTTAATTATTTGCTGTTACTCTTTTATCAAATTAGTGTTTAGTATTGTTTTAATCATAATGTACATACAATTTTGTATCTTGCTTTTTCTGAGATGTCTGTTTCTGTCCATGTTATACATACCTATACAGTCCTGTGCTGCATGATGATGTTTTGGTTAACGATGGACTGCATACACAACTGTGATCCCATAAGATAATAGTAGAGCTGAAAAATTCCTATTGCCTAGTGACATTGTAGCCATTTACTTGTTTTTGCTTTCTGCTTTTTTTATGTAGTCATTTACTATACTAAACCTTTAATCATTATTTTAGAGTATACTCCTATTTATTTAGAAAGGTCCCCCAAGGGAGGACAGAAAACACTCATAATTTAATGTTATTGTCCTTTTCACACATATGTAGCTATATCTATTATATTTTATTTTACTTTATTTTATTTTAATTTTTGAGACAGAGTTTCACTCTGTCACCCAGGCTGGAGTGCAATGGTGCAGTCTCAGCTCACTGTGACCTCCACCTCCCAGGTTCACGCAATTCTTCTGCCTCAGCCTCCCGAGTAGCTGGGATTACAGATGTGCACCACCATGCCTAGCTAATTTTTGTATTTTTAGTACAGACGAGGTTTCACCATGTTGGCCAGGCTGGTCTTGAACTCCTGACCTCAGGTGATCCACCTGCCCCAGCCTCCCAAAGTGCCGGGATTACAGCACTTTTACAGCATGAGCTGCCATGCCCAGCCTATTTTATTTTATTTTGTTTTATTTTATTAGAGACAGTCTTGCTCTGTCCCCAAGCCTGGAGTGCAGTGGCGTGATCGTAGCTCACTTGGCTAATTTTTAAACTTTTTGTAGATATGGGGTCTGGGTATGTTGCCCAGCCTGATCTTGAACTCCTAGGCTTAAGTGATCCTCCTGCCCTGACCTCCCAAAGTGCTGGGATTACAGGCGTGAGCCATCCTGCCCAGCCTGTATCTATTATATAAGCTGGTTTTTTTGATTACTTTAATGTAAATGAGATTATACCATACTCTCTTCTCTGTCACTTCCTATTTTCATGTAATTTATGTTAGACATCTGTCAATGTCAGTATAAATAGGTCTAGATCATTTTTTATAGTTGTATACCTTTCGTTACATGGATGTTTCACAATTTACTTAGCTAACTACCTATTGTTGGACATTTGGTTATTTCCAAATTTTTGCTGTTTTATATAATGCTGCGCTTATATAAAATATAGTTCTATATAATTATGTTTAATTATGTACTACCGCTGTATCTGACAACTGACTTGTATCAAGAACATACAAAGAACTGTTACAAGTTGCCAGGCAGAGTGGCTCATGTCTGCAATCCCAGGGCTTTGGGAGGCCAAGGTGGGCGGATCTCTTGAGCCCAGGAGTTGGAGACCAGCCTGGGCAACATGGGGAGACCCCGTCTCGACAAAAATACAAAAATTAGCCAGGCATAGGGGCACACATCTGTAGTTCCAGCTACTTAGAGGCTGAGGTGGGAAGACTGCTTGAGCCCAGGAAGTTGAGGCTGCAGTGAGCCAAGATGACACCACGGCACTCCAGCCAGCGCGTCAAAGGCCCTGTCTCAAAAAAAAGGAAGAAGCGGGGGCGGCAAATAAGTAGAGTATAAGCCACCTCATCCAACTTTATTGGAACCAGTAGTTGACTGGTTAATCAGTCCAAGCAAGGAAGCATAAAAACTGATGCATGTGCCGGGCATGGTGGCTCACGCCCGCAATCCCCGCACTTTGTGAGACCGAGGCGGGCCGATCACCTGAGGTTAGGAGTTCGAGACCAGCCTGGCCAACATGGTGAAACCCTGTCTCTACTAAAAATACAAAAGTTAGCCATGCATGGTAGTACACGTCTGTAATCACAGCTACTCAGGAGGCTGAGGCAAAAAAAGGAGAAGAAATGCTATGTGAAGCCTTTTTATAAGCACATTAATTTCATTCACGAGGGCAGAGCACTCATGACCTAATCACCACCTTGAAAGCCTCACTTCTTAACATCATCACATTAGGTCTTAGGTTATAACATGAATTTTGGAGGACTCCAGAAAAAAAAAGTGAAAGACAACCCACAGAATGGGAGAAAATACTTGCAAATTATGTACAAAGTAGGATCACTTTATTTGTGGAAAATATGTAGCCAGACACAGTGGCTCATGCCTGTAATCCCAGAACTTTGGAAAGCTGAGGTGGGAGGATCACTTGAGCCCAGGAGCTCAAGACTAACCTGGGCAACATAGGGATACCTTATCTCTACAATAAATAAATAAAATTACCCAGATGTGGTGACATGTGCCTGTGGTCCCAGCTACTTGGGAGGTTGAGGTGGGAGAATCACGTGAGCCCAGGAGGTTGAGGCTGCAGTGAGCCAAGATAACATTAATGTATCCCAGCCTGGGCGATAGACCGAGACCTTATCTCAAAAAAAAAAAAAAATATATATATATATGTATATATTTATCTATTACCTATATATTCATATATAGATATAGATTAATATAGATATATAAACATATATTTATAGATATATAGATACATAAATATATAGCTATATATAAATATATATTTATAAATATATAGATATATATGTAACAAAATATGTTCCAAGACCTCCAGTGTATACCTGAAACTGCAGATAGTACCAAACTCTATATGTACTATGTTTTTTTCCTATACATACATACATACCTATGATGAAGTTTAATTTATAAATTAGGCACTGTAATAGAATAACAACAATAACTAATAATAAAAGAGAACAATTAGAATATACTTTTTGTTTTTGAGATGGAGTCTTGCTCTGTCACCCAGGCTGGAGTGCCATGGCGCCATCTCGGCTCACTGCAACTTCCACCTCCCAGGTTCAAGCGATTCTCCTGCCTCAGCCTCCCGAGTAGCTGGGCCTACAGGCACCTGCCACCACGCCCGGCTAATTTTTGTATCTTTAGTAGAGGCAGAGTTTCACCATATTGGCCAGGCTGGTCTCCAATTCCTGACCTTGTGATCCACCCACCTCGGCCTCCCAAAGTGCTGGGATTACAGGTGTGAGCCACTGTGCCTGGCTAGAATATACTTTAACATAAGTTACATGAATAGTTTTCTCTGTCTCAAAATACTGTAATATTTGGGATTGCAGCTGCCCGCAGGTAACTGAAACTGCAGAGAGCATACGGGAGACTACAGTATCTGACAATGGACTTGGATCTAGAATACATAAAGAACTCTTACAACTTGATAATAAAAAGGATATAACCCAATTTTAAAATGGACAAAAGATCTGAACAGATATTTCTCCAAAGAAGACATACAAATGGCCAATAAGGGCCAGGTGGTGGCTTATGCCTATAATCCCAACACTTTGGGAGGCCAAGGCAGGTGGATCACTTGAGGCCAGAAGTTCAAGACCAGTCTGGCCAACATGGCGAAAACCCATCTCTACTAAAAATATAAAAATCAGCCAGGCGTTGTGGCGCATGCCTGTAGTCCCAGGTACTCAGGCAGATGAGGCACAAGAATCACTCGAACCCGGGAGGCAGAGGTTGCAATGAGCTAAGATTGCACCACTGCACTCCAGCCTGGGCAACAGAGCAAAACCCCACCTAAAAATAAATAAATAAATAAAAATAAAAAAAAGAAAATAAATGGCCAATAAGCACAAGAAAATACACTCAATTTCTGTCTTAGTCTGTTTGTGCTGCTGTAACAAAATACCTGAGACTAAGTAATTTATAAGTAAAAAAATTTATTCCTCACAGTTCCGGAGGCTGGGAAAACCAAAATCAAGGTGATAGCACATTTGGCATTTGGTGAGGGCCTGTTCCATTGTTCCCGTTCTCGCAGTGGCATCTTCACATGGCAGGAGAAGAAAGGAAAAAAGAAGAAGAAATGTTATGTGAAGCCTTTTTATAAGGGCATTAATTTCATTCACGAGGGCAGAGCCCTCATGACCTAATCACCACCTTGAAGGCCTCACTTCTTAACATTGTCACATTAGGTCTTAGGTTATAACATGAATTTTGGAGGACTCCAACATTCAAACCATAGAAACATCATTAGCCATCAGGGAAGTGCAAATCCAAACCATGTTAAGATACCACTTCACACTCACAAGAATGGCTATAATAAACAGACACATAATAACAAGTGTTGGAGAAAATGTGGAAAAATTGAAACACTCATATGTTGCTGGAGGGAATGTAAAATGCTTTGCAATGAAGTTGGAACTGCTTTGGAAATAGTCTGGCAGTTCCTCCAAAGCTTAAACATAGAGTTATCATATGACCTGGCAATGCCAGGCTTCATCATATTCCCAAGGGAAAGGAAAACATATGTCCACACAAAAACTTACACATGAATGTTCATAGCAGCATTATTCATAATAGTCAAAAAGTGGAGACAGCTGGGTGTGGTGGCTCCCAACACTTTGGGAGGCCAAGGCGGGAGGATTGCTTGAGGTCAGGAGTTCGAGACCAGCCTGGCCAACAGAGTGAAATCCGATCTCTACTGAAAATACAAAAATCAGCGGGACATGGTATACGTGCCTGTAATCCCAGCTACTTGGGAGGCTGAGGCAGGTGAATGGCTTGAATCCAGGAGGCGGAGGCCGCAGTGAGCCAAGATCACACCACCGTACTCCAGCCTGAGTGACAGACTGAGACTCCATCTCAAAAAAAAAAAAAAAAAAAGTGATAAACAGATAAATGAAATGTGTTATATTCCTACAACAGAATATTATTGAGCCATAAAAAAAAAGGAAATAAGTACTGACACATGCTATAACATGAATGAACCTTGAAAACATTAGGTTACTTGAAAAAAGCCAGTCACAAAAGATCACAAATTGTATGGTTCCATTTATATGAAATGTCCAAATAGGCAAATCCTATCCTAAAAGAAAGTAAATTAGTGGTTGCCTAGGACTGAGGGATGGAGAAAATGGGGAGTGAGTGCTCATAGGTATGGTATTTTTTTTTTGAGAGAAATGAAAATATTCTAAAATTGATTGTGGTGGCCAGGCACAGGGGCTCACGCCTGTAATCCCAGCACTTTGAGAGGCCGAGGCGGGCGGATCACCTGAGGTCGGGAGTTCGAGACTAGCCTGACCAACATGGAGAAACCCCGTCTCTACTAAAAATACAAAATTAGCCGGGCATGGTGGTGCATACCTGTAATCCCAGCTACTCGGGAGGCTGAGGCAGGAGAATCGCTTGAACCAGGGAGGTGGAGGTTGCAGTGAGCTGAGATCGTGCCACTGCACTCCAGCCTGGCGAGAGAGTGAGGCTCCATCTCATAAAAAAAAAAAAAAAAGAAAGAAAAAAAAGAAAAAAAAGAATGTTTCAGGCAAAGGGAAGAGAAGTGCAATGGTGCTATTTCAGGCAGAAGCTTGTCAGGTTTGCTGTGGTGTGGTAGTGTGGAAGGACTCAGTGGGAAGGAAAAGAAATGAGGGCACAGTAGTGGGCAGGGCCAAGATAAAGCCATATGCATACTGCTACATTTTTTCCTTGTCCAATATATTTCATTAAATGTAGACAAAACTTATTATAAAGACATAACTTTTGATGTTTGTAAGGTCATCTGTTATTTGCACTCCTTTTTTTTTTTGAGATAGGGTCTCACTCTGTCACCCAGGCTGGAGTGCAGTGTTGCCACCACAGCTCACAGCAGCCTCGACCTCCTGGGCTCAAGCACTCCTCCCACCTTAGCCTCCTGAGTATCTGGGACTACAGGCACATGCCACCGTGCCCCACTAATTTTTTATTTTTTGTAAAGACAGGGTTTCTCCATGTTACCCAGGCTGGTCTCAAACTCTTGAGCTCAAACAATCTACCCACCTTGGTCTCCCAAAGAGCTAAGATTACAGGCGTGAGCCACTGTGCCTGGCTTGTTATTTGCATTTGTGATTTTAAAATTCCATGTTTTTTATCATAAGATTGTCAGGTGCTTTCTGGACAGGAAATGCCTTAATTTATGACTCAAAATACAAACAAGTGTAGGTGATCAAATGCATATCTATGTCTTCAATGGAAATATATATACATACAAGTCATTAACGAAGACAAATGAGAACATGAAATTCATGACCTATTTTCCTTTCCATCACCTAGCCCCCTAAAGGAGAGATCTTTTTCATTCAGAGCCCTGGGTTTTGTTTTGTTTCATGATTTGCTTTTTTTTTTTTAAAATAAGAGTTTATTTATTTATTTATTTGAGACAAGGTTTCACTCCCATCAGCCAGGCTGGAGTGCAATGGCGTGATCTCAGTTCACTGCAACTTCTGCCTCCTGGACTCAAGTGACTCTCTTGCCTCAGCCTCCTGAGTAGCTGGGACTACAGGCACGTGCCGCTGCATCCAGCTAATTTTTTGTAGAGACAGGGTTTCACCGTGTTGGCCAGGCTGGTCTTGAACTCCTGAGTTCAAGCGATCCGTCTGCCTCTGAGTCTCAAAGTGCTAGGGTTACAGGAATGAGCCGCCGCGTGGCCAAAAGAGTTTATTTTTTAAAGAAAATTGACTTCTTTGAAAACGTAGAAATGAGGCCGGGCGCAGTGGCTCACACCTGTAATTCCAGCACTTTGTGAGGCCGAGGCAGGTAGATCGCTTGAACTGAAGAGTTTGAGACCAATCTGGCCAACATGGTGAAACCCCATCTCTACTAAAAATACAAACATTAGCCGGGTGTGGTGGCAGGTGCCTGTAATCCCAGCTACTCGGGAGGCTGAGGCAGGAGAATCGCTTGAACCCGGGAGGCGGAGGTTGCAGTGAGCCAAGATTGCGCCATTGCACTCCAGCCTGGGCAACAAGAGCAAAACTCCATCTCAAAAAGAAAAGAAAAAGTAGAAATGAGGAAGCGGCCAGCCTGTGTGGGGATCTAATCAAACAAATCTTCCCCTGATGAGGGTAGCACTTAAGTTGAAAAAAATTTGCCTATATAATAAATATTGCAATACTTTATTTATTTATTTATTTATTTTTCGAGATGAGGGTCTCGCTGTGTTGCCCAGGCTAGTCTTGAACTCTTGGGCTCAAGGGCTTCTCCTGCCTCAGCCTCCCCAGTGGCTGGGCTAATAGGCACACACCACCATGCCCAGCTCTACATACTGATTTTTTTTTTTTGAGATGGAGTCTTCGCTCTGTCGCCCAGGCTGGAGTGCAGTGGCGCGATCTCCGCTCACTGCAAGCTCCGCCTCCCGCGTTCACGCCATTCTCCTGCCTCAGCCTCCCGAGTAGCTGGGACTACAGGCGCCTGCCACTGCGCCCACTAATTTTTTGTATTTTTAGTAGAGACGGGGTTTCACCGTGTTAACCAGGATGGTCTCGCTCTGCTGACCTCGTGATCCGCCCGCCTCGACCTCCCAAGGTGCTGGGATTACAGGCGTGAGCCACCGCGCCCGGCCCATACTGATTTTGAAATTTAAAAAATCTACATTCTATATTCGCATCATAGCTTCTCCCTAATAAAATCTTTGTGAGTGTTTATGGGACTTATTCCCCGAAAAATCTGCAAGCAGCCTGGTAGCTTTATATACACAGGAAAGCCAAAGGACAAACTAGGAATTACGTCAGAGATGGGGAAAGACTAAGGATCTTACCCAAATCAGTTGAGAATCAGCCTTAAGTATAAATGGGCCAGGTGTTGGTGGCTCACACCTGTAATCCTAGCACTTTGGGAGGCCAAGGCGGGCAGATCACTTGAGGTCAGGAGTTCGAGACCACCCTGGCCAACATGGTGAAACCCCGTCTCTACTAAAAGTACCAAAATTAGCCAGGCGTGGTGGCACGTGCCTGTGGTCCCAGCTACTTGGGAGGCTGAGGCAGGAGAATCGCTTGAACCTGGGAGGCAGAGGTTGCAGTGAGCTGAGATCACGCCACTGCACTCCAGCCTGGGTGACAGAGTAAGACTCCGTCTCAAAAAAAAAAAAAAAAGTATAAATGAAGCACAATTAACATTTGTTAATTTTATAAAGCAAAAGTTCATAAAAATAAATATTCTAATTAACTCTCCTACATCTTATAAACACTATTACCAAACCCATTTAAGATTGAAGATAAATTATATCATGGCATGGGTAAAGATTTTCAATAAGGAGTTGCTAGGATAAAAGTCAAAATTCTCCAGCATAAATTCACTGACAGGGATTTCTGTTTAATCTTTTCAAAATTCTAATACCCAATTTGTTTCCTCTAGAGAATAACTCGTGTAGAATCATAACCTCTTTGGTGGACCTTGATTTTTCCATCTGTAAAAGTATAGAACTAGTTTTGACTTAACAGTCAACAAATGCCTACCCTCTCCACATCTAGCTGATTAGAGCGCCCTCATGTGCGCATTTGCTGTAATGTTTTAGAAATCTGAAAAAGACAATATTAATCTCAGCAGTAATACAATAAATAATGTCTTCATTTGCACATTTATAGCAAATGCTATAAATATATAGCTCCAAGTATTACTCAGTAAAAGCTAAAGGCAAATGCTGTAGTAGGTTAATCTTACTGTCGTTCACTATCAAACCTTTCATATGCCAATTTTATCCTAAAACAGTGAAGTTATTGTTTTGGTTTCAATTTTAATTTAATGACTTAAAGGATTTTTTCCCTTAAAACTTCTAAGTATTTCATTATAATATTATTTCATCATTAGGCTTAAAGGAAAATATGTGGTCAATTGAGTTGTTATTTATTATACATGATAGCTTGACATCATCTTTTTAGGGATGGAAAACAGCTCCAGGGACCAAGTCTAACTCAGTTTTTTGATATAAGAATTTACCTGTCGGCCGGGCGCAATGGCTCACACCTGTAATCCCAGCACTTTGGGAGGCCGAGGCGGGCGGATATAGGTCAGCAGATCAAGACCAGGAGTTCAAGACCAGCCTGGCCAAGATGGTGAAACCCCATCTGTACTAAAACTACAAAAATTAGCCAGGCGTGATGGCAGGCACCTGTAATCCCACCTACTTGGGAGGCTGAGGCAGGAGAATCACTTGAACCCGGTTCAAGTGAGCCGGCTGCAGTGAGCCAAGATCACGCCACTGCACTCCAGCCTGGGCAATAAGAGCAAGACTCCATCTCAAAAAAAAAAAAAAAAAAGAATTTACTAGTTTGAATCATAACAATTTCTTCCTACTCAAAGAGACTACATTGGAGGAAGCCAAAACAGAAGCTTATTTATTTATTTATATACTTTATTTATTTATTTTTGAGACAGAGTCTTGCTCTGTCACCCAGGCTGGAGTACAGTGGTGTGATCTTGGCTCACTGCAACATCTGCCTCCCGGGTTCAAGCGATTCTCCTGCCTCAGCCTCCCTAGTAGCTGGGATTACAGGTGTGTGCCACCACGGCCAGCTAATTTTTGTATTTTTAGTAGAGACGGGTTTTCACCATGTTGGCCAGGCTGGTCTCAAACTCCTGACCTCAGGTGATCCACCTGCCTCAGCCTCCCAAAGTGCTGGGATTACAGGCATGAGCCACCAAGCCCAGCTTAGAGAAGCTTATTTTTTAAAAGAAAATACACAAAAAAATCAAAATCTCATAAGTCCAATTGTAATTTTTTTTTGGCTTTTAAAAATTGTTAATGCCCTCAAATATTCTCCTATCCAATCACTGTATTTTAAATGGCATTCCTCCAGCAAATATTTGTTGAGCCCCCACTATGTGCCAGGATTGAAATGTCAAATTGAAGGAGGCAATAGCTACTGAAGTAAAGCAAAAAAAAGTACTGGTTATTTTTCCTTCTATAAAATGACCTAGTAATAACCGCTTTACCCAGGAGAGTTGCTGTAAAGATCTAATAACATGACACATATAACCACACCCCTAAAGAATGAGGTGTTACCGCATGTTCTCACTCATAGGTGGGAATTGAACAATGAGAACACATGGACACAGGAAGGGGAACATCACACTCTGGGGACTGTTGCGGGGTGTGGGGAGGGGGGAGGGATAGCATTAGGAGATATACCTAATGCTAAATGACGAGTTAATGGGTGCAGCACACCAGCATGGCACATGTATACATATGTAACTAACCTGCACATTGTGCACATGTACCCTACAACTTAAAGTGTAATAATAATAAAATAATAAAATAAAAAAAAGAAATTTTGCTTAAATAAATATTATAATAAAAAAAACAAATGAGGTGTTATTAAAATGTTTGCAAGAGAAACCCTAGTAATTCCAAGCACATATTTTAGGAATGGTTTCTTGTGTAGAAAATCCTGGAATGTGAGGCTCTGCTGATTTTTTTAATGCATATTCTCTTCTTATGTATGCGGAATTTTTTTTTTTTTTGAGATAGAGCCTTGCTCTGTTGCCCAGGCTGGAATGCACTGGCACAATCTTGGCTCACTGCAACTGCCACCTCCTGGTTTCAAGTGATTCTCCTGCCTCAGCCTCCCGAGTAGATGGAATTACAGGCGTGTGCCACCGCACTTGGCTAATATTTGTATTTTTAGTAGAGATGGGGTTTCACCATATTGGCCAGGCTGTTCTAGAACTCCTGACCTTGTGATCCACCCACTTCAGCCTCCCAAAGTGCTGGGATTACAGGTATGAGCCACTGCACCTGGCCTATTTTTGTTTTTACTAATGTTTCAAGAGACCCACTTTATGTACAGAATTCTGGCTACAACCTAACAAATGAGTTGCTCTGTTCATCAGTTATAGCCAATTTAAGTAATTATGAAAAGCTCAACAATACTTTTAACTGGCAACGAAAGCGTCAATAGCTCACATTTACCACCACAACTTAGGATTTCTTGGTAGCTAAATAAAATGCTTCTATTTTGTGGGGGGAAACTGTCACATAAGTTGAAATTCTGCAATGTTCAATTGATGAAAAGGTCTCTATGTTAAATCAAAGGTATAAATTCCACATCAGTAGTACATGAAAGAGAAAAAAAAAGCCAAAATTAAAGTGATTCATGCCCACTTCCCTGAGTGAACCTAAGATTTTACTAACAGAGATGCCGTAACTTTGATCATGCACACATCAAACTTGAATTTAAAAACATGCATGCACTCACTCATCTTTTATCTCTTATGTAATTAATACTGTAAGATTATATTTTGCCTACGTGCTCTATATTACTAATTTATAGGATTATTACTATTCAGTGTTGTTTACTTGAAACCATACTGTACTATACACAACTTTTGCATTCCATGCTAACTTTATTTTTTTAATTATTTTTTTTTTATACAGAGTCTCACTCACTCTATTGCCCAGGCTGGAGTGCAGTGGCACGATCTTGGCTCCTGCAACCTCTGCCTCTCGGGTTCAAGTCATTCTCCTACCTCAGCCTCCCAAGTAGTTGGTACCACAGGTACATGCCACCACACCCGGCTAATTTTTGTATTTTTGGTAGAGATGGGGTTTCACCATGTGGGCCAGGCTGGTCTCGAACTCCTGACCTCAAGGTTATAGGCCTGAGCCACCATGTCCCAGCTCCATGCTAACTTTAGAGCTTATTTCCCATCCCATAAGATACAACACTACTTGTGTTATATAGTGAGCAGTGTGGGGAAGAAAAGCATAGAATTAAGTTAGTGACAAATCCAGTGAACTCAAAAAGAGGGAAAAAAACACTCCCAAACAATTGTTTTCCCCATATTCTATTCTCCCTAGAGGTATTCCATACAGGAACGACAAAAGAAAAAAAAGGATACAAAATGAGAAAGATGTTCATGTGACATATAAGTACAGTAATAAAATCAACAAGCATATATGGTATTTAAGCAAAATAGTATGTATGCATTGATGGTCATCTGATATAAATCCATCATTTCTGTTGGCCAACATCTAAAACCTTTACTTTTCTGAGGAGACAAGCTATAAATCTATACGGATATTTCTACAACAAGAATTCACTATTACATATGAACCAATATAATTTGATGTCAAATATTCACAATTAGGTTTAAAAAATCCCCTACTTGGCCGGGCGCAGTGGCTCATGCCTGTAATCCCAGCACTTTGGGAGGCCAAGGCGGGTGGATCATGAGGTCAAGAAATCAAGACCATCCTGGCCAACATGGTGAAGCCCTGTCTCTACTAAAAATACAAAAATTAACTGGGCGTGGTGGCAGGCACCTGTAGTCCCAGCTACTCAGGAGGCTGAGGCAGGAGAATCACTTGAACCCAGGAGGCAGAGGTTGCAGTGAGCTGAGATCGCGCCACTGCACCCCAGCCTGATGACAGAGTGAGACTCAGTCTCAAAAAAAAAAAAAAAATCCCCTACTTATGTTAAGAGTACCAAAAATAGGGCCAGGAATGATGGCTCATGCCTATAATTTTGGCACTTTGGGAAGCCGAGGTGGGAAGATAGCTTGAGTCCAGGAGTAAAATAGTGGGACTCTGTCTCTACAAAAAAATAAAAAATTAGCTGGATGGGGCACACACCTGTAGTCCAGGTACTCACGAGGCTGAAATGGGTGGATCACTTGAGCCTGGGAGGTCAAGGCTGTAGTGAACTGTGATCACACCACTACACCCTACACCCAGCCTGGGCTACAAGGTGAGACCCTGTCTCAAAAAAAAAAAAAAAAAAGGTACCAAAAATCTATAGCTGTTTCAGAAATAAAATACATGTAGTTAGTGAGGTTTTTCTCTCCCACTGCTATGACTTAATTTTTGGTTGAGATGCTAAGCCAAACATCATTTTAAGTCTGTGGCCCAACCAAAAAAGGGAATCATACTCTCCAAAGAATTGTACATTCCCACTCTAATTGCTAAAATAAAATGTTGGATTATGAAAATCAATTTTGTAGGTATCAATAATTTATAAGAGCATGGCTTATTTAAAAAAAAAAGTGGGCCAGGTTACCTACATGAGCTGCAAAGCAAGCAAACTGAATTTTCTTATCGAAGAGCCCATCCTCATACTTAAAATTTCCCATGACTACATGGAAATTCTTTCACTTACCAAAAACACCTGATTGGCACTTTCACTGAGAGTTGTGTCATCTGGGCTGTCGACAGGTGTCTGACGTGTAAACTTGGAATCAAACTGACTTACATCCTCTTCAGATTGCTCTATACAAACAAAATAATTTAGAAAATAATGAATAGTCCATATGACATCAATCAAATGCACTGTAAGCTCTGGGAGCTCTTTTCGCAGGGGTTAACTATAATAAAGTATTAGAATAGTCTTAGCAGGCACTATTCTAATAGTGGAGAAATGCAAGTGGAAGAAAAAAATGCAAGTGGAAAGTACTGAGTCAAATTACATCTTCAAATCTTAAACATGCACTAAAAAAGATTTTAGTATACTGTTATTCCTATTAAAAATGTGAATATATTGGCTGGGCATGGTGGCTCAGGCCTGTAATCCCAGCACTTTGGGAGGCTGAGGCAGGCAGATCATGAGGTCAGGAGTTCAAGACCAGCCTGGCCAATAAAGCGAAACCCCGTCTCTACTAAAAATACAAAACATCAGCCGGGCGTGGTGGCGGGCGCCTGTAATCCTAGCTACTCGGGAGGCTGAGGCAGGAGAATTGCTTGAACCTGGGAGGCAGAGGTTGCCGCAAGCAGAGATCGTGCCACTGCACACCAGCCCAGGTGACGGTGCGAGAGTCTGTCTCAATGAAAAAAAAAAAAAAAAAAGAATATATCGAGCTCAAAACAAGCTGGAAAAAATGTGAATATCAATTTCCCCTCTCACAAAGCTTCAGTGTGCCTAGTCCACTGGCTAAATCCCTGTTTAGAGATAATTAATTCAGTTGGCTACTGCAGGTTTGTAATAAACCTGAAAAACTACTGAAGCAGAGTTAAAACATGAATAATACTGGTAAGATGCTCCAGTTAAAGTTTCTTCCCACAGCTCATTTCATTCCTTCAGAAATCTAAAGGAGCAAAAATAATTTTCTATTCCGCATGGGTTATAAGTTATATTTCCTTGTGAAAGTATAGTTATCACTTCAGTTCTAACCATGAGATTTATTTATTTAATTCCTTCTCTCTTTCCCAAAATATCTGGTTAAACTCTTGGGCCAAATGTAAGAAGTAAATAATAATTTAGAATATCTGACTTAATACTAAAAGATGATGACCACATTGACCTTATAATTCTCTTAGAGCCCAGACTGTGAACCTGCACTCCCTGGAGGAATGGCTGATTCCAAGTGTGGGGAAAATGTACAAGATAAGCATAGAACACCAGTTTCCTTATTTTGCTCTCTCGTACAACACCAGACAATGTGCTCATGTCAAAAGGACTCAGAACCCAACATGAAGATGCACCCAGCATTCACTGCACCCAGCATTCAACGAAGGGAAAAAACGAGCACCAATAAAAATAACTGCTAGGTGCGGTGGCTCACGCCTATCATCTCAACACTTTGGGAGGCAGAGGCAGGTGGATTACTTTTGAGCTCAGGATTTGAAGACCAGCCTGGTGAACACGGCAAAACCCCGTCTCTACCAGAAACACAAAAATTAGCTGGGCATGATGGTGTACCTGTGGTCCCAGCTACTCAAGAGGGTGAGGTGGGAGGATTGCTGGAGGTCAGGACGTCAAGCCTGCAGTGGGCAGCGATTATACCACTGCACTACAGCTTGGGTGACAGAGTTAAGACCCTGCCTGAAAACAATAAATGAATAAATAAAAATAAAATAAAAATAACTGCGATGAAAGGAAACACAAATATGTTAAAACGTGTAAGTTCATAATATACTAAAAAAGAAAAAAACACACACAAAGTTCATTGGTCAATTTTGGAAGATGCTAGGGAACTAATTCATTATTTTGAAAACTAGGAAAGAATCAAACATACATCCTGCCTTTTCTGTATGAACTGTACCTTGGGTAACTAACTGATCAAAGAGTTTCTCTTTATGAAAGAATTCCAGCTAACAAAGAAAGAAGAAATAACAGTTAGAATAAAACCATTTCACAAACACCTGATGAAACTACAAAAGTAGGCCAGAGTTTCTCAACCTCAGGGCTACTGACATTTTAGGCCTATTAATACTTTGCGTTAGGGGGCTGTGCTGTGCTGTGCTGACTCTTACCCCTGAAGGTACCTATAGCATTCCCTCTCCCAAGCTGTGACAATCAGTGTGTCTCCAGACATTGCCAAATTACCCTGGTAGTGAAATGCTGACACAGGCAGTGACCACTAACATCACTAAAAAAACACACATACGCACACACAAGTACACATTATGCCTCCTGATCAAAGCATATGCGATACTGAGAGTGTAATCTGAATCAGATCAACCACCTAAATTTAACTACCAGTTTTTGGAAATTTGGGGAACAGATGAACATGGTCAATGACACTCTGGGGATAATATCAGCAAAATCAAAATTTGAGAATTCTACAGGACAAATGACCCCGTTTCTTCAGTAAATCACGAGGGGAATCTATAAAGGAAAAGAGACCTAAGAGACATAGTAACCAAACTACATACAGACCTTGATTAAATCCTTACAAACAGGAGAAAAAAAAAAAAAGAATGGAACAACAACAACAAAAAAATTAGGTGGGGCAACACAGGGAGACCTCATCTCTAGAAAAATTCAAAAAATTGGATGTGGTGATGCACCCCTGTGGTCCCAGCTATATGGGAGGATCCCTTGAGCCTGGGAAGATGAGGCTGCCATGAGCCACTATCATGCCGCTGCACTCCAGCCTGGGCAACAGAGAAAGACCCTATCTCAAAAAAAAAAGAGAAAAAAAAAACTGGGGAAACTGTCAACTTCTTAGGTGTGATGATGGGATGACAGTTATGTTTAAAGAAGATGATCTAATTATTTTTAAGCTGGGCAGTAGGTGTATGACAGTTCTCCTCCTTACAATTGTTTGTTGTTTTTTAAAGTGGGTCACATTATGGGGCATGACCAAAAAATAATCACCATCATCATCCTCCTCCTTCTCCACCTACAGCCCAAGGAATGGAAAAAGAAACTGTGTTTTCTCAGATTCTGAGGTGGCAGAAAGACAATAACACACTAACTCATTTACTCATAAACATATTGTTATGGATTGAATCGTGTCCCTTACCCACCCCCCAGAAAATTTCGTATGTTGAAACTCTAACCTCTAGTTCCTCAGAATGTGACCTTATTTGGAAAGGGTTATTGCAGATGTAATTAGTGAAGATGAGGTCCTACTGGAGTAGAGAGGAACCCTAATCCAATATGCCTGGTATCCTTATAAAAAGGGGAAATTTTGCCACAGATATGCACACAGGTAGAACACCATGTGAACATGAAGGCAGAGATCCAGGTGATGCACCTACAAGCCAAAGTATGCCAAAGATGACCAGCAAACCACCAGAAGCCAGGGGAGAGGCATGGAACATAAGGTTTCTCACAGTTGTCGAAGAAACCAACTCTAACAACGTGATCTAGAACTTCTAGTCTCCAGATCTATGAGATAATAAATTTCTGTTGTCTAAGCCACCCAGTTTGTGGTACTTTGTTGCAGCAAGCCTAGCAAACTAATGCACACATATTCTATATTTTGAAGAAAAAATTCCCAGAGAATCATATTTAAAATGGTTAAATTAAGCAAAATAAAACAAACCAAAAAAAGAAAAGTCCCAACTACCTGAAATATTTAATTGTCTTAGGAAACTGACTTAAAAATATCTAATACAGGCCAGGCGCGGTGGCTCACGCCTGTAATCCCAGCACTTTGGGAGGCCGAGGTGGGTGGATCACAAGGTCAGGAGTTCAAGACCAGCCCGGCCAAGATGATGAAATCCTGTGTCTACTAAAAATACAAAAATTTGCTGGGCATGGTGGCAGGTGTCTGTAATCCCAGCCACTCAGGAGGCAGAGGCAGAGATTTGCTTGAACCCAGGAGGTGGAGGCTGCAGTGATCCGAGATCACACCACTGCACTCCAGCCTGGGGGACAGATCAAGACTCCGTCTCAAAAATAAAAAAATAAAAATAAAGAGGAAGAACGCTATGGAATTTGACTAGAATTAGGGCTAACAATATGAAGCACTTTGGGAAGCCAAGGCAGGTGGATCACCATGTCGGCCAGGAGTTTGAGACCAGCCTGGCCAACATGGTGAAACCTCATCTTTACTAAAAATACAAGAATTAGCCAGGTATGGTGGTGAGCACCTGTACTCCCAGTTACTCCAGAGGCTGAGGCACGAGAATCACTGGAACCCGGGAAGCAGAGGTTGCAGTGAGCTGAGGCAGCCTGGTGTCCAAGCTGTGGTGAGCCATGATCATACCACTGCACTCAAGTCTGGGCAACAGAGGAAGTCCCTGTCTCAAAAAAAAAAAAAAAAGGGCCAGGTGCAGTGGCTCACACCTGCAATCTCAGCATTTTAGGAGGCTGAGGCGGGCAGATCATGAGGTCAGGAGTTGAAGACCAGCCTGGCCAACATAGTGAAACCCCATCCCTACTAAAAATACAAAAATCAACCGAGTGTGGTGGCATGTACCTGTAATCCCAGCTACTCAGGAGGTTGAGGCAGAAGAATTGCTCGAACCTGGGAGGCGGAGGTTGCAGTGAGCCAAGACCACATCATTGCACTCCAGCCTGGGCAACAGAGTGAACCTCCATCTCAAAAAAAAAAAAAAAAAAATTTAAAAAGGGAGTATAGGGCCAGCCACGGTGGCTCACGCCTGTAATCCCAGCACTTTGGGAGGCTGAGGTGGCTGGATCACGGGGTCAAGAGATCAAGACCATCCTGGCCAACATGGTGAGACCCCATCTCTACTAAAAATACAAAAAATTAGCTGGACACAGTGGCAAATGACTGTAGTCCCAGCTACTCTGGAGGCTGAGACAGGAGGATCGCCTGAACCTGGGAGGCAGAAGTTGCAGTGAGCTGAGACCATACCACTGCACTCCGGCCTGGTGACAAAGCGAGACTTCGTCTCAAAAAAAAAAAAACAAAAGAGTTTAAAAAAATCTTTACAGAAGAATGACAATATAGAAAAAATACAGAAAAAATAGAAAAGTCTCCAATTTCTAATCACTATAGTAATATTTGATTTGGGCAAGAAGCAATCCAGATGAAACCATTAAGTAAAGATTATTATGGGACAGAATATTCACACTGTTTCTATCATGCCATAGATCACTTGTTAATTACAAAAGGAAAAAGAGGCTGAGAATGGAGTCTCACGTCTGTAATCCCAACACTTTGGGAGGCCAAGGAGGGCGGATCACCTTAGGTAAGGAGTTTGAGACCAGACTGGCCAACATGGCAAAACCCCATCTCTACTATAATTACAAAACTTAGGCAGGCATGGTAGCAGGCACCTGTAATCCCAGCTACTTGGGGGGCTGAGGCAGGAGAATCGCTTGAACCCAGGAGGTGGAGGTTGCAGTCAGCCAAGATTGCACCACTGCACCCCAGCCTGGGTGACAGAGTGAGACTCCTTCTCAAAAAAAAAAAAAAATGCCCTTATTCTTAGGAGATGTATAGAAGAAATTAGGGGTGAAGTGCTATGAAATCTGCAGTTAACTCTCAAATTGTACAGAAAGAAAATTTATTAATGTTAAAAAATGTCAATATTCATAGATACACATATATGTGGGGGCAGGTAGAAAGGGAGGGACACAGAGACAAAGAAAATATGGCAAAATGGTAACACCTGGTGATCACTGAACTATTCTTGCAACTCTGAAAAGTTTAAAAAATTTCAAAGGTATATTGTTTTTGAACTGCTCGGGAGGTTTAAATTTTTGAATTTTTAAAATAAGCAATCAATTGTGAGGAAGTCTGAGAAGCCACAGACTTAAGAGATAAGATGAAAAATAAGGAAAGTAGAATCACAGTAATAAGAGGAACAGAGTTTCAAAATGCTGTGGTCAGTCAGTAGCTTCAATGCAAAAGTAAGTTAAATTAAGGACCAACTCAGTAAAGACAACTGGATTCAGCAACTGGGAAGTCAGTGATGACCTAGGGTACAGGAGCTGCATTGAAATAGTAGAGTTGGGCCACGCGTGGCCCACATCTATAATCCAGCAGTTTGGGAGGCCGAGGTAGGTGGACCTCTTGAGGCCAGGAATTCAAGACCAGCCTAGCCAACATGGTGAAACCCCATCTCTACTAAAAATACAAAAATTAACCCGAGACAGTGGCGCACCCCTGTAATCCCAGCTACTCAGGGGCCTGAGGCATGAGAACTGCTTGAACCTGGAAGGCAGAGGCTGCAGTGAGCTGAGATAGGGCCACTGCACTTCAGCCTGAGTGACAGGGGAAGACTCTGTCTAAAAAAACAAAAAATAGGCCTGGCGTGGTGGCTCATGCCTGTAATCCCAGCACTTTGGGAGGCCGAGGCAGGCGGATCACGAGGTCAGGAGATCGAGACCATCCTGGCTAACACGGTGAAACCCTGTCTCTACTAAAAATACAAAAAATTAGCTGGGCGTGGTGGCAGGCACCTGTGGTCCCAGCTCCTCCGGAGGCTGAGGCAGGAGAATGACATGAACCCGGGAGGTGGAGGTTGCAGTGAGCTGAGATTACGCCACTGCACTCCAGCCTGCGTGACAAAGCCAGACTCCCTCTCAAAAAAAAAAAAAAAAAAAAAAAAAAGACGTAAACTGGGTATGTGCCTTTAGAGGTGGTGCACATTTTTAGCATTATAAATGAATATAAATGAGTGGCAATTGTTACTTTGGTCCACAGATTTTTGGTATCTTAACTAGTTTTTGGTCTCTTCCACTAAAGGCATTGCCTGTTGAACCTTGTTAGGAATGTAAGTACTGAAGGCAAACTGCCTGGGTTTGAATTTTGTTCTGTCCCTTGCACCCTGCCTGGTTTCAAATCCTAGCTCTGCTTATTACGTTCTTTTAAGGGGATGACCTTTGAGCAAATGTCTTAGCTTCTGTTTTCCCCAGTAAATGGACACAATAGTTGCTACTTTGTGAAAGATTCATGTAATTGACCAGCATTTACCAAGTAGCATCAGTGTTTAGTTTCAGTCATTGGTGATTCTGCAGTTGGACTGTGAGGGGGTATTGGGGTGGGGGGTGGTGTGTGTGTAGCACTTAATTGCAGGCAGGAAGGAAAAGATACTTTTGATAACCGACAGGCAGCTTTTCTCTGCTTTTGTGTCAAAAGGGAGGAAGGGAGTTTGGAGAGGGAAATGAATTCTCTGTAACACTAAGCTCTCTTCCTCAAAACCAGAGGTAGATAGAATGTGTAATAATTTACAGAATTTCTAGACTTCAACGATCTGATTTTTTTAATTTATTTTTATTTTTTCAGGTTGAGACTGAGCTAAAGTTAATCTGTGGCGACGTTCTGGATGTACTGGACAAACACCTCATTCCAGCAGCTACAACTGGCAAGTCCAAGGTTTTCTATCATGAAATGTAGGTTCTATACTAACAATTAACAAGTGTACTTCAATAAATTTAAACATTCTCAGGAATAATTGACTTTGTTTCTTTTTTTCTTAGACATTTCATATTATTTTCCTTATTAAATATAACCAAAAATCCCACAGAAATTAACTGAGGAGCCTCTAAATATCAACAAAGTTATCACTTGATAGACTAGAATTAAACAAGCAAGTGGTTCCAAGAAATGGCACGAGTGTATTAATCATAAAATAAAATTTCTACATGAAACATTCAGCCATTCTAGACCATTTCTGTCTGTGCAGACTCATCTTTTCCTGTTCTTTGCAAAGCCCAGCTAGAGCAAGCAAGTTCTTCCCAATAGGTTTTTCCCATCTCTGGTTGCTTGGCTGGCTGGGCTTCCTCTACAAACCCCCTTCCTTTCCCCTAAGCAGGGCCCGGTGTCCCCATCCCGCGGAGTTGACCTCATGAGGGCATCTGACCAGGAGTAGCTATTCCTGGTGCTATTGTCATTGTCCTGTTTCATGTGTGAACATGGCTGGCTCTACAGAGATTTGGCGGGTAGCAAGGAGGTTTCTTTTTGAATCTTCTTTTGGAAGTCAGACTTGATGAGGATCTTATGCCCACTTTTTCCTAGCTCTGTGGTGTCAGGCAAAGTCTGTTTCTGCAAATGGGGGTTAAGAATTCCTACCTCACAGCGGTCTTTTGATAAATAAATGAGATCTTAAGTGTAAATTATTCCACTAGAAATTGCACAGTCACTTTGGTCTCTTCATCCTGGAGGTCCACTGACAAACCTCATGCAAACCTGTGGCCCTGTTCATAAAGTGTTTTGATCCATACTTTCAAATGGCCTCAGGAAGACCTTTTATAAAGTAAAAATGTTAGGCAGCCACATGATATCCATTGACCCAGTGAGGCTGTTTTACTGGATATAAGAGGTTTGACCCGGCATTTTGGGGGGCCGAGACAGGCAGATCACTTGAGGCCAGGAGCTGGAGACCTGCCTGGCCAACATGGAGAAACCCCATCTCTATTAAAAATACCAAAAAAATTAGCTGGGCATGGTGGCACATGCCTGTAATCCCAGCTACTTGGGAGACTGAGGCACAAGAATCGCTTGAACCCGGGAGTCAGAGGTTGCAGTGAGCCAAGCCGAGATGGCGCCACTGCACTCCAGCCTGGGCAGCAGAGTGAGACTCTGTCTCAGGGGAAAAAAAAGGGTGAGGGGAGGGTTTGAAAAAATAGTAGCATGTAGTTATGTTTCTACAATATTTGATATATATAAGGATTTACCAACCTCTTGCATTAGCTGCTATCCCCTACAGCAGTTGCTGTAGGAAAAAAACATCAAGTTCTGAGCTCCTACTGTTTGCCAGGCATATTCTGAGATGATCACGTTGAAATCTCAGAGTTACCCTGCAGAGTAGTCAGGGTATCACTGCCTGACAGATGAAGAAGCTGAGGCTTCCAGCAGATAAATGACTTACCCCAGGCCACATAGAAAATGAGTGGGAGAGCCCAGGTCTGTCTGTGAGGTATAATGAAATTAGCATAAACCCTCCACATTGGCGCCACTCGCATAAATTAACATATATTCTCTCACAGAAAGTATTTTATTGGGCATAACAGTTTGTATCATTTACCGTTTAACATTAGCCGTGGATCTTCCCACATCACATGACTATGCCTCATTCTTTTTGGATAATATGATTACTATTGAATGGATTTACTATCATTCACTTAATCAATACTCCTTTTGATGGCCATTTTAATTGTCTATTTTTTCCTTTTGCACAGATTGGTGTAATAAACGTGATTTTATAGTAATATTTTTGTCTGCCTGTGAAAATGTTTGCTGGACAATAAATTCCTAGGAGTCAAATAAGGTCAAAGATTATAAATACAGTATTTATTTTCATAAATATTACCAAGTCAGCCACAAATGTTTAAATTACTAATGGTTTCAGATTATTGTATTTAATGAGTAAACACTTTTATAGGGTTTACTTTTATGAACACTTTTATTTGCCAGATATCATTCTAAGTCCTTTACAAAATTAACTTTTTTAATTTGTAATATAACCCTGAGATGTATATTAGGATTATCCCCATTCTACAGATAAGAACACTGAGAAGTTAATTAACTTGCCACATATCTAGGAAGTGACAAGGCTAGTTGCACAGCCAGGCAGTCTGGCTCCTGAGTCCACATTTTAGACAACACTATACCTCCTGGTTCTTTTGAGGCATTACTGCTGGAACTATCCTAATACTCATAAATAAACATTTCTTTTGGGGAGGGCCAAATAAAATTTTAAACAGAAAAGTTTTCACCAACTGTCAAGCTCATAAAGTTGTACGTTATACACTTTTTTCATGATGCCCACAGATAATTTATTAATGATATCATCTATTTTAAAAGACGTATGTAAAACCCAACCCTTAAGAAAGGATTCCTATCACTGTTCCCACAGGCACCCTCCTCAGTCTTATACCTTTCCATTCCACCCCCCAAAACAAATCATTCAGCATATTTATTTCATACTGTAATATAGGAAGTAGCTTCTTTTTAGATTTTCTTAGATTATTAACATTGATCATACAAACATGGAATAGAAATTCCTTATGTTTTATCTGGATTTAAGGTGCTACATAATGGAATCTATTTCTATCAAGCCATACACATTGGAGATAATGAAATCACTTGTGTTCTAGCCTAAACGTTATGGGAATTTCAGAACTGCAACATAACAGATAATCCTTGGACGAAAACTAAATCTCTCCTCTGGTCAGGCATCTATGTGCATCAGTGAAGAGAAGACGGGGACTGTGGAAGGGAAAACAGTGAGTCAGGAAGGACTGTGGCCACATCTGTTCCCCGGACCCTCAAGTAGTTAAATCCTGACCTCCTCTACCCCAGACTGTCCTGGGGAACGGCCAACACTGGCTTTTCACAACTGTGTGTTACCAGAAATGCAACAGAAACCCAGCTGAATCCCCAGGGTTTCCCTTCTGCCCTTCTCAATGGAAAGATCTGTCCCAGGACCATTTATTCCAACATTTTCAATTATGAGAAATCTGGGAAGATAAAGTTATTTTCACATTTCTCAAGAAATACATACTTATTCATACTCATGACAGGAAAGTCAGAATCTACAGAAAACCAAGAAGATTTTTAAAAATCCATGATACCACCATCAAAAGAGCCACACTTAGTATGTTGGTCCACAGGTTTCCTAGCACCCTTTTCTGTTGGTGTATGCACAAAATACACAATCACATTCTGTCTACATTTTACAATTTGCCATTTTTTGATTAACACTATATATTGACCAATTTTTAAGACCTGCAACATATGTCGACAACATTATTTCAGAATAATATATTTATAAATAAACGCACACACAAACTGTCTGTCTTATATACAACACGTCTTACTTTCTAATTCTCCACTCTGGAAGATTTAGGTTTTGCTAACTTTTTAATATACTCACCAGGAATCAGTAAACTTTTTTTATAAAAGGCCAAAGGGTAGATATTTTAAACTCTGCAGGCCATAGGTTTCTGTTGCAACACTCAACTCTGCTGTTGCAGGGAAAGAAGCCATACACAATTTGTAAATGAATGGGCATGACTGTGTTCTGATAAACTTTATAAAAACAGGTGGTGGACTAGATGCAGCCTGCTCCTCTGGACATGGCTTACCAGCCCCTGACATATACCACTACAGAGGATGCTGTTAGAATGAAATCTCTTTACACATCTCTGATCATCTCCTTAGGACTAATTGCTAGACATGACATCATGGTAGCTGTGGGTCAAAGGGCATGCACGCTCTGGGATGTACATTGCCAGATTGCTCATGATCAGCCTTTCTCATGTCAAAATGTTTTGTGACCACCAGAAGGCTGGTTCTGCTTTTATTATCCATTGACTGAGGAGTAGAAATGACATGGCATGTATGCAGGATATTTAACCATCGTATAGATAATCCTTGTGCACAAGTGCATTCTATATTCTTTCCCAATAGGTCTACATCTGCCAGAGTTGAAATAAAATAAAACAAAACAAACCTATTTAGCACCTTCTGTGTAGCAGGTCCATTCATGTATGTTGTTGTATTTCATTCTCAGAATTCTTATGACCTAGGCATTTTAAAAATTTTTTTAAAAATATTGAGTTGACAAGGATTGTGTATATTTAATGCATACAATGTGATGATTTCATATATGTATATATTGTGTACTAATTATCACAATCAAATTTATTACATCCATTACCACCTATGCTGTACATTAAATCTCCAGAATTTGTTCATCTTATAACTGAAAGTTTACACCCTTTGATTAATAGCTTCCCATTTTCCCCACCTCCAGCCCTTGGCAACCACCATTCTACTATCTGTTTTTATGAGTTTGACTCTCTTAGATCCCACATATAAGTGAGATCATACAAAACTTGTCTTTCTGTGTCTGGCTTATTTCACTTAGCGTAATGTCCTCCAGGTTTATCCAGGACAGGAGTTTCTTCTTTTGAATGGCTAATAGTCCATTGTTTATATGTATTTTATTTATCCATTCATCTGTTGCTGGACACTTAGGCTGTTTCCATATCTTGGGTATTGTGAATAGTGTTGTAATAAACATGGGGCGCAGATCTCTCTTCAAGGTTCTAACCTGATTGCTGAATCGTATGGTAGTTCTGCTTCTAATTTTTTGAGGAACCTCCATACTGTTTTCTGTAAAGGTTATACCACTTTACATTCCAACCAACAGTGTACAAGGGTTCTCTTTCCTCTATGCTTTCGCCAACACTTGTTATCTCTTGTCGTTTTTTTATAAGAGCCGTCCTATCCTATGAGGCAATATCTCACTGTGGTTTTGATTTGCATTTCTCTGATGATTAGTGGTGTTGAGCACCTTCTCATATGCTGGCTGGCCATTTGTATATCTTCCTTGGGGAAAAAAGTCCATTGGGGTCCTTTGCCTATTTTTAATTGCGTTATTCATGTATTTATTAATTTTTGCTATTGAATTGTGTGAATTCCTTATATTTTTTCAAATAACCCCTTATCAAATATATGGGTCGCAAATATTTTCTTCCATCCCGTAGGTTGCCTTTTCATTTTGTCATGGTTTCCTTTGCTGTGTAAAACCTTTTAAGATTGATGTAGTCCCATTTATTTATTTTCACTTTTGTTGCCTGTGCTTTGGTGTTACATCAAAAAAAATATTGCCAATTATGACCAATGTCGAGGAGATTTTTCCCTATGTTTACTTCCAGGATTTACATGGTTTCAGATATTACATTTAAATCTTTAATCCACTTTGAGCTAATTTTCTGTATATGATGTAAAACAAGTGTGCAATTTCATTCTTTTTCATGCACTTTCCCCAACACCATTCATTGAAGAGAGTTTCCTTTCTACATTGTGCCTTTTTTTTTTTTTACAGTACAGTGAAAGCAAGTCTATTAAGAAAGTAAAGGAATAAAAGAATCTACATTGTATATCCTTGATGGCCTTGTCAAAGATCTGTTGACCATATATGCACGGGGTTATTTCTGGGTGAGCTTGGCATTTTTTTTTTTTTTTTTTTTTTTTGAGACAGAGTCTCGCTCTGTCGCCCAGGCCAGACTGCGGACTGCAGTGGCGCAATCTCGGCTCACTGCAAGCTCCGCTTCCCGGGTTCACGCCATTCTCCTGCCTCAGCCTCCCGAGTAGCTGGGACCACAGGCGCCCGCCACCGCGCCCGGCTAATTTTTTGTATTTTTAGTAGAGACGGGGTTTCACCTTGTTAGCCAGGATGGTCTCGATCTCCTGACCTCATGATCCACCCGCCTCGGCCTCCCAAAGTGCTGGGATTACAGGCGTGAGCCACCGCGCCCGGCCGAGCTTGGCATTTTTATCTACCTCATTCTACCGATGAGGAGGCCGAGTCTCAGAGAGTTCACAGACCTGCCTAAGGTCACTCAGCTAGAGGTGATACAACCAGGGTTTGAACTGAGATCTGCCAAGCTTCTGAGTTTATTCTTTTTCCCCCACACCAAGGATCCTCAATTCTGCCTTACTGACATCAGGATCCGGTCAATTCTTTGTGATGGGGGCTGTCCTGCACCTGGCAGGATGTTTAGCAGCTTCTCTGGCCTCCACCCACTGGATGCCAGGGGAATGCAGAAGAGGCTTGTTCATTCTCCCATTTAATCCTCAGGACAATATCTGACATAAATGTTACGTCTTTTATTTTATAAATGAAGAAAATGAGACTCAGAAAGGTTTAAGTGAGTTACTTAAGAACACACAGACAGCAAAGGTAGAACTGGAAACCGAACACAGGTGTCCACATGGGACAACAAAAAAGTTCACGTTCCATCTTCTTTTGAGTCTCTCATTTCAATAATTACCATTGTGTGGATATGAGCTGAAGTACAGGAAACCTGGGGCTGAACTCTCCTCCCATCAGGCCTAGGAGCCCCAGACCAGAACCCCAGCCCAAGGTCTCCCAGTCAGGCCCGCTGGCGTGAGCTGGCATCTACACTAGCATGGTCTCCCAAAGCTGCAGGGATGCCAGTCTCGCCGCTGATGAAGAAAATGAAGGGCATTTGCTTCTCATGCAGGCTGTCGGGATTTAACACAGATTCCTTTTCTTGCTGTCTTCTCCCATAGCACAAAACTGGGTGGTCCATCCCCCTCCCAGTGTCCCAAGGCTTTGTTGCGTGTTCTCTTTAATTTCTCCCACTCTTGTGGTGCACCCTACCCTCATCTCCCTGGCAACCTTTCTGCTGTATCCTCTCGACACCTGGATCACAAGAACACTTGTGAGACCCCTTAACAAGTTACATCCCAAATTATCATTCTCCTTTGTCCTCAGCCAGTGCTCAGGTCCAACTTGCTCTCCTGGGGTGACTTTCTTTCCTGCCCAATATGGTTTCATCATCTGTAAATTGGGGATAATTAAAGTCTTGATCCTGATATTTGACTCTCAAAGCAGAAGTAGCAAGCTCAGCCAAGTCACTTCAACAAGAGGAGAAGTTCCTTGTGAACCAAAAGGGCACTGGTCACAAGGGCCGCTCCTTCTTCTGTCAGGCCTCTCCAGCACGCCCTTGGCTCAGCCAAAGAAGAGACTCAGGCTGTGCTTCTGCACTGTTGGGATAACATAGGCCTCTTCCATGTGGTTCCACACCAGGAACATGGGGACAATCAGACCTCTCCCAGTGTGGGCATAAGGATACAAGATCATGTCAATATTGACATTCATAATGGCTGGGCGCAGTGGCACACGCCTGTAATGCCAGCACTTTGGGAGGCTGAGGTGGGCAGATTGCTTGAACCCCAGAGTTCGAAACCAGCCTGGGCGACTTGGCAAAACCAGTCTCTACTGAAAATACAAACAATTGGCTGGGCTTGGTGGCGCACACCTGTAGTCTCAGCTACTTGGGAGGCTGAGGTGGGAGGATTGCTCAAACCCAGGGAGGTTGAGGCTTCAGTGAGCTATGATGGCACTGCTGTACTCCAACCTGGGCAACAGAGTGAGGCCCTGTCTCAAAACAAAAACAAAGACAAAACAACATTCATAATAGTAGCAATAGCTACTATGTGCCAAGCCCAGGCACCTCTTCGAGTCTTTGCTGTCACCCTATCAGGTAAGCGTGCTTAGAAGTTACACGAAGCACACGGCTCAGTGTTTGGCCCACGGTAAGGGCCTAAAAAGGGATAGCCCCAGTGGTGGGGATGCTGCTGCTGCTGACCATTAACCCCAGTCTGCTCCACCTTCTTCCAGGCAGTCTGTGAGATGTTTCATGTCCGAGGCAAACAGCACATTCAGATCCCCAAGCTCTACACCTCCAGTGTGACCAGGCACCTGCACCACTTCAGGCTCATGCAGGACTCACAGCCTTTGGACCTCAGCTAAAGGACTTGCTTCTCTTCAGCACACGGGGCTTGTTTGTGTTGGGGTCTGAGCCCTGAGCCCATGGTCAAGGAGACCCCCAGGTCTTTCTGAACAGAGACAGCTGGCCTGGGGGCCTCCCTCTCACTGCGTGCAAGAGGCTGTTAGGGTGCAAGACTCAAGGCGCTGAGGGAGGCTGTTTCAGGAGGGAGCCCCAGGAGGGTGGTGGAGACAGAAGGGGGCAGCATCTGCCGAGGCCCTACTGTGTGCCTGGCACCGTGTGGGGTTTCTGGCCCATATGGGCTAAGTGACCCTGCACACTCCTCTTAGGAGAGAGGCTCAGATGGAGAAATTGCAGTTCAGGAAGGTGAAGCAAGCTGCTAGCCTGTGGCCATGTTGGGATCTGGGCCTCAGCCTTCCAGCCACGAAGGCAGCCAAGTGTCATGAAGAAGGCATCACAGAGGCAATTCCAGGCTGTAGTGGTGAACTTTCCACTCTGCATCCCCGGGTGCTGTGCCCTGTGCCCTGTCTAAGGTAGCCCTGTGGGTTTCTATATGTTTAAATTGTCCCCAGCATCAATGATGCTCTCCTGTGGATCCCAAGCCATGGAGATGTCCTGGGACTTTTCATTTTTAGGTACCTAAATTGAATTTCCCAACACACAGAAGCAAGACAGCCGCCCTAACAGACTCTTGCATGCAGTGAGAGGGAGGCCGCCAGGCCAGCTGTCTCTGTTCAGAAAGACCTGGGGGTCTCCTTGACCATGCGCTCAGGGCTCAGACCCCAACACAAACAAGCCCCGTGTGCTGAAGAGAAGCAGGTCCCTTAGCTGAGGTCCAAAGGCTGTGGGTCCTGCATGAGCCTGAAGTGGTGCACGTCCCTGGTCACATTGGAGGTGGAGAGCTTGGGGATCTGAATGTGCTGTTTGCCTTGGATCTTTATTTGTGATTCAGAAACAGTGGAATAAAAGGAAAGGAAAGAAAACCTGAATGGCCACCTCAGCAGGATGCTCCAAGGGTAGTGTCCAGGTGGCACTGACTCAGATATGTGGGGGCTTCCCCCACCCATGCTCAAGAGCCACTTTGCCATTTCACCATCTCTCTGTCCTCCACACCCCTCAGCAGCAAGCACAACAAGAATGTGTTCACCATGAAGCTCAAATCTCAGCAGAATCTAGAGTCTGAAATCCAAGTAAGGGAAAGTGTAGAGCTTCTTGGATGATGCCCTGTCAATTTTATTTTAACGAATGAAAGACCAGAAGAAGTCAGTCTTGAAAGGAGAGGACAGGAGCATCTGCTGGCATTAGCAGCCGTGCCATCGTAGGACCGACTCACCTGGACCCGCGGCCACCTGTGCTTTTACATCTAGTCTTGGTTAACCATGGGCCACTTTTCCAGCTTGGAAACTAAGCATATGCTCCACTTCCTCTCCTTCCTCATTGAACTCTTTCACTAAAAGAACAGTGCAAGAGAGACTTAAACTGTTTGCCTCATTCTTAAGACCTTTCAGGAAAAGTGTTGGCAGGGAAGGAAATCTCCCAGCTCTGGGAAACAGTCTTGTGGATTATCTGCTGGTTTCATTGATCTGTGCTGTCCTCCCTGCATTCATTAGGAAAACTGGCCTTGGTTCAAATAAGAACAGGATTTGTCCTGGTGACAGAGAAAGGTTTCTTCTGATGTCCATATATCTCCGAGGGGGATGCTTTCTCCAGGCAGAGGCTGTGGCCAAGCGATCGGGGGGCTCAGAGGGCTGCTGGGAAGGGGTGGGCCCCTCTCTCCCCAGAGGGAAACTCCTGGGGACCTCTCGAGCACCCCTGCCCATCCTTTAAACATAAATTCATAAATACAAACAAGTAGGCCATTCACAGAAATATATAAAATATGTCATAGGACGGGTGGCACTCTCATATGGCAATAATTATGACAGGGGCCGGCAAATGACCTGAGTGACCCGGAGTGACCTGAGCACTGACTCCCAAATGCCCTCCATAGGATGTTCTGCATCCCCGAGACCCTTTCCTGGGTCCTCCTGGGCCCTACCACCCCCTAGACCATCCAGACCTCAGGTCATCCCCCTGTCTGTTGACAGAGTAGTCTCCGTTCCTGAATGTGCTGGTCACCAGCAACAGCAGCTGCTCCTCCTCCGGGAAGCTCAGCCTATACTTCTACATGCAGAGAACCTGGACGGCACCCAGGTGGACCTAAGCCTTCAGCTCCCAGTAGACGCTCTGGGTTTCCTACCCTGCCCAGACACTCTGGGCTTCCCCCCACACCTCCCCTCGTCCGGGGCTCCTGTGTGCATCTGTCTCTCCCAGTGCCCAGCACAGGCGTGGAACGGAAGAGGTGAATGGACCGATTTGAACACATCATCCTGGATTCTCCGTTCCCTCTCAAGCCCTGCAGCTAACCCATCGGCAAGCCCTGGAGGCTCTGCCTCCAAAATCCTGCCTATCCCATGTGCAAACGCCTCTCACCACATCCACTGCTATTTGCAGTTCTGTGTGTGTGGAAATACTTCCACAAATTTGGAATGAACAGGTCACAGCTGTGCCTGGAGGGAATGGCCAGGGAAATGTGCCCTCACCTTGCTGTTCTATCCAGGCCCACCCAGCTGAGGATGGGGGACCTGCCACCACTCTCCTGGCAGTTCCGGACTCCTGGGAACCGGCAGGTGAGGACCCAAGAGTGTTTTCAGTGACCCGGCTGACCTGGTCATCCGTCAGTCCCACCTTGGCCTAGGCCTCTATACAGCACAGATCACAGCTCATTCCATCCTGGCATTACACTGGCCTGTGCCCTGTCCTCAGGGTCACATCCGTCTCCCAGAAGCCGTGCAACCCTGGAAAACCCAGGTCTAACAGTCAGGTTCCTCCTCCGTGCATTAACAATGGCGTTGACGCCTGCTTTGCGGCACGCTGGGAGGGGAGAGGGAGGTGTATGCTGGAGAGCTCCCCAGGGGCAAGGCCTGGCTCTGCGTCACCCACTGTCAGATCCTGAGAGCCTGGGGCTGGCCCAGCACGTGGCCACCGTTCCCTAAGAGTTGGATTTCATCCCTCAGTGCTGAAGGCAGGGGATAGAGCTTAGACAGACCCCCTGCGTCCTGTCTTCTTTATCTACAGCTTTCTCATCCTTGCCCCTTTCACGTGCACCCGGCAGAGCAGGTGTTCACTGAGCTTGAGCAAAATTCAAGCTAGAGCAGCTGATGGATCTTGAGGCCTAGATTCACTGTCAAAGTGTTTCTCAAACGGTGCTCTCCAGAACACCAAGGAAAACTCATTGACTGTGTAAGTCTGAAAATCCCTGCCCACCGGTCTACCTTTGTGTATGAGCAATCAGCTCTACCATTCAGCCCAGGTGTGTGTTTGCTGGACCATGTGGAGGAAGCTGAAGAGACGTGAGCTGAAGGCAGAGGGTGAGTCCAAGGTGGGATCTTGGGACAGGTACGAGAAGTTAGGCAAAAATGGGATAATTCTAGCCTTCATAACCTTAGATAATAGTTCACATTATTATTTAGTTAATAGAACTGTACCCACATTAAATTTCTTAAATTTTTTTAAGAGATAAAGTCTCACTCTGTCACCCAGGCTGGAGTGCAGTGGTGCAATCATGGCTCACTGCTTCCTGGAACTCGTGGGCTCCAGCAATCCTCCTGCCTCAGCCTCCTGACTAGGTGGGACTATAGGCACACGCCACCATGCCTGGCTAATTTCTTTGACTTTTCTCTAGAGACCGGGTCCACCTAGGTTTCCCAGGCTGGTCTCAGACTTCTAGACTCAAGTGAACCTGAACCTCCCGCCTCGACCTCTCAAATTGCTGGGATTACAGGTGTGAGCCACCACACCCGGCCTAAATTTCTTATGTGCCATGGGACTGCAAAACATCATTATTAGGGGCAGCTGGATGGAAGGTATAGGAGGATACTATAGTGCCTTTTCAATATTTCTGTCTAAAATCTAAAATCATTTCAACAGGAAACATTTATTTCAAAACATGAAGGTGGTTATCCTTCCATGAGTTTGAAGTACAAAGGCAGGCTCACGGTGTCGTCAGAATTCAGAACGATGGTCGTGGGGCTGGGGGTGCTGGGAGGGGCTGGGCATGGTTGGCTTTGTGATCTGGGGTCTGGTGTGTTCCATCTCTGAATCTCTCTCGAGCTGCACTCTTTCTTAATACATTTTCATAAGTTTAACCAAAAATAAAACGAGGATGCGAAGCTTGCTTGGGTTGTTAAGCCTAGGGAAATTATCCAGCCATGAGCCCTGGCCCAGATGCTTCTAGAAGCCTGGAGGGAACTGAGAACTTTCCAAGTGGAGGCCGCAGAGGCAAGGCCCTGAGGTGGGAGCACACTGCTGTTCGTCCCTAGCTCTGAAGGGGGTGCCCTGGTCGGAATCAGTGCTGGGTGCAGCGAAAGCCGATCTCACCCGCTCCGCAGGGTGTTCAGCCTGCCAGCAGGGGGCCAGCTGGTCCTCCTGGGATATGGCACGGACCCAGCAGCTCTGTCTGAAATCATAATGGCGGAACCAAGGGCCCTCTACGTCCAGGTCCGTTGGGAGGCGGGGCATGGAGTTCCACTGCAGGAATCTCCAGGAACCCTGAGGTCCTCCCTGAGCCAGGGCCGGGCTGGGCACACCCTGAGTGCCCACAGGGTAGGTGTCTTCCCGGACAGCCCCACCAGGACAGGGTGTGGAAGAACGAGGTGCCCGTGGCGGGGAAGCTGACCAAATGGGCCGCGGGAACCGGGCTGGTGGGCCTGGAGGGGCCTGCCTGTCCCCCTTGCAGAGGGTCTTCCCGCCACGTGAAGCCGGCACAGGCCTGGATGCCGACGACCCTTGCTCGGGTTTGGCTGAAAGGAAAACAGACGCGGTCAGCATCTCCAGTGAGCCCACGCAGGCCTTTCCGGGCTGGGCCCCACCTGCCTGCGTCTCTGGAGTCCTCGGGGTCTCTGTGTGGCCCCCGTGGCCTGACACCGAGGACACGCCTGTAGTCTGCTGATCCCAGAGGGAGGGGTGCATGCTGCCTGGCGTGGGGAAGCTGTCGTGGCATGGCGGGTGGCTCCTGGGACTGCCCCCAGGGTTCAGACTGGCTGGGGGCTTCCTGCCACACACCTTCGTCCCAGGGCTGTTGGGCCTGGGATACGGCCCCCAGTCAGAACTCAGGTGGGAGGGGCCTTGGATGTCACCCAGCCCCTTGTCACCTCACGTGGGGACCCGTCTCCGCAGTGGGTGATTGGGCCCGGACGTGGGTCACCCTCTGCCCTCCTGGGCTGCCCAGTCCATGCCAGGACTGACCGTTCCCACTTCTGGCTGAACTCTTGGCTCTGGCTCTGGGCCCGGGGTCCCGCCTGTGCCCTCTCCCTGAATGCTCTGTGGGTCAGAGACACGGATTCCCTTGTCTCCCTGGCTCCAGGCTTCTTGTCCTGGCAACCTTGGAGGAGCGTGCAGGAGTGAGGGGCCTCTGCTGCTCTCTGAGGCTGTGGGTGCTTGCAGGGAGGGGCGGGGTCTCCCACAAATGGGTCTGGGCTCGTCTAGTAACTTGGAGGGCCCTGCGAGGGGGAGAGGGAGACACCGTGGAAAGTGGGAGGGGGCTTGTTGGAGGGTCTTGCCCACATCCCCCTCCTGCGTGCACAGCATGTCCAGTATACACGCACTGAGCGCCTGCCCTGAGGACCGGTGGGCCTCCTGTACTTTCTTAGAGTCCAGGAGGAAGAGGAGGAAGAAAAGGTGAAGAGGAAGGCCCAGGTAGTAGGGTTGCGGGTCCCGGGCACTCCCCTACTACTGACTACCCCAGAGGGTGACATGGGAGGGGACATGGCACTGGAGCCCACCTGGGGGTGGCAGGTCCCCCTGCTTTCTTGTTAGTTTCTTCATAGAGGCCCTAAGATGCTTGAGCACAGTGTCCTCATCCCTGGCCCAGGTATCAACGAACCGGTTGCAAAAACGTGCCCACGGGCCACACCTGGACGTCTTCGTGAGGCGCTCTAGGGACAGGGTGGATATCAGGCCAGGGGAGTTACCTGGGAATGGTCACAGCTCATATCCCGTGGCCACTTCAGTCTCCTACTGGGCGGTGCCGGATCCTTTTGTGGCCACCCCAGGTGTCCAGATATACACAGGAGACTGTGGCTGGGGGGCGATCCGGACAGGGAAGTGCTCACCACACTCTCGACTTTCATCTGGGTCATGTGGGGGATGGGCTCGGTGTCACAGTGTCCTGCCCAGCCCACCTGGCCAGACCTCCCTCTGGGCCAGAACAGAGGATCATGAGGACAGTGTGAGGAAGCTGCCCTCGGGCCAGTCGGGGTCTGACCCCAGGGCTCCCCAGGCCCCGCTGGGCACACGTAGACTTACTCTGCTGAACCTTAAAGGCGATTCTTGTTATCGGCATCAACGCCTGTTCGCCTTCTACCAGATACACGTCCCACAGGCGCAGGGTGAGCCCGAGAGAGATCTGTGGGGACAGCAGGTGTGAAAGAACCTGGTCCTTCCAGGCTGGGGCTGGTGGCTCGAGCTGCGCACACTGGGGCTTCAGTCTCCAGAGTCAGTGACCTTCCCCATGAGGGTCGCCTGAGCCCTCCAGGACGCTGGGTCAGACAAGGTCTTGAAGCTCCTCATGGGGGGCACTCATTTGAGTGGGGATGTGGCTCCTGGAGAGAGGGGCTTGCCCAGGGCTTGAGGCTTCCCTGAGCCCTCTCAAGTCGGGTCCTGGCCCAGTCTGCCCATGAGGCTGGGCCTGAGCCCCAGCCATGGCCCTGGGATGACCCCCCTTGGGCAGAGGGTTTTGCTTGTGTGTCCTTTGGGGACCCGCCTGAGCCTCCTGTGGGCTGGGAGTGAGCCAGACCCCCGGGCTGGGGAAGCAGGGCACTGCAGGGCAAGGAAGGTCCCTGAGCCAGGGTCTCCCTATGCCTCCTTACCCCGTCAATCAATATCCGGATGAGGCAGCCTAACGGGGAACACTGCCCACATAGATCTTTCTTGTCCTGATGGAAGCAACAGAGGTGCTCAGGCCACTGGGCTGCCCTAAAAACCTCCCTCTTCCAGGGCCTCTGAAGACCCTTCCCCTAGTGCAGAACACTGGGCGGTGTCCAGAGCTCCCCACAACACTGTCACCTTCCCACACTCCCGGTGGACACACTGCCCTTTGCCCTGCTCTGTGGGAGCTGGGCCCCCATCCCTGTGCCTCTGTCTCCTCCAGGGCAGGAAAGGAAACCAACTCCCAGCCCATGGAGAACCCGACGTCCCAGGTCAGGCCCTGGCTGGGACTCAGCCAGTCACCAGCCCCACGAGGGGCTCCAGCCCCCCTGCTCCTACAGCCCCACGGGAGGCAGGGCCTCTGGGAAGAGCTGAGGGGACCATAAACTCACCTGATGCCCCATGGTCTTGGGTTGTGACGTGGCTACCACATGCTCCTGTTGGTCTTGGAGCCCCTGGACGGTCCCGCCATTTGGGCTGTGAAATCCTGAGAAGCCCCCAGCCCATCATGAAATCAGAGCCTTCCCCCAAGATGTGGAGCCATCAGCTGCAAGAGCTGGGCAGCTGGAGAGGCCCCCAAACCCCAAGGCCTCCCACCCTCCCATCTGGTGACCCCAACATGCGGCCTTTACCCTGGGGAGGTGGGGCGGGAACATTCCCTGGAGCCTGGCTGGAGGTTCCCCTGGAGGCCTCCTGGGCCAGGGTGCAAAAAGGGCAAGCCTGACTTTCAGGCCACGACAGGGTGGCCGGAACTGGGTGGGCGCTGGGCTTCCCGGTCATCTCCTGGTAGTGGGGTCGGGCCAGGGAACAGGGGATGGGGAGATGCTGCCACCTGGGCTTGGTCGGCCCATTCGTGGGCACCGATGGCAGCAGGAGCCCGGGCAGCTGGAGGGCAGGAGGACTCTCAGGGAGGGGAGAGTCAGCTGCACAGAATCAGAGCCGGAGGGCGTGGCTCCAGGACACAGAGGGTGGCCACGGGGAGGATGAGATGCCCTCTGCTGATGGGGATGAGAGGCGTCTGATTTGGGCTTTGGGGGTCAGCCGTGGACTCCTGTGGGACCCTCAGCAGAGACATTCTAAAGTCTCCCAACAAGCTGGCGACACAAGGAGGGTGCCTTGGCTGAAAGCTGTGATCACCTGGCCAGGGTGGCCATCCCCAGGTCTGGCTGCAGGAGGTCCCCGGGGCAGCTGTTCACTTACCCTGCAGGGAGTGCCTCTCACTGGCCAGCAGCTGCACCAGTGCCCAGAATGCATCCTCCTCAGGAAGATAGAGGAGGAACAAGGCGGCGATGTGGCTCAGGTCCCTGCAGTAGCCCACCTCCTGCAAGAGCCAGAGTCACCATGGAAGGACATCACCTGGGAGGGCTGAGGTCACCTGGGAGGACTCATGTCATTGGAGAGGGCAGAGGTGACTGGAGAGGCTTCCTCTGAAGGAGAGGCTTCCTCTGAAAAAGAGGCTTCCTCAGGATGCACATTCATTTCATGACAAGAGCCAAGTCCATCAGGCACTTCAGCACCTTGTCCAAAATGTCTGCTGATAGCACCATCCTGTGTGCGATGCTGCCAAGCTCCTGGGCTTTGGGGCAGCCCCAGGAGGAGGGCGTCATTTCTTGTTCTGAGAAGTGGTGGTCAGGCCCAGGTGACACCAGGAGTCCGGGCCCTGACTCCTTTGTGTCTCAGCTTGACCCCTTGAGACCACCCCCTTCCTTGGAGGTTTATGCCAGCGGTGAGCTGACATCCTACCTCCTATATCCTGGTGGGTCACAAATACTAACTTTAAAAGAAGCAACGACACCCCCACCAGACACCCACTCCTGTCAATATGGAAATATGGCCCGGGAACCTCACTGCCGGGAATACTCACCGGGTTATACTCCTCATATGCCAGGAGGATGTGGAGTAGTTCCCGCTGCCTAGGAAACAGAGAAAGGGGGCTTTGGTTTGTTTTGTGCAGATGTTGTTAATTTCACTTTGTCTACAAAGCCTAACAGCAAATCCCATTTCAGGTTCAGATGTTTCACCAGATAAGCAGTGAGCTCTTCAGGGCCTGAGACTCTTGAAGAAATGTTTCAGTAAAATCCACATCTGTGACATGCAAATAGCCCAGTTGTACAGTGACTTGCCTGATCCTTTTCACTCTGAATGATTTTTTTTTTCAGTTTGCACACACGCCAGTTCAGTCTGTGGGTGTACAGTTCCTCCACGGTTCCAAACCGATGTGCAGAGTCTCCCGGCCACCGCTCCAGCCCCTCCTGGGGCGACTCCTTCATCCTCCAAGTCTCCAGGGTGGCCCCTATGCAACCAGCCTCTCCCCGATCCGTCAGCCCCTGGCCACCCAGACTGCTTCTCAGTCCCTGTGGTTTGGCCTTTTCCAGAATGGCCTAGGAATGGGAATCCTACTGTGGTAGCTTATTGGGTCTGGCTTCTGTCCCTCAGCAAAATGCATCTAGGATCCACCCACGTTCGTGCGGGCATCACCGGCTCGTTCCCTTTTCTCACTGGGTCTTCCGTTTGAAGGGAGGACCAGCCTTGCTCTCCCCATCCCCGTGTTGAAGGCCGTCCCCGAAGGCTCCGTGTGTGAGTGACGAGGAGTCAAGCAGTGAACCTGGCATGCTGGTTTCATGTGGATGTCAGTTTGCAAATCAGTGGGTTCAATATCTGTGACACTTTGGGGATGTGTGGTTCAAGTCCATCGAGCTTTGTGAGCCACTGCCCAACTGGCTGCCAACGTGGCTGTGCCATGTCATGTTCCCAGCGGACCTGGATGAGAGTTTCCAGGACCCCTAATTCTCCCAGCATTTGGTGCTGTCACTGTTGCCTGGGGGGGGCTCATGGGCCCTCTATCCTGCCACCCTCCCGTGGGTCCTACCATGGGTCCCCATGGGTCAGGGAGAGCACCCTTCACCATTGTGCATGATTTTGTTTGCTGCCTTCCATCTCCTCAGGATCCTCCTGGGTTCTGGCCCCACATGTTCCAGTCTGGCCCAGGGCTTGGAACCAGGGAGGTGCTCGGTTCATGGTGCCGGCTGCTCCCTGGGCCGGGAGAGCTCTTGGCAGCTGTGTCATCCCTCCTGGGTGACCCTGGCTTCTGCTCCGGGGAAGCCCCCATCCCTCTCATTCACCCCATCTCTGCTGGGACCCTGTGGCTCCCGTAGGCTTACTTGGTTCCGTATCGATCCCTGAAGAACATATGCTTCCTTAATGTCCCGCTTATGTCCCGGTCGATGCGCTGGATGTGCTCAGATGACCTCTTGCCCTTCTCCTTCATGATCTGTAGGGCAGGGCCAAGAGGAGGAAGCAGTCTCAGAACAGATGGAAGACTCCCTGCCCCCAGTGGCAGTCAGCCCACAGTCAGCACTTCGGGAAGGAAGGACAGAAGGAAGGTTTCCTTCTGCAGAAAGCTGCATTTTGGCTTGTTACTGAAGCCAGGGAGGGTCACCAGAGCTGAGTTTGTCTGTGGTGACTGTGTCACCATCTGTGCCCAGGGTGTTCATCTGACCTTCACCCCCAGCTCCCCAGGGTGGTCTTGACGTTCCCTCCAGCTGGAGACCTGGGCCCCGACACGGCCTGTCCTGTTTGTTGTGCTCTGGCTGAGCGTACCTGGTATCTTCCGGGGTTTTTCAACTTCATTTCCTCAGTGTTCAGGAGGACTGACCACATCGGGCCCCGGATGTTCATGGGCATTCCCTTGTACGCTCGATCTATGAGCTGTGGGCAGAAAACGATCTGGTGTCACAGGCCACGGGGTGACCCCAGTGAGGACCAGAGCCCGGGGATTCTGGAAATTGTCGGTTTTGGCCCCATGATTCCTCAGTAGAGGTGAGATCAAGCTGGGACAGGGTCTCCCTTCCCAGGACTGAAAGAGTGGATGGACACTCAGAGTCGAAACTCTGATCTGAACCTTTTCCTTCCTTCAGGTCCCCAGGGCATCCCTAGCCTTGAGCTCCGGGTAGTCCCAGCCCTAGATTCAGATTCCCTCCCTGCAAGGTGACGCTTGCACGAATAGGCAGGAAATCTGGCGACCAGGCCTGCAGTCCTCTGGGCGAGGACAGTGTGCCGCCCACCCTCTGAGAGGCTGATGGTGCCAGGCCACAGCCATGGGTGCCTGTCCCCTGTCTCTGCAGAGAGTGCTTCCTCCCTCCACACGTTACCTTTCTGCTGCTTTTGTATTTCTCCCAGTCTCCCAGCATATCCACCCACTTGCTCTTTCGGCTGATCTCCCGCCGAATTTGCTGTCAAATGAGGCATGTTGGAGTTAGCGGAGCTGCCAGGCTTCCCAGAGCCGCCCGCGGATGCTGGGTCTTGGGCTCTGGAGCCCTGGTGGGAGCCAGCTGGAAGGAGCCAGGGAAGGGCAGACCTCAAGGGCTGAGAGCCTTTGAGCAAATGAGCACCAGTGGGCTGGCTTTGGGACCCCGGGATGTACCATCCTCAGGCCACAGACACACCAGTCTTAGGTCCCAGCCTCTAGGTGGGGTCCTGACACAAGCGCGCAGCCACCCCCAAGCCAGGACTGTGGTTCTCCTTTTGGAATTTTATCAAACTGCCAAAGTGAACAGCAACCTGGGGTCAGGTCCAGCAGGGACTGCTGCCCCTCCCAGTGACAGCGTGTTGCCCTCACCCGCCACCGCTCAGGCCAGCTGCTTCCTCTGCCTCACTGACCACCCGCCCAGTCCCTACGTCCCTGGACCAGCCCCTCCACGCATCAGGCTCTTACCTTCGCCTCCCGCGCAGTCAGAGGAGGCAGCTCCGTCTCACTGTAAGGCAACCCAGGCAGAGCTGAGGAACTGCACGGGGCCTGGAGCGGCCCCAGCCTGGGTGCCGACCCCCAGAAAGGACTGGCTCTGTCCCTTTCCAGCTCAGGGCTCAGCCCAGGAGAAGGCACAGGGAAGGGAGGACAAGGGCCTTCCTGTGGGGCTGATTCCCAGGAGGGGCAGGACCTGGGAGAAGAAGGAGTGTAGGGACAGCCTGGCCGGGGTTACTGGGGCCCCTGGCGTGGGGGGCGGTCAGGCTGCCCAATGGGGCTGCCCGTCCTGGACTCGAGGTGGTGCTTTCTGCTGGAGCTGAGAAAGGTTAGCCCTGAGATGGGATGGGGGCCGCCCAGGGTGGGCGACCGGGCCCTGACAGGAGTCCCTCAGGGAGTGACCACATCCCCCCGCCAGGGTCAAGGGAGCCTGCCCTGAGACCTGCCCGGTGTACTCTGGCTGCACCAGGGGCCCACCCCACTTGACAGCCCCAAGGCCCTTGCAGATTCTGACCTCCCAGCATCCACCTGCCTCTCCCTGCACCCGAGCCACACACCCTGCGTTTCAGAAGTGGCACGGCTCATCAGCTCCCTCCCGCCCTACCTCCCCAGGGATCCTCTGTCTCTCCATCCTGTGATCCCTGAGGGATGGGCTCCTGGCTGGGCTCCTCTTACCCGGCCCCAGATCCCTTCCCAGCACCAGACCCAGGTCTTTAGCCGCGAGCCCTGCTGCCTCCCTGGCCTCACCGTGAGATGCCCAGAACGGGGCCCTGCCCATCTTCCCCCCGTTCTCCTAGGGCTACAGCCCCCATTGTCACCATGCCTTTTCCCCTCACGGGACAGTGAGGGCTGTAGCTCTAGGGGAATGGGGGAGAACAGGGGCAGGTGGGCCCTCAGAGACCTGCTGGACAACAGCCCTGAGGCTGGGCCAGGCGTCCCCTCACCCTGTGGCCATAACCCTTGCATCTCACCGGGTTTGTCTCCAAGTAGACAGGGCCAGACCCTCAGGCTGCCCCGCTCCTCTTGTGCTCACTTGCCGACAGAACTGCTGAGCGCCCAGGGGCCTGACCTAGCCCAGTCTCCATTCCCACCGGCTCCCTAGATGGGCCCCACACCTCTGGCCTAACAACCTCGGGCTGGACCTGCAGGGGAGTCAGGGAGGAGTTCTGTCCCTGGAAAGGAGGTTGACCCGACCTGGTGAGACATGTCCTGCGTCAGAAAGGCCTTTCTAAAAGCAAACCCATCCCTGAGCTGAGACAGGTGCTTTAGGGGTGAGGGGAGTGCAGAGGACTCACTGTACAATCCCCAAATGATCGACGTTGTTGTTGTAGCTTCGAAAAGGCTTAGGCCCCTTGTCCTCTGGCAGCCCAGCTCGGTGTCCCTGTAGCCCAGAGGGAGCCTTGGTGAGGGGTCCAAGGTAAAGGGTGCAAGGGCCTGGGGGCATTGGCCACCCGTCCCTGCCCTGTGCTCCTAGGGAGCCCAGGACCCTTTGACCAGGGCACACTGGAAGAGGCCTCCCTCCAAGAAGCAGACCGACTTGTACCTTTTCGTATTTCATAATGATGTCCTCTCGCTCTTGTGCCCACCAACTGCCCGCGACCTCTACCACGTCCATCCTGTGAGACAGAATTGTCTAAAGGTCACACTGTACGCGGCGGCTTCGGAGAACACCTGAACCGCTCTCGCCGGGCTCCCAGATGCTGGCTGGCTGCGTAACCCCCATTCCACCGCCGCCCCCAGGGAAAAAGGGGCCAGACCCAGTGGCCCACAGCTGCTCCAGTCTCTGGAGTCTCAAGTCCCAAGCAGGGGTGGGCATCTTCCCAAGGACTTGAGTACAGTGGGACCTAGACAGAGAATCCTGTTGTCCCCCAATGCCATGAAATGGGGACACACCGGCCCCAGCAGGTTGAATGGTTTCCACCTGCCAAGGGTGAAGGGCCCATGATGGGCTATTCCAGGGATGTGGAGGCAGACTGGGGTCAGCGACCAGAGGTCTCTGTGCAATCGGCCTCCTGGGATGCTCAGGGCCTCAGCGATGCCCAGTTTCCTACAGGGAACAAGATCTCTCCCGACTGCTCGGTTCTACTCCGCTCATCACTTTGGCTACCGTGGCTCTTCAGTCTGAACAGTGAAGCCACTTTAGGAATAACGCCTGTTGAGCAGGAGGGTGTTGGGTTTGGGGGATGAGGAAGATCTATTGTACGCATGGAAACCACGTCTCTCGCGGAGGGACTGTGGAGTCCACCATTCTGAGCCGTCCCAACAGGAGGAGGCTTCATTTTCCTGGGTCACTGAGGAAGAACAGTGGGTCCTTGGTCCTGGAGAACAGCTGGATGGACCGTCCCTCCTGGGAATACTCGAGGCAAAAGGAGGGCGAGGCCTCAAGAGGACCACGCAGAGCAAGAAATACCTGGGGAGAACCCTAGTGCCCGGACCCCTTTGAACACAAGGGAAGATAGTCTCCCCTCAGCCAGCCCTCCAGGGCTCCTTCATTTTCCACAGCTGCCCAAGGGCAGCAGGCTCCCCCGGACAAGGGACCATGTGTGTTCAGTGGGGCCCACAGCGACCATCAGGACCCAGCTTAGGGCACAGAGGTGTTCTGAGGACCGTCAGTGGATCTGTACCAGTGGCTCTATACCAGTGGCTCTGCCAGGACCAGGCTCTGCCCCATCGGGATGGGAAACCTGGGCAGATTTGGGATCTAGGGCAGGGAGGTCACAGGGTTCAGGCCTGAATTCCAGCACAGCACACGGCAGGGCTGAGAGCAAAACTCAGGGTCATGTCCGGATTCCCAGGCCGGTTACTGCCTCTCTGACCCCAGACGTCTCATCTGTCGAATGGGGACATTTGGGAACAGCACCCACTCTACGAAGCCACCATGGAGACGAAAGAGCCAATCGTCTACACGGGCAGTGTAGAACGGGCGCCTGGTGAGTGCTCAGGGATGACCCTCCTCGGTAGCTGCCCCACAGAGGCCAACACCGCCCGCACCGTAGCCACTGCCCCCAAGTCCGCCTGGAGGGAAGAGAGCAGGTCACGCTCACCTGATTCTGATGAATCAGCTGGCCTGGGTCATGCCTCTCAGGGAGAAAACCTTTGAGTCCACAGAGCTGCTCACAGATACCACTGCCTGTGTGTAACTGCTGTAGACCACTGAGGCAGGCCAGAGAGCAGACAGGTGCTAAGCACCAGTGACATTCTGAGGTCATGGCACGAATCACAGTGGGGCCTTGCCCGGGTCAGCAGCGCCCAGAGTCAGGGTCCTCCGCTGCCTGAGGCGTCAACATGCCTGCCTGCAATGTGTTTGTGCACGTGCGTGCACATGTGTATGTGGGTAAACACGTCTGTGCACGTGTGTGCTGCTTCTCTGGCCAGGCCCGGCTGCCCCACTCATGTGTGCACCCAGTTCCTCATCACTGTCACCCCCGAGGCCCAGGGCCAGCATCAGAGCATCCATGGCTGCTCCCTAACCCCAGCCCTCCCCGCCCAGGGTGGTCCTGGGATACACATAGCGGTGGAGGGAAGTGACTGCTGCTATTGGATCTCAGAATACAAAAGCTAATACTATTACCTAATGGTCTTTTTAGTGTCTCTAATGGTATCACTTTTTCATTTCTGATATTTTAACTGGGTATTTCTCTCCATGACCCTTGGATATTCTAGCTAGAGGATCCTGTGGGGAAAGTGCCGGGCACACAGTAGGGGCTCACTCTTCTAGACACGTTATCTAAAACCTGGTTCATCTGTCCTTCCACGCAGGGCCTAGGGGATGCCGAATTCCAGGGTCCAGAAAGAGCTTGGGATAAAAAGAAACTTCAAGGGGACGGCTTTGACCTGGGCTGAGTCTACCTGTGCCATCCAACTGGAGTCTCAAGTCCTGAGGCAGGACGTCCAGATGCCCCAGTGCAGGGTCCTCCTGATCAACACCTGCTCCCCTGTACTCATTAGCAACCTCACCCACCCTACTCTCAAAGCACACTTGGCTCTCGTATCCAGGAGCTCTGCATCTGTAGATTCAGCAACAGCAGATGGAAAATATTCAGAAAATAAATTGGACGGTTATGTTTCTATTGAACATGTGCAGACTTTGTTCTTGTCATCATTCCCTAAAGAATACAGTATCACGACCATTTATGTAGCATCTGCATTGTATTACACATCATAAATAATCTAGTAACGGTCTAACGTATACGGGAGGATGCGCATAGCTTATACGTAAATACTAGGCCACGTTATATCAGAGACTTGAGCATCCATGGATTTTGGCATTCCCGGGGACCCTAGAACTAATCCTCCATGGATACCAAGGGATGACTGTATATACTCACTCAGGAAGGCTTCTCATTGGAGGAAGGGCCCGGTTCAGGACAGACAGGGACATCATCCCTGGACTACTGTCCATCCATCCATTCATCCATTGGCACCACCCTCTAGGACTGTCCCAATGACAGCCCTAGCAAGTGGAGATAAGAAAAAAGACTGGCTCAAATGGTACAGCTTTGAGGTCTTGGAAGATGTTGCACCAGTATGAGAATAGGGGGTCAGTTTCCTCCAGGATCCAGAAAGCATATCAGGCAGGCTCGGGGAGAGGAAAGGAACACGGCCTCTCCAGCAGCCACACAGGCCTGCAGTAGGATGGGGCTGGGGCTGGGGCTGGCACTGGGGCTGGCCCCGTTTATCACTTGGGCCTCATGAGGGGAAAAGAAAGAACAGGGGGCAGAGGAGGAGCATGGGAGCAGCGGGTTGCCTAAGGAGAAGGCGCCTCAGGGAAGGGGTATTAGTTTGTTTTCACACTGCTATAAAGAAATACTTGAGCCTAGGTAATTTATAAAGGAAAGAGGTTTAATCGACTCCCAGTTCAGGGAACTTACAGTCATGGCAGAAGGCGAAGGGGAAGCAGGCACCTTCTCCACAAGGCGGCAGGAGGGAGTGAGCGGAGAAGCAGGAAGTGCCACACTTTCAAACCATCAGCTCTCCTGAGAACTCCCGCACTATCAGGGGAGCAGCAGGGGGGAACCTGTCCCCAGATCCCATCCCCTCCCACCAGGTTCCTCCCTTGACACAGGAGGATTACAATTCCAGATGAGATTTGGGTGGGGACACAGAGCCCAACCTGTGAGGGTCTCAGTCTATCTTGCAGCTCCCCTGGGGCTGGGGCTGAGTACAGTTCTGCTGGCCCTGCTCTACAGCACGTGGGGACTCTGCCTGTGTGCCCCCATCTGCTCTTCCTGGGGATGGTGGCTGCTTCCTCAAGAGGAGGGTGGATCTGCTCTCCTGCCCACCCCTCTCCAGGGCCTTTTGGAGCCCTGGCCACGTCCTCCCCAGGTAAGGGCAGGAAACTGGGCTCCTTGCCCTTCTTGCTGCTTGGGTGACAATCCTGGGGTCATCCATAGGCCCCATCACTGTTCCCGCTTCTAAATGGAGGGTATTTTGGCACATCTTCCTGGCGGGGTCCGGGGCCTCATCCCTGTTATTTATTCTATCTTGGTAAAGCCAGGTTAAGACATCTGGGCAAGGAGATAGTAGAGTGGCCCCCAGGAAGGGTGGGTGGAGGGCCTGGCCTTTGGGCTTGCCTGGAGCAGGGTGGGAGGGGGCAAGGTTACCAGGAAGCAGGGCTGTCAGGGCCAAAATCAGGAGGCGGTGATAATGCTGGTGGGGGGACAGGGCTGTGTGCTTGGCTTGGGGTGGGGCATGAGAGCCAAGGTTTGTCAGCACGCAGAGGGGTGGCTGACTCATGGACTAGGGGCTATGGAACCCAGAGGCTGCCCTTAGTTCCTGGATCCTGGGAGACTTCTGGAGCCTGGGTGTGGGGCAGCCTAGGGGTGGAGGTGGGGCAGACAGGGGTAGGGGTAGGGGTAGGACTTGCATGGCAGGGTGCAGGGTAGGAAACCAGCCAGGGGCCAGTTTGCATTGGCGGCTCCCATCCCCATCCCCACCCCCAAGCCCACCCCTACCCCCACCCTGCTGCAGAGATGGGCCTGGGCTGCTGTCCTCTGCTTTGGCCTCAGCAGATCACACGATGGAAGCTGGCAGCCCCGTGGGCACCACTCGAGCCAGCTGTGACCTGCAGTTTCTGCTTCCTGGAGTGTGGGGCGCCCACTCAGGAGAGCAGGGCATACCCCACACCCCTCATTTTGAGGATGCTGGGAGGTGGGGACCAAGGTCCTGCAGCCCTCTGCTTGCGCTATGAAAGGTAGCCTAGGAGTCCTGTGTCCGCCCATCCACGTGGGGCCCCAGGAGCCTGAACAGTGGCAGGCAGAGAGATGAGGAGGGTGAGAGAAGTGGAAAAGAAGGAGAGAGAAAGAGAGATGGGGAGAAGGGAGTGAGATAGAGAGAGAGAGGATGAGAGATAAGGAGAGAGACAGAGGAGGCTGAGAGGAAAAGGAGCGAGAGAGACAGGCAGAGAGACACAAAAGGCAAAGAGAGAGACAGGGAGAGACGAGCATGAGTAGGAGGTCGGATCACTCTCGATCCCAGTCCCCAGTGAAAACCGTAGGTCGCCATCACCTAACTACGCGTGCAATAAAGTCTTCTGCCTGCTGCTTACAGCCCGAGAACCCTTTTCCGAGAGAATAAAATCTTTGACCGTTGCCCTTTCTCGCCGGAGTTTGCTCGTGTCTTCTGATGAACTGTGATGTCTCACCTATCGCCTTCCTGGGCTCAAGGATCCACGAAAAGCCGACGACTCTTTTGGGGAGGCTCTGCAGTGCCTTCATCTCACTAGGCTCCCCAGGAAGCTTGCGAACTTGGCTTGAGCCCTAAGCAGCCGAGTATGTGCCGGGCCTCTGCTTCTCTCTTTCAGTAAGAGGGAGAACCAAGAAAGAGGCTGAAGCATGGTCTGCAGAGAAGGCACTTGTGCAAACACCAGGAGAATGAGGGGCCTGAGTTGTCTTCATTTCTCCTAAAAACACGCATTTCCTCCCAGGCCACCCTAGTGAGGGCATGAAGCACAGCGTGTGTGTGTGTGTGTGTGTGTGTGTGTGTGTGTGTGTGTGTTTGCAGGAATATGCATGTGTATGTGTGTGCATGTGTGTGTGTGCAGGTATATACATGTGAATGTATTTATGTATGTGCATCTGTGTGCATGTGTGTGTGCATGTGTGTGTGCAAGTATATGCATGTGCATGTATGTGCATGTGTGCGTGTGTGTGTGTGCGCCTGTATGTGTGTGTTGCAGGGCTTTACAGCGGACAGGATGTGGGAGGGCAGCTGCAGCTCCAAGCTGCAAGTCTTTCTGATAGAATGGTTAAGATTCCCTGGACCACAGAAAGAATGTTTTCATTTGCACCTATTTTTATTAGCATTTAAAGCTGTATTCTTCGTAGCATGTGAAGCTTAAGTTGCTTAACTATTCTTAGAAACATTTACACCAGCGGTCCCCAAACGTTTTGGCACCAGAGAGCAGTTTTCTTGAAGACAACTCTTCCACGGACCTGGGAGAAGGGGAAGGGATGGTGCAGAGATGATTCGAGCCCATTACATTTATTGTGTGCTTTATTTCTGTGATTATTTCACTGTAATATATAATGAAATAATTACACAACTCACCATAACATAGAATCAGTGGGAGCCCTGAGCTTGTTTTCCTGTAATTACGTGGTCCCACTTGGGGGTGATGGGAGACAGTCAGAGATCATCAGGCATTATGTTCTCATAAGGAGCACGCAATCTAGATCTCTGGCATGCTCAGTTCCCAGTTGGGTTCTATGAGAATGGAACGGCACCACTCATCTGACAGGTGGCAGAGCTCATGCGGTAATGCGAGGGATGGGGAGCGGCTGTTTCTACAGATGAAGCTTTGCTCCCTGGCTGGCTGCTCACCTCCTGCTGTGTTGTCTGGTTCCTAACAGGTGGGGACCCCTGATTTACCCAGTAAGAGAAACACATTTTTATGTCATTTGAAATTATTCACCCTGCACCACCCAAAATTATCTTGCATACCTACACCCATCCAGGGGTCCTGTAGCACACTTTGGGAGCTGTAGACAGTAAGCCTGGAGCTCCACTGAGCATTCCTTCTCTCCACCATCTGTGGGCTAACAGGCTGTGTTAGTTTCCTAGGGCTGTTTTACAGTACCACAGACTGGGCACCTTCAGCAACAGAATGTTACTGTCTCACAGTACTGGAGGCCGTGGGTCCAAGATCAAGGTGTCATCAGGGTGGGTATTTGTTTTCCACTGGACTGTTGATACATTCTTAGAAGGTTTTTGGTTGCTGTTCACGTTAATTTCTCTTCCTTTCTGCAATTGTTCTCTTTCAGTACTCCCTGATATTTTTCTTCTTGAAGAAGTAGCTAGTTAATTTTGTATTTTAAAATTCCTCCCCTCACCCCAAGAACTTCTACCTTCATAATTGGTTCTCTCTTCATATTTATTTTATACAAGTTATGTGGCTGATTACATTGTTTCTGTCTGTACAGATGGAGAGTTAAGGAATAAAGAGGACAGACAGACTAGATTACCTCAAACACTGAAATGCTATGATTTGTCCGAAGTCATACACGCATTATCTGACCAGACATATGTGCTTTTTCTCTAGAAGCATTTTGTCATTTTGAATCAAACAGGTCTTCTGAATCTACCTTAATGAAGTTGACAACTTTCAGAGGTTTTCAGTGGTGAAGAGAAACTTGGACAAGGAGATAACTTCCACAAACAGAAAAAGCCTCGTCTCTTCTGGATTCCTTTAATGCCAGTGGTCATCACCAGGGGCAGATTAGCCACCTTTTCCCTGGGCTGGGACCTCCACCTTCTCCTCTACAGGTGTATCACCTTAGAAATCTTCTGCATCTCACTGTCACCCAACACATTTTCTCCTTCCAAGCCTCTGCAGTCTCACGAGTTTGTCTGTATTTTTCTTCTTATAACCTGCCTTGCTACCCTAGCCAGCCTGGATCTCATAGGAGATTAATGGAAATACTCCCAACATTGGGCCTTTCCTGTGCCCGTCTTCCTGGTGTATCCTGGCAAAATGCCAGCCCAATCCACAGTCTGTTGTTCTACTTCTGTATCTGAAGGCTAAAGAAAAAGCACCTAGTCATACAGATTAACCCTGTTTTAATGTAACTATTCCATAATTTCAACCTCATCTGAGTACTCAGCCTTGCCTGATGCCTTTGCTTGCCCAGCCCTGTTTAGTTCTCTCATTCTCTTCAACATCTTTAGCAAATCTTCTCCTTCCCCGTCTTGACCTTCCTGTCTCTTCACCTGATACAGAGGTTCTTAGCTCCTACTTCGTTGACAATTTTAAGGTTTTGCTCTCTTCTGTAAATTGACCTATAGGAGTATCCTTCTTTACCCCTTTCCTGTGGTTTTCAGGGGATGGAATATTTGTCCTGAGAAGGCCAATACATCCATCGGACACGTGTCTCTATCCCCATTTGCTACGTAAGTATTTGACTTCAGCCATCCGGTACACTGGCTCTGTCTCTGGTTTACACCTGCTGTCTCTGTGTCAGCACTCATTTCCGCTTTAGCCCATTGACTTTTCCCTCACAACGCTACTGAACTTGTCAATAGGCACATCAGTGATCTCCTACATGCCAAGTCTCGTGGACATTTTTCTTCATGTTGTTTGACTGCTGCTCTGCCTGACTGGATATTATAATCTCCTTTCCTTGAAACCCTAGGCTACTGTAGCACTACACTTTACTGGTTCTCCGCTTACCTTCGTTACATCTCTTTTGTTTTTTTTTTTCCCGGATCCCTCCAGATGTGGCCTAGGAATCCTTTTAAACACAGTGCTCCAGGCAGAAGTTAGTTGGAGGTAGTTCACAAGATGCAATTTATTTGCCATCCACCCTTGCATTTCAACTCCATTATTTGTCCTTGCCATGCCTATCTATAAAAACACTTTCTCCTTCCCAGAGATGGCAGCTAACAAGACCTAGCAAAGAGAAATGGGAATTTTCATTCACAATTTCATAGGGAGAGCAATTGGTAAGATTATTTTACTGCCAAGGGTAATAAAATTAATGAGAGAGTTGAAGAAAGAGGCACGAATTCTGAAACTGTCTAGAACCATCTAAGAGGTAAAGCTGAGGAGTTTTATCCGTATTTGTAGGCTGTGATTATTTTCATAGAAGTACTCTCTGATTTATGGGTATGTCACTGATTACCACTAGAATTGCAGATTGGACACATTAAGCACATCAGCGTAAAAATCCTTGACATTTTGGCCGGGCGCGGTGGCTCACGCCTGTATTCTCAGCACTTGGGAATGCCGAGGTGGGCGGATCACAAGGTCAGGAGTGCGAGACCAGCCTGACCAACATGGTGAAACCCCGTCTCTACTAAAAATACAAAAGTTAGCCGGGTGTGGCGGCACGTGCCTGCCATCCCAGCTACTCGGGAGGCCGAGGCAGGAGAATTGCTTGAACCCGGGAGGTAGAGGTTGCAGTGAGCCAAGATCTCACTGCTGCACTCCAGCCTGGGCAACAGAGGGAGACTCTGTCTCAAAAAAAAAAAATCAAAAAAATCCTTGACATTTTAAAAATACCTCTGGCAGGGTTTCAGTGTAGTCATGATATTTAAAATATTACCATGATTTGTCAGTTTCTTAAGTATAATTTTGTTTAGTCGCACGTATGATAAGAACATACAGACTTCTTGCTGGGGGCATTGGCTCATGCCTGTAACGCCTATAATCCCCACTACTCAGGAGGCTGAGTCGGGAGGATTGCTTGAGGTCAGGACTTTGAGACTAGCCTGGACAATAGAGCAAGACTCTGTCTCTTACAACAAACATAATCATAAATAGATTTCTTGGTTTGTGGGGTTAACTTTTTAAATTTTCCTCTCATTAATTTGCCACATTTTTAAAAAATTTTTTGAGATGGAGTCTCACTGTGTCACCCAGGCTGGAGTGCAGTGGCACAATCTTGGCTCACTGCAACCTCTGCCTCTCAGCTTCGAGCGATTCTCCTGCCTCAGCCTCCCGAGTAGCTGGGACTACAGGCGTGTGTCACCACGCTCGACTAATTTTTTGTATTTTTTTAGTAGAGGTGGGGTTTCACCGTGTTAGCCAGGATGGTCTCGATCTCCTGACCTCGTGATCTGCCAGCCTCGGCCTCCCGAAGTGCTGGGATTACAGGCGTGAGCCACCACGCCTGGTCTAATTTGCCACTTTTATCTGACTAAGATACCTTAACTTTATTTATTCCTTGGATTGGTAATACAGTGAAATGATTAGGGCAGGGTTTTGAAACCAGAGAGATCTGGGTTCAAATCTTGGTGTGGGCTGTAGATGTTGGGGGCAATGGCCCTAAATCCTCTGACTTTCCAGTGATTTTTCAATGGGTAAAATAACCCTTACTTTGTGGAATGTTGCAAAGATTAGAGAGGATGTATATAAAATGTTTACCTATTACAGTGCTTGATATGTAGAAGATGAATTCTACAATTACACTGACCCATTTTGCTCATTGCGGCTTTAGAATAGAAAAGTATACTCATACACTAGAATTGTGCACCTAGAGCTAAGTGACTCCAGCCCTGTGGAACCCTTCAATGCCAAAATGGCGTGTAGGACTAGATAGATGAATGTCACCTGACTCTGTCTATTAAAACTCATTGTGTTGGGCCGGGAATGGTGGCTCACGTCTGTAATCCCAGCACTTTGGGAGGCCGAGGTGGGCGGATCACGAGGTCAGGAGATCGAGACCATCCTGGCTAACATGGTAAAACTCCGTCTCTACTAAAAATACAAAAAATTAGCCGGGCGTGGTGGCGGGCGCCTGTAGTCCCAGCTACTAGGGAGGCTGAGGCAAGAGAATGGCGTGAACCCGGGAGGCGGAGCTTGCAGTGAGCTGAGACCGCGCCACCACACTCCAGCCTGGGTGACAGAGCGAGACTCGGTCAAAAAAACACACAAAAAAAACCCCAAAAAACCAACCAAACAAAAAAAAACACCTCACTGTATTTTATTATTATTATTTTCGAGATGGAGTCTTGCTCTGTCGCCCAGGCTGGAGTGCAGTGGGGTGCAATCTCGGCTCACTGCAACCTCTCCCTCCCAGGTTCAAGGGATTCTCCTGCCTTAACCTCCCGAGTAGCTAAGATTACAGGCACCTGCCACCACGCCCAGCTAATTTTTTGTAGTTTTAGTAGAGATGGGGTTTTGCCATGTTGGCCAGCCTGGTCTCCAACTCCTGACCTCAGGTGAACCACCCGCCTCGACCTCCCAGAATGCTGGGATTGCAGGCATGAGCTGCCGAGCCTGGCCAAATCTGAAATACGTTTGATGCCAGGGTAGCCTTAGTGGAGTGAAATGCTTATTAACAATGAGAGTATTTGAAAAATATGAGATATACAATCATCAGAATTGAATGACCTTTCTAAGGAATGGTTTTATCCTAATTAAGTAATGATCAGAGTCGGGCGAGGTGGCTCACGCCTGTAATCCCAGCACTTGGGGAGGCTGAGGTGGGCGGATCACTTGAGGTCAGGAGTTCAAAACCAGCCTGGCCAATATAGTGAAACACCGTCTCTACTAAAAATACAAAAAAGTAGCGGGTATGGTGGCGCGTGTCTGTAATTCCAGCTACTCGGGAGGCTGAGGCAGGAGAATTGCTTGAACCCCGGAGGCGGAGGTTGCAGTGAGCCGAGGTCGCGCCACTGCACTATAGTCTGGGTGAGAGCAAGACTCCGTATCAAAAAAAAAAAAAAAAAAAAAAAAAAAAATCCGATTATAACATCTGTGAATGGAATAATTTGTAGACTCTTGGCATGCAAGAATTTGATGTTAGCTTTCTCAACTGTTTATGAACCGTAAAGGTTCATGATGCGTAAGTTCTGTTGAGATGGAAACTTGAACGCTGTGTGCGGTGGAGGCGAGGTTGAGGACTTCGCTTGGCGGATGAGTAAGCCTCACCCATCTGGACAGCAGCATTTACACTGCAACTTCACTTTTAACTTCGTATTTGCTGCTTGTTGTTATTTACGTGGTAACTAGCATGAATGATTCACATACACACATACGTATTCTTTGTCTCCTTGTGAAATATTACACCAAGGAGAAAACACCATTATGAAGCTAGTGATAGTAAAGTAGTCCCCAGACACAGTGCTCTTCAGTGCAAACGTTTGAAGTTTATGGAAGAAGCTCTGTGGCAGTAATAGCCATAAACTTTGGAATATGCAAAGATCTTGAAGTATATCTCTCACTTATACCAGGGATTTTTGTAGAGTAGAGAATTGAATTTTGAGCTTATGAGAGCTGGTAGCATTGGATTTTTTCGCTTTTTGTCTATCAATCCATTCATGCGGTATTTTTTTTTTTTTTTTTTTTTTTGAGATGGAGTCTGGCTCTGTTGACCAGGGTGGAGTGCAGTGGCCCGATCTGGCTCACTGCAAGCTCCACCTCCCGGGTTCACGCCATTCTCCTGCCTCAGCCTCAGGAGTAGATGGGACTACAGGCTCCTGCCACCACGCCCCGATAATTTTTTGTACTTTTAGTAGAGACGGGTTTTCACCGTGTTAGCCAGGATGGTCTCGATCTACTGACCCTGTGATCTGCCCGCCTCGGCCTCCCAAAGTGCTGGGATTACAGGTGTGAGCCACCGCGCCCGGCCACCATTTATGGGGTATTTTAAGATTTCATGTCAAAGCTCCATTTGTCTCAGATGGTACAATTGTCTGCCGTGTTGAAATAGGTGGTAACGCAAATTAATATTACCCTGAAACAAGACTTTATTTTATTTTTTATTTTTTAAATTTTTTAAAATTATACTTTAAGTTCTGGGATACATGTGCAGAACGTGCAGGTTTGTTACATGGGTATACATGTGCCATGGTGGTTTGCTGCACCTATCGACTTGTCGTCTAGGTTTTAAGCCCCACATGCATTAAGTATATGTCCTAATGCTATCCCTCCCCTTGCCCGCCATCCCCTGACAGGCCCTGGTGTGTGATGTTCCCCTCCCTGTGCCCATGTGTTCTCATTGTTCAACTCCCACTTTTGAGTGAGAACATGTGGTGTTTGGTTTTCTGTTCCTGTGTTGGTTTGCTGAGATGATGGTTTCCAGCTTCATCCATGTCCCTGAAAATGACATGAACTCATTCTTTTTTATGGCTGCATAGTATTCCATGGTGTATATGTGCCACATTTTCTTTATGCAGTCTATCCTTGATGGGCATTTGGGTTGGTTCCAAGTCTTTGCTATTGTAAATAGTGCTGCAATAAACATACATGTGCATGTGTCTTTATAGTAGAATGATTTACAATCCTTTGCATATATAGCCAGTAATGGGATTGCTGGGTCAAATGGTATTTCTGGTTCTAAAAGTCTTAAAATATCCTCTAAAGTAGATTTCAAAATACAACATACATGAGCCTGCAGGAGACCTGCTCACAGAAGGCATCTGTAATTTATAGGAAGATGATGCTGACACTAGATTAACCATGCATTTAGCACACCTCAGTTACAGTGAAAATCCAATTTTGTGCAAAAAGTGGGAAATAAATGGAGGCGTGTTTGCTTTACGAGAATTTATTTGATTTTTGTAAATAGAAAATGGTTTTATTACATGTAAAATATAATTTCAATTGGTCACTGTGAGGAATCGCCACAGTCTTTGGTAATGATGGAACTAATTTACACTCCCACCAACGGTGTAAAAGCATGCCTGTATCCCCACATCCTTTCCAGCATCTGTTGTTTCCTGACTTTTTAATGATCACCATTCTAAATGGCGTGAGATGGTATCTCATTGTGGTTTTGATTTGCATTTCTCTAATGAGCAGTGATGATGAGCTTTTTTTCATATGTTTGTTGGCCGCATAAATATCTTCTTTTGAGAAATGTCTGTTCATATCCTTCACCCTCTTTTTGATGGTTTTTTTTTCTTATAAATCTGTTTAAATTCCTTATAGATTCTGGATATTAGACCTTTCTCAGATGGATAGATTGCAAACATTTTCTCCCATTCTGTAGGTTGCCTGTTCCCTCTGATGATTTTTTTTTTTTTTTGCTGTGCAGAAGCTCTTTAAGTGTTTATTTTAATATTTGTGTAATAATGTCCAGTTTTACCAAGCAGAATGATCTACATAGGAGCTTTTATGCAGAACTCATTGTTCTTCACTAAGAGCTTGTTAGTCCAGTAGTAAAATCAAATCCATCCTCAGTTGCTATGTGGCTTTGTTAAACAGTTAAACTTGAGTTGGAGATGCTCTGCTATAGGGAGGAATTTTCGCTCCCCAGATGTGTTTGTATATAATATAATGTATTTTTCCCCTCTCCCCTGTGGAAACTTTGTGGAAAGATTATTTCAGTGTTAACCCTGATTGACATTTTAGTAATCGAACAAGTGTTTGTTACTCCTTTACTCATTCATTTATCAAGTGCTTAATGGGTGCCTTCTGGGTGCCAGACACTGCATTAGACTCTGGGGAATCAAAGATGAATCACACTTAGTCTCTACCCCCTGGGAATTTATTCTGGTTAGAGAAATTGTAAACACATAATCATGATCCTATGGGATATTTTTAAAGTATGAAATGAGATAATGTGTGTGAAAAAGCTTTGTAAGCTTCACACATTTAAGATTTTTTCTCCAGTGCATAGCATGATGTCTGACATATTTTAACTGCTCGTTACACTCTTGAATGAACTGGGGAAGAGCCAAGAGTTATGAGAGCAAAATACTAGAGTGTAGATGGATTAGTTCTGCCTGGATGGACAGGAGGGACGCGGAGGCTTCCAAGAATATAACTTTTGAACTGGACTTGGAAGTATAAGTTGTTTATGTTAAGAATCGAGAAAGGAGGTTCTGGGGGGACAGCTATCAGTCGTTAAAGTGCCTGGATTTAGATGGACCACAAATCTACAGGCTTATGCAGTTTACAAGATGCTTTTGTTTACAGTATCTCTTTTGAGCCTTATGACAGGTCCATGAAGTGAGTTCATACAACCAAGACAAGCCTTGACCAGAACCTGGGTTCTAGGGTGTAAGAGACAGCATCTGGCCAGTTTATTCTTTACACTTTCACAAATGTTATGATTGCTAATATTATTGTATTTCTATTATTACATTTGTGAAAGCATGGTTTTCTGAGTTACAAGTATATGAAAGACAAATGTGTACATGTAATAAAATACATAGTTTTCTTTTTTTCTTTTTTTTTTTTGAGACAGAGTCTCGCTGGGTCCCAGGCTGGAGTGCAGTGGTGCGATCTCGGCTCACTGCAATCTCTGCCTCCGAGGTTCAAGCTATTTTCCTGCCTTAGCCTCTCAAGGAGCTGGGATTACAGGCGCCTGCCAGCATGCCTGGCTAATTTTTGTATTTTTAGTAGAGCAGGGGTTTCACCATGTTGGCCAGGCTGGCCTCGAACTCCTGACCTCGTGATCCGCCCACCTCGACCTCCCAAAGTGCTGGCATTATAGACGTGAGCCACCGTGCCCAGCCATGGTTTTCTTCTGATTTCTGTAAAGCAGGTTAGCTTGTATTGATACATGAGGAGGTTTTTTTCAGAGGTTTCAAGAAACAAGCTAGAAAATGCTTCCATAATATTTCAAAGATTCTTTATGATTCAAGCAGTTTTTCAGGATTTTCAGTCCATTTAAACCATTTATCTAACAAACACTAAGTAGAAACTATGAGCTCTACATTCTCTTGTAAGCTTTCTTTTTCTGTTATAGTTGAGCAAATTTGTTGACATTTTTATTTTTATATTTATTTATTTATTTATTTTTGAGTCAGAGTCTCACTCTGTTGCCCAGGCTGGAGTGCAGTGGCACGATCTCAGCTCACTGCAAGCTCTGCCTCCCCAGTTCACGCCATTCTCCTGCCTCAGCCTCCTGAATAGCTGGGACTGCAGGCGCCTGCCACCATGCCCAGCTAGTTTTTTAGTAGTTTTAGTAGAGACGGGGTTTTACCGTGTTTGCCAGGATGGTCTCGATCTCCTGACCTCGTGATCCACCTGCCTCGACCTCCCAACATGCTGGGATTACAGGTGTGAGTCACCATGCCCGGCCCAGATGTAGCTCTTTTTTTTTTTTTTTTTTTGAGACGGAGTCTCGCTCTGTCGCCCAGGCTGGAGTGCAGTGGCGGGATCTCGGCTCACTGCAAGCTCCGCCTCCCGGGTTCACGCCATTCTCCTGGCTCAGCCTCCCAAGTAGCTGGGACTACAGGCGCCCGCCACTACGCCCGGCTAATTTTTTGTATTTTTAGTAGAGACGGGGTTTCACCGTTTTAGCCGGGATGGTCTCGATCTCCTGACCTCGTGATCCGCCCGCCTCGGCCTCCCAAAGTGCTGGGATTACAGGCGTGAGCCACCGCGCCCGGCCACCAGATGTAGCTCTTATGTTTAGGTCTTTGATCCATTTTGAGTCAATTTTTGTGTGCGGTGTAAGAGAAGTGTCCACCTACATTCTTTTGCATGTAGATAATGCAGTTTTCCCAAAATTATTTGTTGAAAAGAGTCTCTTTCCCACTGAATGATCCTGGCACTTTTGTTGAAAATCACTTCACCATATAAGCGAGAGTTTATTTTTGAACTCTCTATTCTCTTTCAGTGCTCTGTTTTTATGCCAGTACAACACTGTGTTTTGTTTTTGTTTTTGTTTTTTTGAGGTGGAGTTTCATTCTTGTTGCCCAGGCTGGAGTGTAGTGGCCTGATCTCAGCTCACTGCAACCTCTGCCTCCTGGGTTCAAGCGATTCTCCTGCCTCAGCCTCCCGAGTAGCTGGGATTACAGGCATGTGCCACCACACCCGGCTAATTTTTGTATTTTTAGTAGACACGGGGTTTCTTTATGTTGATTAGGCTGGTCTCAAACTCCCGACCTCAGGTGATCCGTCCGCCTCGGCCTCCCAAAGTGCTGGGATTACAGGCATGAGCCACCAAGCCTGGCAACACTGTTTTGATTACTGTAGCTTTGTAGTAAGTTTTGAAATCACGAAGTGTGATGTCTTCAAATTTATTCTTTTTCAAGATTGTTTTGACTATTTGAGGTCCCTTGAGATTCTACATGAGTTTTAGAATGTATTTTTTTTTAATTTCTGCAAAAAACATTCTTGGGATTTTGACAGGGATTTTATTGAATGTGTAGATTGCTTTGGAGTAGTAACATCTTAGCAACATTAAGGTGTTGCAATCCAAGAACATGAAATGTCTTTCCATTTATATATGTTGTCTTCAGTTTACTTCAGTAAAGTTTTATGATTTTTCTGTGTACAAGTCCTGCATTTTCTTCATTGCTGACTTATATATACTTGTTTTTTTTTTTTTTTTTTTCTGAGATGGAGTTTCACTCTTGCTGCCCAGGCTGGAGTGCAATGGCGCGATCTTGGCTCACGGCAACCTCCGCCTCCTGGATTGGAGCAATTCTCCTGCCTCAGCTTCCTGAGTAGCTGGGATTACAGGCATGCACCACCACGCCCGACTAATTTTGTATTTTTAGTAGAGACGGGGTTTGTCCATGTTGGCCAGGCTGGTCTTGAACTCCCGACCTCAGGTTCCTGGTGCTTCCTATTGCACCATCTTCCCAGAATCCTCTCCCTTCCTGTTGTGCTTTTATAGCCACACCTGCTTTCCTCCTGCCGCCAGACTTAGTCGTAACTGCTAATGTATTCCTCATTTTGGTAATTTTGTTATCTCAAGGATGTTATATAAATGGGATGATAGAACTTGTAATTTTCTGAAGGCCAGGTGCCTGGCTCACGCCTGTAATCCCAGCACCTTGGGAGGCTGAGGTGGGTGGGTTACTTGAGGTCAGGAGTTGGAAACCAGCCTGGCCAACATGGTGAAACCCTGTCTCTACTGAAAATACAAAAATTACAGGGATTAACCTGTAATCCCAGCTGCTTGGGAGGCTGAGACATGAGAATTGCTTGAACCCAGGAGGTGGAGGTTGCAGTGAGCCGAGATTGCACCACTGCACTCCACCCTGGGTGACAGAATGAGATTCTGGTCTAAAAACAAAACAAAACAAAACAACATGTAATTTTCTGGGATTGAGTTTTTTACACTAAGTTTAATTCCTTGGAGATTCCTCCGGGTTGTTGCTTAGTGTTTGTTACGGTTATACTGCACTTTGTTTACTTATTTGCTGAAAGATAATCTCAGTTATTTCCACTTGTAGGTTATTATGAATAAAACTGTTAGAAACATCACACAGGTTTTCATGTGAACGTAAGTCTTCATTTAGTAATGTTGATAGGTGGGTA